>NC_000023.11:21834457-22137488 GCF_000001405.40 Homo sapiens | reverse complement strand
AACTCTCACCACCTCACTCAAAGCCTGTGTGTGAGAGTCACATGCCAATAAATTTAGGACCATTCAGCCGACTTCTCTGCACCTGCTGTGGCCAAGGTTAAGGCCACTCCCTCAGAGCATCATTAGGATGCCACCTCCCTGTGAGTCCCATCCTGCTATTTTTCTTTGGATGTGACCTGACAAACTTAGGTCCCAGGGGCAAAGAGCACAAACAAACAAATAATTCCGAAGGGATCCAGCTTTTTGGCTATATAGTCAAATCCAGCTGGAGATAAGCCAAGCTCAGGAAGTTGCTCCTCCTGATCTGACGCTCTCCTGCCAGGTCTCAGTCAGAATCCTGATGTAGCGACCTTGAGATCCTCCTCTTCTACTCTGGCAAGGGCAAATCCTCCAGAAGACACCCCTAAAATCATTATTTTATCACCTGACACTCATTCAACAGCTGTGGTCACCAGAAAAATAACAGATGCCCTGTCCTTTGCTGCTTATTTACAATAAGAGCACATGCTTGCAGGGAACAGAGAATCCTAAACAAAAAGCGGTGCTTATTTCACGATACTAAATTTCCACTTGAAACCTACACCATCAGTTTCACAATACAAAAACTACTCGTGACCTCTTAAGAGATGAGCAGGAAAAGGCAGGGAGACAGAGAAAACAAATTTACCCTTCACGGGAGCAGAGGCATCCTCATTTATCTTTTACAGTGAACACCCCTAGCAAAGAGTACAACAAAGCCACATCCACACACTTCCATTTTGAGACGAGGTCATTGCTACAAAAGCCAAGGTATTAGGCCTCAGAACACTGCAGCTTTCTGTACCTGCCCGGTTCAGGAGGTCGGTCACTATGGAATGCTGAGGTTAACACTTCTTAGGAGGCTCTGTAATTAGCTGCGGTCCAGAGCTTCATGGTGAGGGAAAGAAAAGCTTCTCCCTTTCACAAATCAGAACATTTTTCCAGCTTTCCCAATGGGTTGCCAAGTGACTCAGCATTGGCCCAGTGTGGGCACTATTATTGATGAGAAATCTTCCGCCTGGGTGATACACTGCATACAACACATGCCCAAAGAACAGTGCCAAGTCATACCAGGAAGAGCAGGCGAGTTATTCACCTCCACTTCAAATGCAGGCAAATCCTTTCTTAATGCAGGGGCTACTCAGTATCAGAAAGACAAAACCCTAAGATAGTGGGAGATTTCCATCTAAGATTCAAGGAATTATTAGGCAAAGTCTCTCCTTTCTTGTTGACTATTAAAAGGCAATCAAATCGAGGACAGCAGAGAAAAAGGGCAAGAAATTTTTTTTTTTTCAAAAACAACGCCGGAGTAGAAAGCTGCATAAAAGCTTTCAACGCCGCTAGTGTTCTTTGTGAGTACCACGAGCTCCACCCAGAGGTCATTTTAAGAACTGCATGTTCATTTAATTTTGAGGGGAAAAAAAAAAAAAAAATTTACATCTTCTGGGGTCCAGGAAAGGACCCACTTCAAAGAACTGCTGAAATTGCTTCAACAACATCCATCTTTCTTGCATTTCGTTAAAGAAACTTCTCTGAACTCTGAAATGCAAGATACAGTCGGGGAACTTTGTGAGATCCAATTTGCCTTTGATATTTGTACCTGTCGTGGAACTAGCAGAGTTCCTGGCAGGTTGAACTCAGCTCAAAGAAAGCAGAGTGTTCAAAGAACGCTTTTAGAAGAAAAACTGACAGCTCTCATTGAAATAAAATAGAAGACTGGAGAGCAACTCGGGAGGCAAACAGGAACATGTCTAATATTAGAAGAACTGAGAATAGTCCTGCTTCAAGAAGGACCCATGGGCCACTTGCCGAGAAGGGCCAACTGTGAGGCACCCACTCCCTTATGCCACTCAGAAGAGCTCCCTGAGGCAACTGCAATCCACACTGCTCAAAGAACTGACTGCACTTCCCAGAACATTCCCCTGGCATCCAGCTATTCATAACACATTACCCCCAACACCTATACATACACACACACTCCACCCCACCCTCCACCCTGGTGGTCCTGTACTAATTCATGCAAGCACCTCTTCGGTTCATGTGGGGTCAGGCGAGGATAAAGAGCCCTTAATACACTAAGCGCTCAACTGCCCAGGGCAAGACACATCCTGTTCCACATACCACAAGCTAGCTCAGCAAATAAATGAAGCCTTCATAAAACAACAATATGTTGGTGTTGAAAGTTGTCTACCATCTGGAGAGTTTCCCATCACAGCCCATGTGCTCTTGCCTTCATCAGCCTGTGCCTTATGTGACTGAGGACAGCTTTGACAGATTTTTGAAGGGGAAACAAAAAATCAAACCTACTCTTTGTCTTCCTCCAACGCTGCCTTGCCACCCACCATCCCAGTTCTTCCTTCATTATAAACACTGAACAAACGCCTTTTCACATCTACTGACAAAAGTATCTATGGCAATGTTTATCCATCTCCAGTACCATGAGTTTAAAGCACTAGAAAATATCCTTGCTAAAACTCTACGTGTTCTCATTTCAACAAGGTTAAGCATTCCCAGAACGCTGAGGCAAAAATATTTGTGCTCAGTATGACTCAGTATGACTCCAGGCAGTGTTTCCCCAGACCTGCCTAGTGATAACAATCACCCGGAGACTGGCTAAAGTGACAGCTGTTCAGCCTGCATCCATGATCCATTAACCCAGGCCTTGCTGGGAAGGGGCCCAGAAAGCCAGAGCGTCCAGGCAACCCAGGTGATTGTTATACTCAGGAAGCTTTCAAAAATACCTCTAGATACAAGAAATGCTCAGCTGCAGAGAAGCATCCATCAAGAGTCTAGCAGGTATGCTCCACCCACTTGAATTCCAGCTCTATCAGAATCTCTGGAATTCAAAATGGATCCCATTCATTCATTCATTTATTCAGAGATGGAGTCTCGCTCTGTCACCCAGGCTGGAGTGCAGTGGCACGATCTCAACTCACTGCAACCTCCGCCTCCCAGGCTCAAGCGATTCTCCTGCCTCAGCCTCCCGAGTAGCTGGGACTACAGATGCATGCCACCACACCCGACTAATTTTTTTGTATTTTTAGCAGAGATGGGGTTTTGCCATGTTGGCCAGGCTGATCTCAAACTCCTGACCTCAAGTGATCCACCTGCCTCAGCCTCCCAAAGTCCTGGTATTACAGGCGTGAGCCACTGCACCCAGCCCGTTTTCTACTTTTAAACAGCATGGCTGTCAATACTTTTCTCCTTTGTTCCCTTATCGTGTCGCATAGTATCAGAAAATTTTACAAGGCCCAGCAAGTGTCCACTTCTATTAGGAAATACGTTTGTAGTCCTAAGCAATGGTAGAACACTGGTCTGCAGTTTATCAGTATACTATTTGGGTCATTTGTGCCAAATGATGGGTCGGGAAGGAGATATGCTTGGTTACAGGAAAGGATTTGCCCCAGGACATTTGCATGCATCATGCACAGAGCAGAAGGACATGTGGCCAATATGGGTTTTCTTCGTTTTGGTGTCTTAGGGGCTCTTGTTCCAGCTGCTCCCTGTGACTCCCCACTGCTCTGCATTCTGCCATATCCAGTGATGGTTTATGACACAATTCACCAGGCAGCAAGCCATGTGCCTCTTACAGACAGCAATTAGGAGAAAGGAAAGGCCGAATTACAAGGTATTTGAAAATGCAGTTCGAAAAATTCAGGTATTATTTTCTCTTACCTCCTGGTGAAACAAAAATCTATGTATTCATCCAAAAGCAGACAGCTAACTCTGGGGTCATTCAGAGTCAACAGTTCAGTCAATATAAAAACCAACTACACAGTCAATGTCAAGCATGAACATCCATTAAACCAGAAGTCTTATTTTTTTTTCATCAAAAGGAATCCTTACCTTTTCTTTGGCTTTCCTTTTCGTTCCTGCATCCATCCACTCATTTTCTTTCTCTAGCATGTCAATAAAGGCCCAGCGAACGCCCTCAACCAATTCCTCCATCTACAAGAAAATACCCAAAGAGGGAACGTCAAAGCCAAGAAGCTTCAGTCGAGGTTTTCTGGAACAAAATTGGCTTGCATGAGAAATGACTCTTTACTCAACATGGTAAGTAAGGGGTTCTTTCAGCTTGACTCCATGCTCTGGCAACACTTCTTTTTCCAGGAAAATTCCCTTTTTTCCACCACTAAAAGATAACTAACCAGGCCCAGCATGGTGGCTCATGCCTGTAATCCCAACAATTTGGGAGGCCAAGGCAGGTGGATCACTTGAGCCCAGGAGTTTGAGACCAGCGCGGACAACATGGTGAAACCCCATCTCTACCAAAAATATAAAAATTAGCTGGGCATGGTGGCTCATGCCTGTAATCCCAGGACTTTGGGAGGCTGAGATGAGCAGATCCCTTGAGCCCAGGAGTTCAAGACCAACATGGGCAACATGGCAAAACCCCATCTCTACAAAAAATATAAAAATTAGCTTGGTGTAGAGGCAAATGCCTTAGTCCCAGCTACTCAGGAGGCTGAAGTGAGAGGATTGCTTGAGCCCAAGAGGTGGAGGTTGCAGTGAGCCATGACTGCACCACTGTACTCCAGCCTGGGCAACAAAGCAAGACCCTGTCTCCAAAAAATAAAAAACATTAAAAAAAAAAAACCATTTCTTTCCATGAGAATAATGTGGTGGCCCAGCTATAAAATGAATTATACGGGTATACAGGGATAGGAATTCACCATAGATTATGACAAACCAATAACTTACCTGTCTGTAGCTACTAAACTAGTTCATCCTTATCAAGGTGCCAACTAATTTTAATCATTTAATAAAGGACTGAGAGAGACAGGAAAGGCATGGGCTGTGCATTTCAGATAGGTATTGCAGAAGAAAGTGAACAGTTGAAAGAGATAACTGTTAACACAGAGAAACGGGCAGGGAGACTTAGCACCCCAAAGGACACTTCACCAATATGAATCACACTTATGTCAGGACCCCAGTTCTTTCCAGATTTAGTTCCGTGGGTTAAACTAAATGTTCGGCTCTTCTATATCATCTTCCTACTCTCCTCTCTACTCCTTGGCAGCTCAGAAAAGTCTTGTTATTTCCAATTTAAAAGGGTAGGTATAGGCCAGGGGCAGTGGCTCACCCCTATAATCTCAGGACTTTGGAAGGCCGAAGCAGGAGGATTGCTTGAGGCCAGGAGTTCGAGACCAGCCTGGGCAACACAAGAGGACCTCATCTCTATAAAAACAAAATTATTTTTTAAAGGCCAGGCATGGTGGCGCCTGCACCTGTAGTCCTAGGTACTCAGGAGGCTGAGGCAGGAAGATCACTTGAGCTCAGGAGTTTGAGGCTGCAGTAAGCTATGACTGTACCACTATACTTCAGCCTGGGTGACAGAGTGAGACCTTGTCTCTAAAAAAATAATAATAAAATAAAATGGTAGGTCTAAAGGGGGCTGCTACCGAAAGGTGGACTTCTGAAAGACCTATCGCAAAGCATTTGAACAGTGAGGCCACACCCATAGTGAGGATGTACGTGCCTGGCTTTGCTGCCGGTGTCTGTGGACCAGAAGAGAGGACTGGAGGAAAGGGGCTACTGACACGTCACATTAGAGGCCACCGGCAGCAATGTGAGGAGGCCCTGCCTGTTCATGGATACAAACCCCTCGAAATCCAGTTCTCCTGCAGAGATGCTTTGGCTTTCTCAATGGGACACCCAAGAAAAAAAAAACACTGGGTTTGGCCCCAGAATGAACTTTTTCATTTGAGAGCATGGGGTTGTAAATCAATTGTTAACATTAACTCTAGAAGGAAAGACGTTGAAATGTTTCCTTGGTTCTATAATAAATTGTCAGCATGAAGCTCAAAATAAGTTTTTTCTGTTTAATAAGTTTTCAGCTATGTTTTCAGTTCAATAACAGTTGTGAGGGAACCAGAGCTATAAATCAGTGGGCTGGGTTCCATCATATGTAAATAAGAACAAACAGCAGATGGAAGGGGGTCGGGGGAGCTTCACAGCTATTTCTTCCCAACTTGGTAAAAACATTAAAAGAAGAGAAACTTCAACTTGGGATAAAACACAAACTGCTAGAAGAGCAAAGAGCAAAAGGTCCTTTAAAAATCATTAAGTCGGTGGTTCTTAACTTTGTCTGCCCATTAGAATCTTTGGAGGAACTTTAAAAAATACTGAGAGCTGGCCGCAGGGGCTCATACCTGTAATCCCAGCACTTTGGGAGGCTGAGGCGGGCAGATTACTTGAGGTCAGGAGTTCGAGACCAGCCTGGCCAACATGGTGAAACCCCGTCTCTACTAAAAATACAAAAAATTAGCTGGGTGTAGTAGCAGGCGCCTGTAATCCCAGCTACTCAGGAGGCTGAGGCAGGAGAATCACTGGAACTCGGGAGGCAGAGGTCACAGTGAGCTGAGATTACACCACTGCACTCCAGTCTGGGTGACAGAGCGAGACTCAGTCTCAAAAGAAAAAAAAAATAATACTGACAAAAAATTTCTAAATAAAATAAAAAATCCTGCGTCGTGGGCATCGGGATGCTAGTATCATTGTTCTGAGGTCCAGCCTGGGCATTGGGAGGGTTTAAAAAGTTCCCCAGGTAATTCTAATGTGCAGTCAGGGCTGAGACCCACTAGACCAGGGGAAACCATTTATTTGACAGATAAGGAAATTAAGGGTCAAGGAGTCTATGATCTGCTCAAGCTGACACAGCTAATGAGGACCAGAGCCAGGACCTGACCAAAGAGCTAAAATAACAGTGGAGAGCTCAGAGCCTCTAGTAACAACAGAGGATCCCTCCCAAAATCAGAGAGAAATGCCAGGGAGTGAAAGGGAATCAACTGAGAGATGCATAAGTCACAATTTCAAACAGAAAACCCACATCAGGAGGATGTTAAAATGACAAGGAAATCTCCGGGGACTAGATCTTTTGCCTATCAGCATGCCTAAGTTTTTTTTTTTTTTTTTTTTTTTTGAGAATGAGTCTGACTGTGTCGCCCAGGCTGGAGTGCAGTGGCATGATCTTGGCTCACTGCTCACTGTAACCTCCACCTCCCAGGTTCAAGCGATTCTTCTGCCTCAGCCTCCTAAGTAGCTGGGATCACAGACATGCACCACCATGCCCAGCTAATTTTTGTGTATTTTTAGTAGAGACGGGCTTTCACCATATTGCCCAGGCTAGTCTCGAACCTCCGAGCTCAGGTGATCCACCCGCCTCAGTCTCCCAAAGTGCTGGGATTACAGGCGTGAGCCACCACACCTGGCCCTAAGTCTTTAGGGACTCATCATGTAGCAACATGCATTGGCTGGCCCATCACGTTCACAGAGAAAAAGAAATTATATCTTCCCAAATTAGGGAGGGGCAATGGGGAGGGAAAGAAGTGGGTGGACTCAAAGGAGAGATTTAGAGACCAAACCAATGGAAACAGGTGACTCATTTTATGTGGGAAAGTGAGGAACGTAGAGAGAGTCAGATTCATTCCTAGGCTTCAGAAAGATATTGGCAAACACCGTCATTCAATAAGACTGAGAAAATTGGAAGAAAAAGAGGGATGGGGACAGAAGCCAAACTAGTGGGATGAAGAGTGTGTGGGAAGCGAAGACAGCAAGTCTGGACAAATTAATTGAGTTTGTCTATGAAGGAGAAAAAGCAAAGATAGGAGAGAAGTAGAGGTAGGGTTAAGGGAAGGGTCTGAGGGTTTGGAGTTTGGGTTTCATGCATATGCTTGCTAATGCTGTTCCTACTGTTTTTGTTGTTGTTGAAAAGCTGAGAGATTTGACTATGTTTAAATACCAATAGAAAGGATCCAGCGAAAAGGAAGAGACTGAAAATATGGGACAAAGCAAGCCATGAGTGGTGTCTCAGAGGGCAAAGGAGGTGATGGGATCCAGAGACTATATGGAAGGATTCACCTTAGATATGAGACAGACTTATGAGAGGAGAGAAGATTAAAATGATAGGCAGGCATGCAGAAGAATCTAAAGATTAGATGTAGAAGGTTGAGAGAGTCCTAGTATAAACGTGGGTCTTTTCTCCATGAAATAGGATTGAGACCTTCTGCTTAAAGGGAGGTTTATCTAAAAAATTATATTTCTTCGCACATGGCTATGTGCATCCTGGCAGCATGAACATATTACTAGGAAGAGAAGTACAGTAGTACCCCCTTATTCACGATTTTGCTTTCCATAGTTTCAGTTACCTATGGGCAACTGTGTTCTGAAAATATTAAATGGAAAATTCCAGAAATAAACAATTCACAAATTTTAAATTGCACACCATTCTGATTAGTGTGATGAAGTTTCATGCCATCCCAGCCTGTCTGGCCCGGGATGTGAATCACCCTTCGTTTGTCCAGCATCTCCACCCTGTATATACGCACCCAATAGTCACTTGCTAGCTATCTTGGTTATCAGACAGATCATAGGAAGTACATGCATGAGTTCAATACCATAAGATACTTTGAGAGAAAGAGAGACCACATTCACATAACTTTTATTACAGTATATCATTATAACTGTTCTATTTTATTATTAGTTATTGGTGTTAATCTCTTACTGTGCCTACTTTATAAAATAAACCTTATGATAGTTATATATGCATAGGAAAAACATAGTATATATAGAGTTTAGTACTATCCCCAGTCTCATCCACTGGGCGGGGGTTGGGGGGGGTCTTGGAAAGTATCTGTCTCAGATAAGGGGGGATTACTATATTTACAGATAGGGACAAAGAGGACAATAAAAGGTTCCCTCTCAATACCCTGGCCAGGATGTAGCAATAATAGAAAGCACCCAATAAATAATAAAAAGTTGAATATGTCCAAAGAAAATATTTATTTGGGACAAGGTGTACAAAAGCAAAACATTTTATTAGGTTTTAAAATAAATTATCAAAAAAATAAGCACTCTCCAAGCTAAAAAGATCTTCAGCAAATTTTGGAATTTTTGGATTCCTATGATGAATCTTAAGGTCATTTTGCTCCTGTTCTCTTTGAGGTATTTTTATGGAGTATGTGGCTATTATTAAAATGGGGCTGAGTGTTTCCAGATACTTCTCTCTAAGCAGCTTGGTTTCATAGGACCCTCCCTGTCCAGCATCTCCCAGGCATTAAAATGGCTATCAAATTCATTAAAATTTAATGCATTTTGAAAAGGTTTTCAGGGCGGGTGCAGTGGCTCACGCCTGTAATCCCAGCACTTTGGGAGGCTGAGGCGGTTGGATCACCTGAGGTCTGGAGTTCAAGACCAGCCTGACCAACATGGTGAAACCCCGTCTCTACTAGATACAAAAAAAGAAATTAGCCAGGTGTGGTGGCACATGCCTGTAACCTCAGCAACTTGGGAGGCTGAGACAGGATAATTGCTTGAACCCGCGAGGCGGAGGTTGCAGTGAGCCAAGATCGCGCCACAGCACTCCAGCCTGGGCGACAGAGCAAGATTCCGTCTCTAAATAAATAAATAAGAAAAGGTTTTCAAAGCTCTTTGTCTGTAACCCATTGATTGGCATTCTAAATGAAAATAAAAAGAGGCAAAAACATTTCAGCCCACTGCCAGAGTGAAAAATGACAAATAGTTTATTCACATGCCAGTTCCTCCCTCCTCTGCCTTTTCTTCCACCTCCTCCCCTGCCCCCACCACCTCTGTCTTCCCTGAATCCACACTTCGGTAACTCACTCTTTGTGGCCCTCTCACATTTGTCAAAACGCGGGTAAATCACTTTTTTTTTCCCATGAGCCTCAGCTGCTCTTTGCCCTTGTCTTCTCTGGCACCTCCACTCCCCACACCATCCCCCACCTCAGGTTCTCAATTTTTTTTTTTTTGGCAGACTTTACAGATTTATTGTATAACATTTTCTGTGAAATGGTGTTGAACTACCCCAGCAGACTTCAAGAACAAGGAAAATCTTTGAAGGTGATTAATTTCATTGGTTGACATGTCAATGCAAATAAGAGAAATAATTATTTTAGCATGCTGGAACTAGGAAGATAAATCACTGAACACTTCTGATTTTTATCTTTAGACTACTCTACAGCATCACATAATAACATTGCCTTCAGTCAAGTCAAAAACCTGCTGTAATTTTAAAATAAGAAAAAAATAGAGAAATAGTATTTCTTCACCAAACTTGGACCTCACACCTCAACCAGGCAGCATATAACATTAATAGAAATCCCTTAAAGTGGAAGTCTTAAGGTGAAGTTATCCATAGGAAATATTTATTTAGAGCCAGTCAAAGGTCAAAATATAACATATAAAAATTAACTCAAGTGTTATTTTGGTAAAATCTGCCATATTCAGGGTAAGAGCCCTCTAGGCAAAGCAACGTTTTGTTAAATATCTATTTATTTCAGGGGCAGGGCGCAATGGCTCCCACCTGTAATCCCAGCACTTTGGGAGGCCGAGGTGGGCGAATCACCTGAGGTCAGGAGCTCAAGACCAGCCTGGCCAACATGGTGAAACCCTGTCTCTACTAAAAATACAAAAATTAGCCAGGCATGGTGGCGGGCAACTGTAATCTCAGCTACTCGAGAGGCTGAGGCACAAGAATCGCTTGAACCCGGGAGGTGGAGGGTGCAGTGAGCTGAGATCACCCCACTGCACTCGAGCCTGGGTGACAGAGCAAGACTCTGTCTCAAAAAAAAAAAAAAAAAAAAAAAAACAACTATTTCAGATTTTATGGATCCACACTATAAAAATACAGTTCATTTGGTTGATCTATGGGCAGTTCTTAGTTCTCTTCCTCAACCAGTGTTATCTAAAAATAGGTTCTTCCTTTTTCATTCTTTGCACCCCAGGATTTTGCCCATAGAGTTCTACATCAGACACCAGACATTGGTGAGTCACATATGCATAGGCACTTGTTACCCTTCAATCCAGGGCTTTACTTTAATGAGATGCTCCTATCTTAGCAAATTATAAATTATCTCTCCTGCTCCTCTTGCCCTCTCCTTACCCTTCCTCCCATCACATAGACATAAGAATTCTGTACTTTGCATAAATGAGTCATGATGGTTCTATTAATACATTTGAAGGGACATATGCCAACATTGCTTTAAGGAGGGATTAGTTTGCCCCATGATCGGTTGTAGTTTTCTTCAAAGCTTTGTCCCTGATAATAAAGAAATCCCACAAGGCAACTCAAATCCTATCTCATACCCATGAATCCCAAACACTTAAACCCACACTTTCAATTCCCTCTCTGAGTTCCTGTGAGGCTTAAAATCAGAATAATACATAGGTGTGTGTTTAATTGTTGTCTTTTCATTTATATTTATTTGGTCTCCCTAACAAGACCCATAAGCTTTGAGAACAGGAACCATGATTTAGATCAAATGAGATCATGAATATGTAAGCAAACAAAAAAGTATTCTGCTAATTTAAAATTTTGTTAGTTTTATGATTTCATATCTCATGTGATATGATTTTTCACGAGTCCATATCTCACATTCATACCTAATACTAAAATATAGCAGATGCTCAGTAAATACAAGCTGATCAATTTATGCTTTTTGAAACCTTCAATTGGCACCTAGCAGAGTTGAAATTGAATCAAATATCTTTCATATATGCTAACAGATAACAGTTATTCCAATAGTATAAAGAGAAAATATTAACAAACTCACTCATAGAAAATATGGTGCTGTGCAGATATGATCATGAGATTTAACAACATGAAAGCTGAAAAAGGGAAAAAAAAAATGCATGGTACCCTTTTTAGGTGAAGTCATTTTTGAAAAGAGAGACCTACTCTGATTTAGTAATTCAAAGCCTGAATCCATGAGTAGAACTTATCAGTGAATAGAAAATCCATCGTTATATTAGGGGACAAGGTTCACAGCAAATGTCTCCAGAATGACTGTAGCCTACTACCAAACACAAACTTTAGTGGAAATCAAGTGACTCTGTAAGTTAGCCTAGTCCATTCTAAGATAGGTGATGTCAACATGGTACATGACAAACAGCTTGGAATGGTTTAAAAATATAGTACATATCTAGTAGGAATAATTATAGGCTAGGAGTTCTGAAAAAGAAAAGAAAGGAAAAAGAAAAAAAATCAGTAAGGTTGATTATGGGCATTAACCTTAAACTAATTTAATGTTAATAAAATTCTTAACGAAAAGGCATAATGTTGAGTAGGCTTTCCTCTTTAACATACTTAGAAGTTATAATATCTGGAAAAAAACCATGAGATTAAAATGTTTCCAGTCTTCTCATTGCTCTAGAACAGGGCAAGTTTTCTTGAGTTGTAACCACTGATTGGTGGAATGTGAAAAATGGAAATCGTTGTTAATAATTTATGTGGATAACCCTGAAGAAATAGGCTTTAATCTCAGGGGGACTCTTAAAATTTTCTTTCTGGCAATTGTCACTTTACTAGAAACACAGACATTAAATAAATGAATGCACCAATAAATATGAAATATTCATTAATTAATTACTTATACTATAACTATTTATAAAAATGCCCTTGGATTGGCTCCTGATAAAAAATAATGGCAACAAAATAAGTAAAAAGTGACCTATATTGAAGTGGGACATGTGGTTAAACCAGAAGAACTAAGGATAGTTAGAAAATGCTGAGGTTTCTGGCAGCCAAGTGAGTGAATAAATCATATCAGTTTGTCAGGATTAGCAGTGTTACATAGCTATTAAACATTTTGGCAAAAGAAGAAAAAATCAAATTATTTGGTGCTATAAAGTGGGTTATTCTGGTGGTACAGGAGGAGTTTCTCATGTCCTTTTATCTAAAGGTATATATTCATAAGACTCAGGTAGATATTTATATTTCTATTTGCTGGATATGAACATATAGGCTGTGTTCTAATTTTATAACTCATCTTTTCCTGTTTTCCACTTTCCAACTTTAAGAGAGGATGGATCAGAAACCAGAATAATATTTACAAGTCAATCAGTCTCAAATAGTCTAGCCTTTGGCTGTGGGTAAATTCTCCCCAGCAAGTAACTATGTCTGGTCACTTCCAACATTCAGATCTGTTGGAAGGCATAAATGTTTTCTTTAGGTAAATGAATTTCTAATAAAGGGTCTTCACATTCCATAGGTCTGACCAGATCTGCTTGACAAGACTGTGGCTGATAATATGTGGCAAAGGCAACACTGCCCAATGCTAGCCAGAAATGGAGAAAACAAACAAGAAAGGTGAGCCAATGTGTCATCGTCGTGGCAGCACACTCAAAGACAAGGACAAGAGTAAGTGTTCATACTTATTTCAAAAGAATTCCCAATGAGCTATCTAAATTACTTGTTTTGCTGGATGTTACTTGACCGAAGATTGCATAAATGAGCTGTCACGATTGGGACCGGATGATATTTGTTGTAACAAGATTTAGCCTGCAGAGGGTTATGAAATCTGGACCTATTCTAGAAATTACATGGCCGGGCATGGTGGCTCATGCCTGTAATCCCAGCACTTTGGGACGCTGAGGAGGGCAGATCACGAGGTCAGGAGATCGAGACCATCCTGGCTAACACAGTGAAACCCCATCTCTACTAAAAATACAAAAAATTAGCCAGGCGAGGTGGCATGCACCTGTGGTCCCAGCTACTTGGGAGGCTGAGGCGGGAAAATGGCGTGAACCCGGGAGGCAGAGCTTGCAGTGAGCCAAGATCGCACCACTGCACTCCAGCCTGGGCAACAGGGCGAGACTTGGTCTCAAAAAAAAAAAAAAAAGAAAAAGAAATTATATTTGGCTCCTCGAGTAATTTCATGAGTAATTTCATGAGACTCTTGTATGAGCCAGACTTGGCGTTAAATGATAGGGTGGGTTCTGGAATGTGGCCAGGGCACTAACATGAAAAGGATCTTTATTCCAATGAAAGCTACTATACTAGGCATGTATGGAGGAGTAGCGACAGCAAAACCCCCCAGGCACCTCCCTCACTCTATGATAAATTAAAAAGAGGCAATCTAAATGCAGAAGTTGCCACAGCCTGTGCCAGGAAGTTGATATTATAAATTCTATCTTAATTATTAACATTAGGCATGGCAATATTAGCAATAAGAGTAGATGACATTCACTGAGCACTTTTTGTGTACCAGGTATTATGCTAGGCCTTCTACATAGATTATATCATTTAACTCTCACCTCAAATGAAAGAAGGAGGTATACTTTTATCCCTATTTGTGATACACAGCACTGACAGCTTTAATGCCATACTCCTTCATTTATCCACACCCCTTACTGTGTGACTTTGCAGATCCTCTCATTAAAAATGCAGAGTTACAGGTGGCTCACACCTGTAATCCTAACACTTTGGGAAGCCAAGGCGGGCAGATCGCTTAAGCTCACGAGTCCAAGACCAGCCTGGACAACACGCCAAAGCCCCATCTCTACAAAAAATACAAAAATTAGCCGGGCATCATGGCGCACACCTGTAGTCCCAGCTACTCGCAGGCTAAAGTGGGAAGATGGCTTGAGCCTGGGAGGCAGAGGCTGCAGTGAGCCGAGATCGCACCACTGCACTCCAGCCTGGGGGACAGAGCCAGACCTTGTCTCAAAAAAAAAAAAAAAAAAAAAAATGCAGACCCTATCTCCCTAGTCTGTAAATCTGGACCGGCCTTGTGACTTGCTTTGGCCAACAAAATGCAGATATTACATTATGCCTGTCCTGAGCCTAGGTCTCAGGAGACCTCACATGTTTCTACTTGCTTGCTTGAACTTCTGCCATCACCATGAGAACATGCACAGGCTAGCCGGCTGAAGGAAGCAGGACACATGAAGCAGAGCCGAGTCATTCCAATCACCTCTGCCAAAGCCAACCTTGATCAGCCAACCCCCAGAAATTCAAGCCAGCCTGGCCAAAATCAACAGAGCTGCATGGGGGCCCACCACTGACTCCAGATGCATCAGCAGTAACTGCTTATTGTCAAATGCCAGTGAGGCTTTGTGATTGATTGTTACACAGCATTACCAAAGCAACAGAAACTCTTGCATCATTTATAACAGGAAAACAAGCTCAAAGAAGTTAACTGATTTGCCCATGTTGGTAAGAGCAGAGCTGGGCTATGAGCTATCAATGCAACTTTGCAGAAAATCAGATGTAATTTCTATATTAGGTCAATATTTTATAAATATATTAAAAAGCCCTTAAAAAACCAAATCATCATGGTTTGCCTTAATTTGGACAGGTCTTCAGCAAAGTTTCTCTGGAAAGTGATCTTGATAATAATAACCAACACCACTTACTAGACAAACAGAAACGGGCATTTAGTAGCCAAAGAGAATATCCTTTCTTTCACAATTTGTGATGAAGGGACCATTGTCTTTATCTGTACAGTGGCTTTACTGAGAACAACCTTTGTGAGCAGCTGAATTTGCAAGGAACGAAAAACTCCTCAGTATAAGGGCAATGCTATAATGCATGACACTGAGTTTCATGTGACTTCTGCCATCAACGTTATAGTTACATCTCATTTACTCAACCACTGAGAGAAACAGTGAGCGAGGGAATTGGAGAACTTAAAGAATATTAATGGCAGTACATCAATTCAATTATCTTAGCTCACTAATGAGGTGAACTTCTAGTGTATTGAGGTTGCAAGTTCAAACTCCGCCACTGCAATTGGACCCACGTGGGTATTTAAGTCTTCAACACCAGATGTAGCAGTATGGGGTGGGAGGAGAATTCTTTTCTTAGGATAAGAATTACTACTGGAATTGCTCAGGCAGAGAGCAGCTCAGAAAAAATGGAAGATATTTTAGGGCATCCATGGCATTACTTGGGGACATGAACAATGTCTTTAAAGAGAAATAGAATAGCTGCTAGAGTGCAGGAGAAATTAGTGAATTGTTCTACATAGGGAGTCAAGTTTTAGTTCTTCACTTAATAAAATCTGAATCTGAAGTGTAATAGATTTGCTCTGCTTTAACTAGATTAACCTTCTGCATATAGAATGTTTTAATATATGACAGGAGATCAGTGACTTTAGCTTTGATCTGAGAGCTGACAAAGACTCTCTCCTTGACCAAAGTTTAGTCAGGCTCCTCTGAGCCCTCTTCTCAAGTACGTCTTGCCCTTACCCTCCTCCCAGCCTCCCACCCCCATCCTGTCCTCGACAAGCCTGTCTAGTCCAGTTGTAGCAAGAATCCTGCTAAGTCACTTTAGAAAGAATCCCCATCCTGATCACCTTGGCCTGCCTTCCACAAGAATCCTGTCAAGTTGGTTTAACAAGAATTTCCCTGCTCGTGATGTCTCCTCTTCATAATTTTCCATCCACTGACCCCCTCATTCTCCTCACTGGCTATAAATCTCCAGCTATCTTTGCTGTATTTAGAGTTGGGCCTAATCTTTCTCCCCTGTTGCAATAGACTTGACACCTCTTGCAATAGTCCTGAATAGTCTTCATTACTATTTTAACAAGTGTCAAAATAATTATTTGCTTTAGCAGGGTTTACTCTATAAGAAAAATGCAGAAAATTTGAGGGAGCAGCAAAAAATACCTACTGGCAGAGATGAGATATATGAATAAAGATAAGCAGTTTGGGGACATAGTGTCTACAATGAAACAAACCAAGACATGGTTTATACAGAAGAACTTAGCCCAGCCAAAATGTTCACATGGGAACTTCAGCTTTACTGAATTTTCTAGAAACTAGAGTTACAGCAACAAGGCCTTTTTTCCCATCAACACAATAGAAAAAAAATTTCTTTGATGTATATATTCACATTTCCGCCTTAGTAGAGAATGGTAAACATTTTTTTTTAAACTTTGATAATAAATCTTACAGAGCCTTTGGGTTACCACTGCAAACATCAGGGATCACTCCTTAGAATGACGTATGTACAAAATACGAGAAATTGAGCTCAGTGTGTAGACTGAGCCAAAGATATACCTGCAAGGTTATTCTTAGATTAAATCAATAGTAGCTTGCTTCTTATCATTTCCGTCTTTCTCCTGAGAATTATATGAATACAAAAATGTGATGTCAACTGGTTGGATATGAATTAGGTTTCCACTATATTTATATTTAAAATTTTGAAATACTGGAAGCCAAACCTATTCCAACTGTTTCCTACCTCTGAAATGTTAAAAAATATGAAATGTATGCCCTTTTAGGATCTTAATATTAGAATAATTTGCTAACAAGGGTAATTATAAGATAAGCCACTAAGAAGGTTCTGGTCTCCTCATATTCGTAAAACTGGCAAAGATTCAAGTGCCTTCAGAGATAAGCAAGGGAATGGAACACTGGTTTCCATGTAGATTGTCTGGGCTTGAACCCTACCTAAGCCATTTTCAAGCTATATGACTCCAGAGAATTTACTTCAACTCTCTGAGCCTGTTTCCTCATCTGGAAAATGAGGGCACTAACAGCAGTAACAGGGTCATTGTGAGGATAAGTGAGTTCACACACTGAAAGCACTTAAAAGAATACCAGACAGCTAGTTAAACCTCAGTGAAAGCTAACTGCTACTGTTATTATCATCACCACATTTTAAAACCAATATGTCCTGACCATCACAGTCACAACTAGGCCCATGGTGACAATCCCTTCATTCCCTGGCCTTCGTTGGAACCTTCACCTGCCCTCCATGGACATGAGTATCTACCTGGGGCACTTACTTATACATTACAGATATAAGCAATAATAATAATAATCAAACAAGGCCAGGCGTGGTGGCTCACGTCTATAATCCCAGCACCTTGGGAGGCTGAGGCAGGGAGATCACTTAAAGTCAGGAGTTCAAGACCAGCTTGGCCAACATGAGGAAACCACATCTCTACCCAAAAAAAATACAAAAATTAGCTGGGCCTGGTGGTGCACACCTGTAATCCCAGCTACTCATGAGGCTGAGGCACAAGAATGGCTTGAACCCAGGAGGCAGAGGTTGCAATGAGCCAAGATCATGCCAGTGCACTTCAGCCTGGGTGATGGAGCAAGACTCTGTCTCAAAAAAAAAAAAAAGAAAAAGAAAAAGACAAGAGTATTAAAAAATAAAAATAAATAAAGGGGAAAATTAGCAAGTGATAACTCTAGACATCCTTCCTGAACACAACTAATCCTCTCTCCTGCCATTTAGGTCATGAGCATATGGATCAGGGCTTGGCACAGTGGAACGAGAGCATCATCTCTATTTACAGTGATGATATATCATCAATTCTCTAGGGGAGTCCCACTTTCATGTAACTTTCCACAAAAGTAATATTAAATGCTTAGCTAATGGAATGTTTTAAAATTATAAATAATCTTCATCTAAATAAGATAAAAAATTAAAGAAGTCCTCTGATAGACAAAGTTATGATTTTTAGTTCTGGGGAATGGGGGAAGAAAGGGAGGTAAGGAGGGAGAAAATGTTAATATAAAAGTCAATGGAGGCCAGGGGTAGTGGCTCATGCCTGTAATCCCAACACAGGGAGGCGGAGGTGGCAGTGAGCCGAGATCACGCCACTGCACTCCAGCCTGGGCAACAGAGTGAGACCCTGTCTCAAAAAAAATATGTGGCTCATATTCCAGTTCAATTGGGTAGTGCTACTTTGGACTGCAAAGACAAAGCAACACTTGCAGCCAATCTCACGAGTTAAGGCTCTGTCCTGCTAACTGGGAGGCAAGGGATTGTACTATATGACCTCTTTTGGTGGCTTTCTGTTGAAGGACTCTCCTTTTCTACATGCTATTCTTCTCATTTCTAATTCAATTTGCTAAATTCCCATGGTTGTGTGTGTGAATGAGTATGAGAACGTTGGTGTATCGGTGTGTCCAAATGCACAGTTGGATGTAGGAAGTCTTAGTGAAACAGTAATATAGAATTATGTGTTTTCCCCAGTGAAAAGGAGGAGAACACTGATAGGTAGGAAACCTCAATGTGAACTGCTCTCTCCCACTCACTCTTTAGAAGAGAGGGTACCAACCACAGGCAGTTGGGCCAACTCTGTCATCAAGAGGTTCTCAAAACAGACACGGAGGAGAAGTGGGGCGGGAGTCTCTTAGTAAAACCTAGGTATCAGTTTTCAAAAGATAAAGCCTGGAGGTCCTAACGCAGGGTTTTTCACAGTCCATTTAAACCAATCTGAATCACAGAAATTTTCAATGATCTGAAAATTAAAGCAGTTACTTGCACTAATGTAACCGGTTTTGGTAAATAAAGTACTGCTATTCATGTCAACTGGCCTGGCCTGCTCTTGTGAGTCACCGAGGCTTTTTTTTTTTTTTTTTTTTTTTTTTGGTGCTGTTTACAAACAAATGAATCATGAGAAGACCTTGCTGCGCAAAGTGTGGTCCACGACCAGCAGCAGCAGTCGCACCTGGAACCTTGTTAGGCAAATTCTTGGGTCCTACCCCAAACACAACTTAAAAAAAAAAAACCTTGTTAAAATGCAATGAGAATCTGCATTTTTAACAAGCAGATGCTCACGTGATTTATGTACACATGTAAATTTGAGACATACCTGAAGTTTAAGCTTCTGACTGTATTCATTTGCTTAACAAACTTTTTTGGTAAATAAACAATGGCAGCCTTCCATCTGAGTTAGGGTCTCTGGAATTTGCCCCTTTGGGGATCTTTCTGTTTTTCTTTTTCTTTAGACTGTAGCTAATAATACTGAATGTTTTTCAAGTAAATCAGTGGTTCCAGGTGGTTCTTGGATGGGAGCCCTGTAAAAAAAAAGGCTATAAAAGGCCAGATATTTCTCTTATAAGTTTCCAACCTAAGTATTCCCTGAGGCAAACAGCTTCAGCACAAGGGAGGCAAACAATTTTACGTTAAAGAGATGAGTATCTGCCTAACTACCAAACTACCCCCACGTACATCAAAATAAGGGGGAAGATGCCAAAATTAACTTTATTTTAGAATGTCATACCCTGACACAAGGAAAAGGGACTTTCACACCAAAACTGAGAAAAACAAGTTTAATCCACATACTTTTCATATTAGTTAAAATTCTTCTACTGCCAAAAAACCTGCTATAATTTTTTTAAATCTTTCATTATCCTTTAATTGTTTTTATAGCCTTCCCAGAGATTATAATATTACTACTGTGATTATCTGATAAGATCTCAATCTATTTACTCTGACCAAAGAGCAAAAGAAAACACGCAATGAGAATACTGAGTATTTTGAAATAAGCCATTAATTCCTCAGTGGAATTATTTGCAAGGGAACTTTCAGGTTCAAACATAAAGTCTCATAGTTAGACAGTAAAAACAAGTTAACATAGGTCAATTTGTTCCCAGACCAAACTGAGGGTCAGGCTGCTATTTCTCACGGCCCAATAACGAGATGCAAATGAACTGGGGAAGAACAGAGTTTTATTTTCTGCCACTGGTTACAGGGAGAAAGCCTGGAAATTATCACCAGACCAACTCAAAGTTACAAAGTTTTCTAGAGCTCATATACCTTCTAAGCTATATGTCTACGTGAAAGTGTGCAATCGTCGAAAGACATAAATGATTAACTTCTTTTAATCTATAACTAGGTGTGAGTCTTGAAGACCTTCTTCTGGAGCCTCAGTAAGTTTACTTAATCTAAATGGGTCTAGGTACTGAGGTAATTACCCTTATCTTGTCTCCTGCTAAATCATAAAGGTTTGGGGAGTTCCTTTAGACCCCAGTAAACTTGTTTGTGGAGGCCTGTGGAGTTTCTTCAGACCCCCAATAAAACTTGTTTAATCCTAAAAGGGTCCTGTTAAGAATTCATTCATTATCTTGTCATGCTTCAAGATCCAGGAAAAGCCTAGGCAAAACTCTTGGTGGGCTCTTTGTTACATTCCAGGCTTTGTATATGGGCAGTGGTTCAATCAGCTTTTAATGTTTAACCTAGCTACTCAGTACGTGCTGGGACAGTTGTGATGGAGGCCTGTGTTAGTGAGACCTGGCCTGCCACAAATGTACTTAGATATGGTATTGCAAAGCAAACTTCAGTGCATAATACATAATCATGTATTATGTATCAATAATGACTATGTACTGATACATAATACCAACCATTTGGTATTATTATGTATCACTACGTGATACCAATCATTTGAACAATCATGACATTACAATGTCTTTGCCCTTTAATTCAGTGTTTATTGACCACCTGCATCCAAGCTGCTCATATATTTGTATCTTATTGACTACACGGATTATTATTAATCATGCCTGGATCTTTTACTTCATGACATTTGTAAAATATAATTCATCAAAAATAAAATGCAGACAAAAAACTTGGCCAAATCCATGTTTCTAATTCAAAATACACCCTCTCAATAGTGAAAAAACGAATAATCTGATTAAAAAATAGGCAAAAGATCTGAATAGACATTTTTCCAAAGACGACACATAAACAGGAGGTTTATGAAAAGGTTTTCATCACTAATCATCAGGGAAATGCAAATCAAACCATAATGAAATAGCACTTCACTACCTGTTAGGATGGCTATGATCAAAAATTTAAGAGGTAAGTGTTGGCAAAATATTCCTGGAAAAAAAGGAAACGCTCATATACTGTTGGTAAGAATGTAAACTGGTACAGCCATTATGGAAAATAGCATGGAAAATCTTCAAAAAAATAAAAATAGGACTACCATTCAATCCAGCCATCCCACTACTGGGTATATATCCAAAGTAAGTAAAATCAGTATATGGAAGAAAGATCTGCACCTTCATGTTCATTGCAGCATTATTCATAATAGCCAAGATATGGAATAAACCTAAATACCCTTCAATGGATAAATACATAAGGAAACTGCGATGTGTGCATGTGTGTACCACACAATGGAATATTTGGCCATAAAAATGAAGAAATGAAGAAAATCCTGCCTTTTGCAACAGCATAGATAAAGCCAGAGGACATTATGCTAAGTGAAATAAGCCAGGCACAGAAAGACAAATATTATATGATCTCACTTATATGTAGAATCTTTATAAAAGTTAAAATATAGAAGCAGAGAGTAGAACAGTAGTTGCCAGGGGCTGGGGGCAGGGAAATGGGGAGATATTGATCAAAGGGTACAAACTTCTAGTTCTAAGATGAATAAGTTATGGGGATCTAAAATATGGCATGGTGACTATAGTTACTAATAATGTATTGTATACTTGAATTTGCTAAGACAGTAAATCTTAAGTGTCCTCATCCCCCACCACCACACACACAATGGTAAATAAGTGTGACAACAGATGTGTTCATTTGATTGTGGCAACCATTTCACAATGTATGTCAAATCATCATCTTGTATACTTTGTGTTTGTTTTGAGACAGAGTCTCGCTCTGTCGCCTTGGCTGAAGGGCAGTGGCGCGATCTCGGCTCACTGCAACCTCCGCCTCCGGGGTTCAAGCAATTCTCCTGCCTCAGCCTCCCAAATAGCTGGGATTACAGGTGCCTGCCACCACGCCCAGATAAATTTTGTATTTTTTTTAGTAGAGATGGGGTTTTACCATGTTGGCCAGGCTGGCCTCAAACTCCTGACCTCAAGTGATCTGCCCGGCTTAGCCTCTCAAAGTACTAGGATTACAGGTGTGAGCCACTGCGCCCGGCCGTATACTTCGAATATATACAATTGTTATTAGTCAAATGCATCTCAATAAAGCTGAAAGAAAAAAAAATACACCCTTTTCTCCAATGCAGTTGAAACAGATGGAGAAGAACACGTTGCCACAGTGATGAGTCCCTCTTTAAATTCAATACCTCAAACCTCACCTACATCTGGACATGCCTGCCCTCAAGCAGCTATACTACATTCCCTCAGTTTATTCACTCTCCCACTCCCCTGGAAAACTACACACCTTCTCTCTCCTCTAACCTTCAATACCTGCTAACTCATCCTCACTCTCGTTTGATGACCTTTCTTCCTATTTCACTTAGAAGTTGAAAGAATCTGAAGACAATACCCACAGGCCACTACCACCTGGAAGGCTGACATTAGCCTGTTGAATATACCCTTGTCAGATCTGGCTAAATTGCCATTATTTTTTGCTAGCTGGGGAGTACCACTTACCATTTCCTTCTTATCTTCCTGGAAGTACACATCTACAAACATCTTTCCAACAACATAAGGGAGGGCACTTTCAATAAAGTTTACACATTTGTCCCATTGAGGCAGCAAAGTTGTGGTCCCCTGGATTACCTGTGGGAGATAATTGATCCAGATTAAACTTCATTTGGATAAAACCCATGGCTGAAAACAATTCAAACAACCTGAAGAAAACAGTCTACAAAACACTGCACACCCTAACCCATATATATGCATCAGATAGTAGAGGCAAAGGTAAAATAGTTGAAGAAAAAAATTCTGCTTGTCCCCATTATATTTCAAACTAAATGAAAATGTTTTAGGCCGGTCAAAGTGGCTCACATCTGTAATCCCAGCACTTTAAGAAGCCCAGGTGAGCAGATCACCTGAGGTCAGGAGCTCGAGACCAGCCTGGCCAACATGGTGAAACCCCGTGCTTACTAAAAACACAAAAATTAGCCGGGCACGGTGGTGCATGCCTGTAATCCCAGCTACTTGGGAGGCTGAGGTGGGAGAATTGTGTGAACCCAGGAAGCGGTGGTTGCAGTGAGCTGAGATTGGGCCACTGCACTCCAGCCTGGGCAATAGAGTGAGACTCTGTCTGGAAAAAAAAAAAAAAAAAAAAAAAGAAGAAGAAGAAAAGAAAGTGATTTAACAGTTAAAATAATATATGTATCCTTTCTTCCCAATTTTCCCCATTAAACAAAGAATCTGGACAATGGTATCACTTTTCTGCAGTCAGCAGGGACATGAGAGGATGCTATCCAAGTGTCTAGATAATATTTAATATCTCCTGAGAACTAAAGTTCCACTAAGAAGGTCTAGAATCAGTGGGTGATCAAAGTTCCTGCCCAGTGAGGGTTTCCTTGCTCCGAGTAGCACACTCAACAAGGCAGACCAGAAGAACATGGCCCACCATGAACAACACAGGGAGCATATTTACATTGTGTCACAGCAAAAAACACACTGATAAACAAGCAAAATACAGATGTAAATGCTTTGCCCATCTGTCCCAATTATACCATTGCAAGAAAACATTTACAAACAAGTAAGAAGTTTCCCAAGCAGGACCTGGGTCAGAGGTTTACTCTTGGGAATAAAAGCAGAGAAATAAATATAGTGTAAGTTGCCCTTGGAAGCTGGGGGTGCAGGCAGGGAGGAAGGGAGGCCCTGAGAATGGTGGTCAGAAGTGTCCTTTGCACAATGTTAGACCCAGGTTGTTTTGAGGAATGGGATTAAGGCTTAATTTCATCTATTCTTCCTCTGATTTCTGGTAACCTCTCTCAGAGGTAAGCGATGAATCTATTTTTAAAACCTCTAGAGAAAGAGATCCTACAACCTTCTTCGGCAATTCAATATTATATTTAGCACTTCGTGCTCAAGAAACATCCCCTCATACCTAACCTTAAATGTTCACACAGTGCTTCTTACACCTCTCTCATTCTCTTCACAGTAGGGGTGGAAAGCAGCTGGGCATCATCTTTTATGTGATTCGTAGCAGTTAAAAATACACACAAACACACACACACACACACACACACACACACACACACACACACACACACAAAACCTACTTGTTTTGTATCTTAACCCATCAATATGACCTAAATATATATATAGTTGTTTTATGCTGTTCTCTGTAAAAAAGACTTTTTTTCTTTTTTTTGAGACGGAGTCTTGCTCTGTTGCCCAGGCTGGAGTGCATTGGTGCCATCATCTCAGTTCACTGTAGCCTCCGCCTCCCGGATTCAAGCAATTCTCCTGCCTCAGCCCCCCGAGTAGCTGGGACCACAGGTGCGTGACACCATGCCCGGCTAATTTTTGTATTTTTTGTAGAGACGAGGTTTCACCACGTTGGCCAGGCTGGTCTCAAACTCCTGACCTCAATTTGCCTGCCTTGGCCTCCCAAAGTGCTGGGATTACAGGTGTGAGCCACTGCACCCAGCCCTAAAGTAACTTTATATGCTAGTGACTTTATAGGGTCAAAGCATATCCAAAATAATTGCACTACTCTTCCAGAGTAATGGCCCACTAAGAATTTCTATACTTATTAGTTCCTCTAATAACTAAAATGCCTCTTGAATGAAATCATAGCTTATAAGATTCACCATTCACTTAACTTTAAATTGATAGAAAAATAAAAACTGTTTCAAAGATACAAAATCCTTACGGCCTCTAGTGGTAGGAGAATTAGTCAGACATAAGCCTCAAAAACAAAGGTGAGAGTAACATGGGTACAAACTGGGAGACGAGCAAGGGTGGGAGAGAAGCAAAGGTTAAAGAGCCAGGTGAGGCCCGGCACAGTGGCTCGTGCCTTTAATCCCAGCACTTTGGGAAGCTGAGGTGAGAGGATCACTTGAGCTCTGGAGTTCAAGACAAGCCTGGGCAACATGGCAAGACCCCATCTCTAATAAAAATAAATAAATAAAGAGCCAGGTGAGCAGGTGGAGGAAAACCATCTCAGACAGTTGAGCAAGAAAACTAAATTGGAGCCTCTTGGACCTAGCAGAGGATAGATTCAAAGATGGAAGGTATAGGCAAAGTTTAAGACAAAATTCCATTTCCAAATTGAAAATGAAGTTCTACCATCCAATATCTCTATCATGCACATTTTAAATATTCAGAATACTGAGAATAAAAGATAGTTACAAATATATCACAAAGAAATGTTAAAACTATAATTACAGTGACCCAGTTAAAAACTCTGGGGGAAAATGGGAATACACTAATAAGACGGGGAAGTTTGAAAACAATGTGTGGCCTCAAGTATTTCTCTAAATATCTTTATATAACCCATCAAAGTAAAACTTGAGTGTACCTTACCATATGTAATTTATACCTAAATAAAAATAAATAAGGCACACACACACACACAAAAACAATAGAGCTTGGGCTACAAACTCCCCCTGTCTAATCCCTAAAGATGATTTTTACTGGATCAGTTAATATATGGACTATTCCAGCATGTAAAGTTATCCAGCGATGTAACACTGCAATCTTCTTAAACTTACCCTTGAGAATTCCAGCCATCTATACTGAAAGCGCCTGCTAAGGTTTGGAATTCTGGAATAAACCATTCTCCACACCAAATAGTTGGCAATGGTCCTGTTAACAGAGAGAGATGCCCATTTATTGTATTTTAGGTCAATATCTGATGCTCTGCAGAACATCTTGAGAGAAACAGTTGGCAAAGCTCCATCGAGGGACCTCTTACTCATACAAAAATGCAGAACTTTCACTTGAGAAATGACATAAGATGATACAATGTCAATAAGCACAACCAAAATTGGCTTGCTTTTCACCACCTAACAGAGATAGATGAAGGAAAGATTCCAGCTCCAGCCCTCAGAGTGAACATTTTACTTTCACTCTCAGGGTATAAAGTCCACTGTTACACAGCCTTTCGTGTCTGGAAATTGTGAGTACCTTCAAATTACAGCAGATCCTCGAATAACATCATTTCATTCAACATCCTTTTGTTATACAGTTGATAAGGAAAAAACCAATTCTGGGCCAGGGTCACTGTCTGTGTAGAGTTTGCACATTCTCCTCAAGTCTGCACAGGTTTTCTCTGGGTGCTGTGGTTTCCTCCCACATCCCAAAGATGTGCCTGCTAGGTTAATCGGCGTGTCTACACATTCCCAGTGTGAGTGAGCATGGTGAGCTACTGCACCCTGTGACAGGATGGCATCCTAGCCAGGGCTGGATCCTGCCTGGTGCCCTGAGCTGCCTAGATAGGCTCCAGCACCTGCAACCCTGAACTAGAATAACTGGGTTAATAATTATCTTACTTTCCCCTTCCTGTGTCCAAGTGTTCTCATTGTTCAATTCCCACCTACGAGTGAGAACATGCGGTGTTTGGTTTTTTGTCCTTGTGATAGTTTGCTGAGAATGATGGTTTCCAGCTTCATCCATGTCCCTACAAAGGACATGAACTCATCATTTTTTATGGCTGCATAGAGGGAGGGGGGAGGGATAGCATTAGGAGATATACCTAATGTAAATGACGAGTTGAGTTAATGGGTGCAGCACACCAACATGGCACATGTATACATATGTAACAAACCTGCACGTTGTACACATGTACCCTAGAACTTAAAGTATAATTTAAAAAATGAAAACAAGGATAAAAAAAAGAATATGTCTACAAAAACATTGAATGGGTTCCAAAGATCAAAAAAAATTATCTTACTTGCTTTTATTTGTCTTTCTTAAATGTACGCATAGCTCACATGTATTCAATGTTCAATATTAGAAGTGTTTTGGTCTTTATTTAGAAGTTTGGTGATGTTTTTGTGAGCAGGAATATGCCATGGGAACTTAACTCTTGTTTACATCAATTAGCCTATGGTAAAATTGATTTCATTATCTGTCATTTTGCTTAAAGTCACAGTTTCCAAGAAGCTATCGATGATGTTAAGTGAGGACTTACTGGATTAGGTGACTTGATACAATGCCTATGTATTCTTTGCCTTTGGAAACTAACAGCAAAATATTGGCTAATACCAATCATCTAATTTTGCACCCTCATTCTATACTTACTAAATATGTGAGTTTCGACAAGTCACTTAAGGTCTGTGATTTTATCTTTATTTTTCATACAATGAGGATGATCCCTACCTTACAGAGTTGTTGCAGGGTTCAAATAAATAACAAAATGCTTGACAAATAGTCAATTTCTAGGGTTTTGTCTTTCACTTCCAAATGTATGAACAACCTCATAAGCTCATGTAATGCCTATAATACATATCTTTAAAAATCTGTTAAATTTTAAGGGTTGCCTTTTTCTATAAGCAAAAGATGACCTGACCTCAGAAGAATGTGTGATCTCAGTTAATTTCTAACTCAATAGTGATGATGGATCTTTAATGATCCATTCCCCTCCCAGCTGTGCCATTACCATGGTGACTAATAACACACATTCCTGAAATGGCTTTCTGGTGAGCCAATCACATGAGAGCAATATGACATGATGATGCTAAAAGCCCATCAAGAACAAACTACACTCTCATTTGTATGACATTCTGACACAGTGGACATGCGCTCCTACTAGTAAAATATTTTTCAGCATACACACCCAATACATGGATGTTTAATTTCTATAGAGATATACTAATAGACTAATATATTAGGAATATTTTTAACAAATACAAAAACAGAAATTTCAAAAGATGAGGTAAAATGAAATTTAAAATCTTCAAAAGTCATTAATTCTTCAAACACCATTGGGTTAATTCTTCAAGACACAGTGTCCATATAGGATTTGGTTAATACAACAATGACAATGAATATAAATCCACATTTCTTAGAGTCTTCTTGACTATTTCAAAAATGTATGACATGTCTTTGTCAGATTGCCATTGTCCTTGTTCTTGTTAGACCACCATTGTATTTCTTTTGTCATCTGGCTAACCAACATGGCATACCAGCCTGGGAGAAGGGTCACTTCTGCCAATTTCTAGCTGTTCTCTTGTGCTTACATCATCAATAATCATTTCAATTCCTGTTTCCTGCAAGAATTTTTAAGCCACTTGTCTACTTTGTAAGTAGTAAACTAGATAAACTAGATAATAAAATTCATAAATCCACAGCTATATGTAAACCGCTCAAGATTTTTTTTTTTTTTTTTGAAGATGGAGTCTTGCTCTGTCGCCCAAGCTGGAGTGCAATGGCGCGATCTCCACTCACTGCAACCTCTGCCTCCTAGGTTCAAGCAATTCTCCTGCCTCAGCCTCCCAAGTAGCTGGGATTACACATGCCCGCCACCACGACTGGCTAATTTCTATATTTTTAGTACTGATGGGGTTTCACCATGTTGGTCAGGCTGGTCTCAATCTCCTGACCTCAGGTGATCCTCCCGCCTCAGCCTCCCAAAGTGCTGGGATTACAGGCGTGAGCCACCGTATCAGCTGAGATTATTTTTAATATATTGAATGAAAACAAGCCAGTGAGGGTGACAGTGCCCCTCTCACATGTTCCATACAGATCAAATGAAGGGTCCATAGCCATCAATATAGAACTCAATAAAGTGTAATTATTTTTCTTTATAAAGTTTTTTTATTTCAATAGCTTTTGGGGATGTAAATGGTTTTTGGTTATATGGATAAATTGTATAGTGGTGAAGTCTGAGATGTTAGTGCACCCATCACCCAAGTAATGTACACTGGATCCAATCTATAGTTTTTTTATGCCTCATCCCCTTCCTACCCTCCCTGCTTCTGAGTCTCCAAAGTCCATTATACCACTCTGTATAAAGCCTAATTATTTTTAAATTTAAATAAAGATATAGAAGTTCTAAAATGTTCTTCTCAGACCCAATGGATCTTGTTAGGATATGCGCATTCCCCTAAGACACCACTGCACTAATCAGCAAAGTCCAGCCCTTGCCCATCTCTGTTGAGGCCACTAAGTGGTTTGGGGTCATTCCTTTGGCTCTTTTGCATTCACATCTCCACTCCTTAATAGGACAAGAAGTGCTCACTGAGCACTTATTGTTGGCCAAGTATTGTGCCAGATGCCATGAGGAACGTAAAGAAGTAAGAACCCAGCACCTACAGTTAGAGAACTCAAAGTCCAGCTGGGAACACAGGACTTCAGATTTCAGCTTGTTCATGTAATTGGGTTGTTTAATTGAAGGGACACACTGTCAGTACATAAGGGTCTTTCTTTCATTCACTCAATCAACACATCCTGAGCACCCACATATATACTAACAGTTCTCTGTGCTGGGGAGATGGATAGTCCCTGATTTCCTGAAGCTTTTAGCTGAGCAGGGGAGATGAGGCAAGTGCATAAATAATGATTTGGTAGACACTAGCACCCAAAAGTATGTGCCAGACACTTCACTGTAAGGATAGTACATCTCAAACTGAGGGTTAAGAGTAGGCTTCATGAGAGAAGCATGCCGAAAGGTTAAAAGGCTTTGGTGTTGCAAACAGGAACGTGAACTCTGGACAGGCTAAATAATGGTGGAATCGGCTGATATGTTGGAGAGGATGGTGAACAGGATCATCACTCAAGGAAGTGGGCAGAAAGGCCAGCCACACTGGGGAGATGCAGACAGCGACCAGGTCATGGTGTCTAGCACATTAATGGGCCGATCTTGGTCCTAGTGCAAGGACTTTATGTTCTTTGTCTCTAAAATACCTCTTACCAGGCATGTGAACCATGCTGGATCCATAGGTGGAGACGAGAAGGAGGTCAACAGCCAGCAGATGTCCTTTCATCAGTTCAAAAGATATTCCCTCAAAGGGGTGGTGATGAGCCAGAATAACTAGGGAAGTTGTTAGGGGGCCCAATGGTGGTGGTGGAAGATGTAGTATGGCAAAGTATACTGGGGTTTGAGAAGCAGGGGCCCTTCCAGCTCCCCTGAGATCATCCCATTTAGGCATCTCACATTAATTATGATCCTCACAGTGCTGCTGTAAGAGAGATGTTATTATACCCATTTTACATATGAGGAGACTTCAGGCTTAGAACCATTAAGTAAACTCACGATCACATATTCAGTGAGTCTCAAACTAGTAGAGTCACCTGGGGAAGTTGTTAAAAGTCCACATGCCTAGGCCACCCCAGGCCAATTAAGTCACAATCTCTAAAGTGGGACCCAACATAAATATTGCTTATAAATCTCCTCAGCTAAGTCCAATGTGAGGCCAAGTTGAAGAACCACTGTAATAAGCAATGGAGGCCGGACCAGACCCAGGTGTGTCTAACTCTAAAGCCTGCATGCTTTTCCCTATGCCAGATAGTGATGAATTAAAGCCTCTATTTGGTTTTTTTTTTTTTTTTTTGAGACAGAGTTTCACTCACTCCTGTCACCCAGGCTGGAGTGTAATGGCACAATCTCAGCTCACTACAGCCTCGATCTCCTAGGCTCAAGGTAACCTCCTGCCTCAGCCTCCCAAGTAGCTGGGACTACAGGCATGCGCCACTGTGCTCAGCACATTTTTTTTTGTATTTTTGGTAGAGACAGGGTTTCATGATTTTGCCAAGCTGGTCTCAAACTCCTGGACTCAAGCAATCCGCCCAACTCGGCCTCCCAAGTTGCTGGGATTACAGGCGTGAGCCACCACGCCTGGCCAAAGCCTCTAATTTAGCTAAGATTTCCTGGCCAGTCACAGAGACCCCAAAACACTCCAACAAAGATGCTTCACAGAAATCTGTGGGCACAAAAAGAATTACGAGGACTTCCTGGACAAGGCATTACAAAGGTGATAGCATAACAACCAGACCTCTGCAAGCTGGAAGCTGTAATGCTGAGAAGTTCACACAGCGAGACAATGGCACTGATGAGTTTCTTCAGTGTGTTATAAATACACTGACAGAATGCTATGGAGCACAGTTTTGGAGTGCTAATATTACCACGCCAGGAACAGATATAACCATAATGACTGAATCACTGTCACCTAATGCTCAGATATATCAAAAAGCAAAAATCACAGTCAGCAACAGTCCTTGAAAATAACACATAATATCCTTTTTTCCCAAAAAAACACATTTTCAGCCATATGGTAATTTCCCCAAGTGGCAATAAATCAAACAGAGAAAGGCAAAGCATCTCAAAAGAGCACCCACCACAAAGAGAGCAACATGAAATCATTTCCTAAAGCCTCTGACTTGGAAGATTCTTTTAATTTTTAGATTTGGGATGCTCAATTGGTAATTATAATGCAAATATTCCAAAATCTGAATAAATCCAAAATCAGAAACACTTCCAATCCCAAGTATTTTGGATAAGGGATACTCAAATTGTAGTGGCAGCTTACATTTGTATCACATTTAAGAGATCATAAAATACCTTCTTTGATATTTCTAACAGTGCTGTGAGGTGATTATTATTATTATCCTTATTTTCAGGTGAAGAAAACAAAGGTAAGAGGTCAAGGTACTTCCAAGAATGTGTCAAATCCAGGACTAACATCTGGGTTTTCAGATTCCAGAACTTGCATTTGCTCGTCTTGGTCATACTATCTGAAGTGAGCCACAGAGGCTCTTCTTAAAGGTTCTCAAAGCCAGAGATCTTCCTACAGGCTGCCTAGAGGCTTATGTAAGGCAGTGATTCTGAAAGTGTGTCCCTGAGCCAGCAGCTTCAGCGTCATCTGAGAACTTGTTAGAAAATTCCTAGGCCTTACCGCCAGACCTGCTGAATCAGAATCTGTGGGGTGGGGGGCCAGCAGACTGTATTTTAGCAAACCCTCCAGGGGATTCTGAGGCGTGTCAGGTTTGAAAACAGCTGGTCTAGGAAAACTCCATCTCCGCATCGTTCTGCACACACAGCTCAACTAGGACTTCCTAAATCCCACATCAGTGCTTCTTAAACTTGAATGTATATATGAGTCCCCTGGGGATCTTATTCAATTTCAGCCTCTGATTCAGTAGGTCTGGGGCAGAGCCCGAGAGTCTGCATTTCTGACAAACTCCCCAGTAATGTCTCTGCTGCTCATCTGTAGGCCATTCTTTGGCTAGCAAGACCCTAGATCACTCTCAGAAGAGCTGGCCCCCAGGAGAGGTCCACATAACAGCACATTTTCCAGGTCATCCTTTGGGAACATGCAACAAGAATCATCTTACTTTAATGTACATTGTACTTGCTTTATATGAAAATAAAACTAAAGACAGGAATACTTACAGGGTCCTTGACAAAACTCCAAGGGTTTGCTCTAGGCCAGTCTGCTAAAAAACAAAACAACAACAACAACAAAAGAAAACAGTCCTGGCGCAGATGATCTCCATGGATCCAGCCCTGGCCTGCAAGAGGAAATCACGTCAGCTCCTCCTGATGCCAACCTTCCTTGGCCTCTCCTCCTCCCACTCTTACTCCTCAGATAAAAGTAGATGGGAAGTGTCTGAGGCAGCCTCGAGTCAGGAGTGAGGAGGAGAATTGAGGGGGACAGAAAGGGAGAGAAGTCTATAGTGCCCCTCACCCAGTGATGTGCTAGTAAAGGTTGCCAACTGCCTTGTCAAGAAAAAGAAAAATGATTTGTTACATTTGCCAATTTCCATGGTGTCAAAATCCCCCATAGTTGAATTGAAACTATCAACATGAGATCACCGAACATGTAGTTAGGAAGAGATGCACATAACATGAGGGATCATCACTACCTCCTTACCCCACCCCCCTTTCCACCTCAAACACCAGCTCTTGTTCCCCACAGGCAGCCTCCAGCTCATTCCTCCAAGGGTCCCTCCCTGGCCACCTACCCCCTTGGACTGCAAGGGCTGGTGTGGTTTGGCACCACCACCACTGGAGGATCTCATTGCTCTAATTCTGTACCATGCACCACCTACCAAAGAGTCAGTGCCACTGTCCCCACAGCCACTCAGTCAGAGAAAGAGGCCTAATCCCCTAGACTGGCAGTGGGAGTAATATAAGAAGGGAGAAGCAGCAATTGAGAAATGAGCAGCTGAAAGAAAAAAACAAACAATCCCATCAAAAAGTGGGCAAAAGACATGAATAGACAATTCTCAAAAGAAGATATACAAAGGGCCAACAAACATATGAAAAATGCTCAACATCACTAATTATCAGGGAAGTGCCAAACCACAATGAGATACCACCTCACTCCTGTGAGAATGGCCATAATCAAAAATCAAAAAAATAACAGATGTTGGCATGGATGTGGTGAAAAGGGAACACTTTTACACTGCTGGTGGGAATGTAAACTAGTACAACCACTATGGAAAACAGTATGGAGATTCCTTAAAGAACTAAATAGAACTACCGTTTGATCCAGCAATACCACTACTGGGTATCTACCCAGAGGAAAAGAAGTCATTATACAAAAAAGATACTAGCTCATGCATGTTTATAGCAGCAGCACAATTTGCAATCGCAAAAATATGGAACCAACATAAATGCCCATCAACCAACGAATGGATAAAGAAAATGTGGTATATATACACCATGGAATACTACTCAGCCATAAACAGGAAGGAAATAATGGCATTCGCAGCAGCCTGGATAGAGCTGAAGATGATTATTCTAAGTGAAGTAACTCAGGAATGGAAAAACATATATCGCATGTTCTCACTTATAAGCAGGAGGTAAGCTACGAGAATGCAAAGGCATAAGAATGATATAATGGACTTTGGGGACTCAGGGGGAGAGTGGGAGGGGGTAAGCAATAAAAGACTACATATTGGGTACAATGTACACTGCTCAGGTGATGGGTACACCAAAATCTCAGAAATCACCACTAAAGAATTTTTCCATGCAACCAAACACCACCTGTTCCCCCAAAATTATTGAAATAAAAATAAAAATAAAAAATAAGAAATGAACAGCTGACACCAACACAGGATGGCTTTGAACTGCTGAACATTGCAGGAAAATTGCCAAAGCTAGCAATATCTAACTAGCTGAGGGTACAATACGCTAGCATCTCCAAAATGAGCAGTGAAGCATCTGAAAAGTATCTCTTTTCACACCAAGACATTTATGGAAAAAAAGAGACAAGACATAGAAATGAGGGTGACCCCATTTAGAATCTCAGCTCTGTTTCCTCTTAGAGGTGTGATCTTGGCCAAGTCACTTAACCTCAGCTTCCTCATCTGTAAAGTGGGAACAACGCATAGAATTGTTGTAAAGATCAAAGATGTTAACCATAGTGGTGGTTAACATCACCATTACCTGTATATGATTTTTATAGGCAGATTCTCGAAACAGAGGCACAGCAGAGATGCCCAATGTGAGAAGGCTTGGCTGGCTTTTTCTTCAATGGTGCCTCCAAGGGAAAGGTAGGAGGTGGGGGGATCCTCAGAACATTCATCTGATGCTTTTCCTCTACATATCCTGAGCCCAAGCTGGCCTCTCAGCTCTCTAGCCCCCTGCCTTGCAGGCAACACCCAAGTTCACATTGGTTCCACCACTGAAGATGCTTACCATCCCCTTTTCTCTATTCTTCCCTACCTAGAAAATTCCTCTTTATCCTTTGGGGTTCCATTCATATGTCACCTCCTTGTGGTGGTGATGGGGTATCTGGTTAACTTCTAGAATTTTTAAAGTGTCTACTACATGAGAAGCACTGTGCTAGGTCACAACACTTAAAAAAGCAATCACAAGACAGCCTGCCAGAAGCAACCTAAGTGTCCATCAACAGATAAATGGATTTTTAAAAATGTGGTACATATACACAACGGAGGACCATTCAGCCATAAAAAAGAATGAGATCCTGTCATTTCCAGAAACATGAGTGGAACTGGAGATCATAATGTTAAGTGAAATAACCTGGCACAGAAAGACAAACTTCACATGTTCTCACTTATCTGTGGGAGCTAACAATTAAAATAATTGAATTCATAGAGATAGAGAATAGAAGGGTGGTTACTGGAGGTTGGGAAGGATAGCAGAGGGGAAGGAGGGAAGGAGGGATGGTTAATGGGTACAAAAAAATAGAAAGAATGAATAAAACCTAGTAGTTGCTAGCACAACAGGTAACTATAGTCAAAAATAGTGTAATTGTACATTTTTAAATAAATAAAACAGTATAATTGGATTGCTTGTAACACAAAGGACAAATGCTTGAGGGGATAGATACCCCATTTACCTTGATGTGATTATTATGCATTACATTCCTGTATCAAAATATGTCCTGTGCCCACAAAAATTAAAAATTAAAAAAGAGTGCCTGCCATGAGGTGCTCACAGTGTCATAGAGGTAGGGAGCAGGGAAGTATTTGCCATTGAGAGAAAAGTGGTCATTTCAAGAAAATGAGATAGGCTCTTTGATAAAGGCATGTCTAGGGAAACTCCAACTCCTTTTCCTTCTGGGTATATAGCTAAACTATATTTCCCAGTCTCCCCTACAGCTAGATGAGTCACAAGACTGAGTTCTGGCTTATGGATTATGGGTAGAAGTGACATACCCCACTTCTAGGCCTTCCCACCAAAACCTATACAATCCTCCACCCTCTCTGTTTCTCCATCCTCCAGCTGAATAGAGAGGATGCCAAACATCCAAGGGAGGGCAGAGCCATAAGATGAAAGGAGTCTGGCTTCCTAAGTCACTATTTAGAAGAAAGCTCTCTTACAGGGACACCCATGTTCAGACTGTTCCATGAGCAGAGGGTACAATTTAGCCAATGAGTGTTTAGAGGTGCTGGTTATAGCAACTGGCATATCCTGACCAATATGGCAATTATGGGAACCCAAGAAGACTTTTCCTCAAGTAGCCCTGTAATGCTACACGAGTGGTGATTAAACACGATCATCAATGAAAAAACATCACCATAGTCTGCAAATAAAATGCTGTCAGACTTCTCATGATGTGTACGTTGTATTGAAATCTCACAAGAATACGCAGAACACAAGTTGCTTTTTATAAACTGGTGGTTGAGGGATAAACTGTGTGAAAGAGATTTGGGATTTGGCTTTATTTTTATTTATTTATTTTTTAAGACAGAGTCTCGCTATGTCACCCAGGCTGGAGTGCAGTGGTGCGACCTTGGCTCACTGCAACCTCCACCTCCTGGGTTCAAGCGATTCTCCTGCCTCAGCTTCCCAAGTCGCTGGGATTACAGGTGCCAGCCACCACGCCCAGCTAAATTTTGTATTTTTTTTAAGTAGAGACGGGGTTTCACCATGTTGGCCAGGTTGGTCTTGAACTCCTGGCCTCAAGTGATCTGCCCACCTCAGCCTCCCAAAGTGCTGGGATTACAGGTGTGAGCCACCGCGCCTGGCCAATTTTTGTCCTTATTTTTAAATGAAGTTGTATGTGTACATAACATCTAAGGTGACTTTTCCATCTATGTTTTTTCTACTGTTGTTCTCTACGTTTATATTTGTCCAAGTTATCATTTTGACAAGAATCAGAGTAAAATCTCCCTCCAATCATGCTCTTTTCCATTGTTATGAAAGGTCCTGCAATTACCAAGTAAAATCATCACGATAGAGATGCTTTTTCTAATACAGTAAACCAAATCCCAATCTATCCCCTGATTGTAAATTAGGCTTTTTTGGAAGTAAAATCAATCAGTGTTCAGAAGTACCTACTCTTTTAACACAGATACTAGAAGAAACTGACTCACGAGGTGAAGGATGAATCTAAAGCAGGCCAAACTCCACCTTTCAATGGAAATTACCACCAAAATTTAAAATGTGCTCCGTAACTCAATGGCATATGAGTAGAAAATCGTTTGGGTCATATTTTATAGTATTTGAGAGCTAGGAAGTACTTACAAAGAAATTTTCTAATACAGTGATCCCCTTCCCCTCCCCTAAGAAAAGTTAATCATAAGATTCTTCTGAGGTACTTGTTTAAAATAAAGATTACTTGGCCTCCCCTCCAGCTCTACTGGATCAGACTCAATGGAGGAGGGCCTTGGAATCTGCATTTTTAACAAGCACCCGAGGTGATGCTGCTGACATTCCTGGTCCATGGAGCAAGGCTCTACCCTGCAATATAATTACGTACCTCTAGATTCAATTTCCATTTAGAACATTTTCAAAGAATCCTGGCTTATCTCTAAATGATAGAATTTTAAGTAAATTAATTGTTTCTTCTCTCCTTTTTCTGTATGTTTTCCTCAGTGAACACAGATTACTTTTATCATCAGAAAGTATCTTAAAAAGAGCAGCAGCTCCTCTCAGGTGTCTAAGTGTTTCCGTAGGGGATAAATGCTACATTTTCTTCCAAGGACTGTTGTGCCTTTTTTAAAAAACGTAACTTCTGGCAACATAGCCTTGTCTGAGTCCAAATAAGAAAATGTGATTTTAATCATGGCCCAGCAATTAACTCAGTAAAGTGTTTTGTAAACTCGTTGATTCATTTTGTAAGCTCTGTGATTCATTTTCTGTAGTCAAAGCTGAATGCCTTAAGGAACCTGTAAAATTCTCCTTCCTGGAATATTGGAAGATTTTTCTTTGTAGCAATAAACTAGCAAAGCAACAAATTCTAAAACATTCTTTAAAATAAGAAAAACCTGGCAGTTCCTAAAGTTGTTTTATCCGTGCAATTTTTCTACCACTCTCAAGGTGGTCTTGTGTCTTCTCAATACAGTTACTTTAGTTTATTGCCAGAAAGTGACTTAATGGTTAAAAAGGAACCAGGAAAAAAAAAAAAAAGCAGCAAAAGATTGAGAATGAACTGGGGAAAAAAAAAGATGTTCACACAGACATTTTAGAAAATAACATCATTATATGACTAGCTCCCCAAGCTCATAAACAATTTAGGATCTCAAAGAGAACAGCATGGAGAAAGACCAGAAATAAAGGGCAAAAACATTTGTTATCATTGCAGCAAGTAAATTACACCAGACAGTGCTTTTGGCCAGTTCATCACAAAGGACACCGGGATTTTCCCTATGACTCTTTTGATGTAACATTCTTTAAAAACAGTTTTCAAAGGATGTGAGAAGGGAAGCCCTTATAATTTAAAGAAAACACAAAAGTCACAGTAAAATTCATGTGAAAGTTCTTACTTCTTTCTCTCAGACCCTAATATCCTAAACAAATCTTTAAAGTACTGCGGGACGCGGACCACCACATTCTCGGAGGGGCTGATGTCTTTCAGATGGGGGTAGAGTCTGGTGTCAATGACCTTCTTGATGTAGCCCAGCCAGTCGAACTGAGGGGAGAGAGAACAAAACAGAATGAGAGAATCTCGGTTAGGTAGCAAGTAAGAAAGGCAGATAGAGTAGATTGAGCATCATTCATTTCTTTTGATTTCACACCTAATAATTCAAGATGCAACTACTCAAGTCTAGAAAATAAACTCCTGATCATTGCCATCCAGACCTATTGTCTTTTTTTTTTTTTTTTTTTTTTTTTTTTTTTTGAGACATTCTCGCTCTATCACCCAGGCTGGAGTGCAGTGGCATGATCTTGGCTCACTGTTACCTCTGCCTCCTGGGTTCAAGCAATTTTCCTGCCTCAGCCTCCTGAGTAGCTGGGATTACAGGCACCTGCCACCACACTTGGCTAATTTTTTTTTTTTTTTTGTATTTTTAGTAGAGGTGGAATTTCACCATGTTGGCCAGGCTGGTCTCGAACTCCTGACTTCAAGTGATCCACCCACCTTGGCCTCCCAATGTGCTGGGATTACAGGTATGAGCCACCATGCTCGGCCTGACCTATTGTCTTAATCACAAATGGAGCATGTGTTCTGTACCATCTACATCTGGACGACACCCACACACACACTAACACAGTAATATGCACCCTCACTCCCTTGGCCCCCTCCAGTACTCTTCCTCCTTCCTGAACTCTCCCCTCTGTCTTTCTCTCCCCATTCTGCTCTCTCCCTGTCCAGTACTCTTCCTCTATTCTATACTCTTTCTTCCTCCCATACTCTTCCCTCCTTCTCTCCTGCATTTCTCTTCCTCCTTCTAAATTCTTCCTCTATACGGTACATTTTCTCTCTCCCTCCCTCCCTTTCTCTGTCCTGTACTCTCCCTCACTCTCACATACACACAGAAACAGATGCCCCAGTACATAATTTGTCTCTGTGACACAGTTTTTAAAAAAAAAAAAAAAAAAACACAAGAGGAAATAAGCAGCAACAGAAAGTAAATGCAGCCAGGCATGGTAGCTCACACCTGTAATCCCAGCACTTTGGGAGGCCGAGGCAGGTGGATCATTTGAGGTCAGGAGTTTGAGACCAGCCTGGCCAATCCCATCTCTATCAAAAATACAAAAATTAGCTAGGTGTGGTGGCCGGCACCTGTAATCCCAGCTACTCGAGAGGCTAAGGCAGGAGAATCACTTGAACCCGGGAGGCAGAGGTTGCAATGAGCCAAGATCACACCACTGCACCCCAGCCTGGATGACACAGCAAGACTGTGTCTCAAAAAAAAACAAATAAAAACACAGAAAGTAACATGCCTCCATTCTTCAGAGCATCCCTATCCTACCTAAAACACCATATGGTGTTTTTTAGATTGGCTACTCTAAAAGTCTTTTCCCAACCTTTTCTTCCTTGCCTGTGTCCACTGTTGAAACGGAAAACCAGTTACTCACTTGCCCAACCTCCCCTGTGGTTAGGAGTGGCCATGTGACCCAATCCTACTCAATAAGAAATAAAGGGAAGACATCTGGAGATGTTCTGGAAAGGCTTGTTTGTTTTTCCTAGTAAAAGAGTTAGACACATCACTGGCCCTTTCACCTTCTTCCTGCTCTGACAGCAGATGTGATATATGGAGCTGTGATGGATACCTTGGAACCATGAGTCATCAAACATGAAGTCAAAAAGCCAACACACTAAACACAGTAGGATGGAAAGATAGAAAGAACTTGGGCCTTTGACAACACTGTTAAACAGCTGAGCCAATGCCAACAATTACCTATGTCTAGACTTTTGTCATGTGAGAATATAGGCTTTAAGTTTCTAAGCCACTGTTGGAAAGATGTTTTGTTCCCTGTAACAGAAGGCATCCCAATACACAGACAAGGGATATTTTATGTGATTGTTGACAAAGATGATGATAACCAAGACTGAGAGCAGGTTTTACAAGACACAAATTTACACAGAGATGAAATCCAATCCCTTCTAAAATGATGAGTTGAGAGAAAGTTTTCTGGATAGTTTTCACCAACCTGGGGAATCATAGCACTCAGTTCAGAAATGTTCATTTTGTTGTACATGGCCTCGCTGGTTCGGTTTTCATGTGGAATCATTATCTGTTGAAAAGAGATTTTTGTTATTTTTTTTCAAGTGAACCATTTCTTACTGTATGATTACTTCCTACATGTGCCAAAACATCTGCATAGTATTATAAAGTTTTTCAAGGCTTTGGTGTGGTCCCCAACTCGGGGAAGAGAAAAAAAGACATCACTTTAGGCAGGATTAAGAAAATAAACTTTCATATCCTCCTCTGTGTGAAATATTGTCCCCAGTACAAAAAGAACTACCCCAAATCTCCCTCCCAATCTATAATGTGGATGGGCAAAATCTATTGCTGGCTCAATTTTGACAATCAAACTTAAGTTGGACATTGAGGTAAACATCCCATTGTCACCTGTGGTCTCCAGATAATGATTTCAATATTTCATGAACCACAGACCATCCCTTCACCTCTAGGGGCAAATTTTCACTGATGAACACAAGACTATCTGGATGCCACTGTTCCCCGTGATCATTTTGTCAACAGCTCATTCCCTCATTTCCCCTCTTGTCTCTTTGGCCTTGAGATTTCCCTAGCCCCATTGCTGGGGGTATGGATTTAGTCACCGCCTGGACACACATTTCAAAACTTGCCTCTCTCTAGCCCTGGCTCTATACTCTTTCAATTCCTAATACTCATGCTCTTGGCCATTTGGCCAACACCAAATCTGAGCTTCTAGCCTCCACTATGTTTAACCTAAGAACAGCAGCAATGATTATCTTCCTCAAGGATCATCTTAATCACTTCCATTGACCAGCAGTAGCTCACATATCCACCCCTCAATCACGTCATGACTTTGCCTTCGGGCCTTCCATCATCTAATTCCCTTGCATTAAACTTGCCACCTTCCCACTGCACACATGACTCTCCGACTCTTGCATCTCCTATCCACCATCACCACCTCCATGGTTTGAACTATGACTCAGGACTGCCCAAGACTCACTGCATCTAGCAAGCCTTTCCAATTACACTCCACTTGGTTCCAATCACAAGGGCTACTCCATCAATAAAACCTCTCCTTGTGCACACATCTCTCTAGCTGGATTGGTTAAGTATATGCTTCCCTGGTTGTAATTACAAGGACGTATTTGGCTGGGCTGGACTGTCTTGTCTTCCCAGCTTCAGAAGTTTCCATAGGACTATGTATCCCACTAATTTTAAAAGTACCTAGTGATGTGTAGTGTAAGATATGGAAGTGAGCATTACTAGCAGTGATTTTTCAAGGTAAAAATTACAGAGGGCTGACTGGCAGACGTCTGGCCCCTCTTTGCTAAATGCTTCAGTGTCCTTAGCTTCCCTTTCTTCACCCTCCACAGGAGAGACCACATGTAACTTACAAACAGCCTCCTGGCTCGGTGTGAATCATTGCCTCAGAGGATATCCACACTCCTCTTCCACCAATCCCTCCTCCGCCCTCGGAGTCTCACAGCCCCAAGTTGGAGCCCTTTGGCCTCAGAGCTGTTTTCAGCTCTCTGCCAGCCACTCCCCTCCACACAATAGATTTGTCACTTCATTTAGCCTTTTGACAATTCCCAGTCTTGCCTCAGCCCAGCTGTTTTTAGTTCCCTTTTTGGTCCAAATCCCTGGCTCAGGGCAAGGCCTTCCCTGCTGTTTCAGAGTTTTAGTCCAAATGAGAGCCCTGGGCCTCCTATGTGCCTGGAAAGAGAATTCAGACAGACTCTAGACATGGCTCAGAGGCACAGTCCTGGACTTCGAAACATCTGCAGCAGTCTTCACAGTCTTCAAAGGTGACATGCAGGAATGAACTTTTTGCACTGCAAGTAGGAGTTTGGAGAGAGCTATACACGAACATCACCACGGCAAAGAGAGAGAGACCAATTCCTCCTTACCCTTATCCTTCATCCCTACTCCATACCTCAACACACCACCACCACCTCGCCAAACAAAACCAATCAACATTTGGACTCTTATTCATCTCGAGATTTTTACCAACTTCTCTTGTAAAAGATTCCCAACACATACGCAAAACTTTCTTGGTAAAAAGTATCATTTTTTTCACTACAGGGTTTCCCCAGAAGCAGATTTTACCACATTTATTCCCTCTTGGCCTAGGAACATATAGAGAGATTTTTACACTTTCTTTCTTCTAGAAAAAAGTTATTCCATAAACAAAGCTAACCATTTAGGAGTTCTCATTATTTTGCCCACAAGTTTGTTTTTACATCTTTTTGTCTCTACAATGAGCCAACAAGAAGTTAAGGTAATTTACATAGACATGTAGTTCTGTGTCATGTATATGACACAATGATATTCATTAAAGTAGGGCAAGAAAATAATGAAAAACAGGGGCAGGTACAAAGTAATACCAGAAAGGTCGTTTAAAAATGCTTACCAGCATGTCCTACCTATTTCTATACCAACTTTTATATCCAGTATTGGTGGACAGATTTCCCTGAGCCCAGAACTTAAGCCAGAATGACTCTGAGTGGGGATAGCATAAAACATGGGCTGGATTAAAAGCAACCTTCCATTCAAGCCAGATTACTAAGGATTTATTAAACATCTATCTTCTATTTAAGCCAAACATGAGTTTCTCCAGGAAAAACGGTCAGAGGGTCTCTCTGCTGCTATTCTTTGGCCACAGCTGAGCAACGTATGGACACTGAATGGGCTTAAACCAGGGAGGTGGAAGGAATGAGGAGCTTTTCTGTCACAGTCCTTGTTACTTCCTAGAGGGGATGCTATTAGTTCTACCTTGGGCCCAATGGGCAATGACACAAAACGCTATTATTTGTTTGCAATTTATATTTTCATTCAGGATATACTGCCTTTAATAAAAGGAAAGGAAAAGAAAGTAAAGGAAAAGAAAAGAAAGTAAAGGAAAGAAAGAGATTTTCAGTGAAGACTTACCTCAGCTATCTTAATTTCCAATCTGAGCACTGACTTCATGTCATGCTCTGCTCTGGAACTGTTAGCTCCTAAAAGCACGGCAGTATCCACCATGAACTTGTAAAGGGCATCCCGATACTGTAAGAAATAAAGAACAAAGTGACCATGACAATAGCTTCTTAGGAAATATGTTTGAGAGACATGGAAGAGCAGAAAATAGCAGGTAGAAATAAATGTCTTTTATTTTCACTCTGTACTCAAAGTATGGTGCAGGCATTATGCAATACCAGGCACCCATATAACACTTTGGGAGAAAAAAAGAGTGACGGCTACTTGAGTACTGTTTCCATGACAGACAGAGATGTCCAGCCATCAAGCAACAAGAGAACTAGTTTTCTGGCAACCGTCGATATTATGGATACATGAAATAACTCCAAATGAGACAAGAATAGAAAGTTAAAGGTCAGACTTCCTCTTTCCAGACAAGTGAGGCTTTAATAAAACAATGGGAAAGAACTGTTTCTAAAAGCAGGAGGCCTGATCCATAAAGAATGGTGGGAGGTGTGATTTATTCTCTTGCAACTCAATTTACCCACCTTCACACTAAGAAATAAAAGACCAGTGACAGCAGCCCTGTGTCTTTTCAGGTTTTTACAGTTTTCACAAAGTCCTGCTCCCTAGCTCAGGAAAAAAAGGAGAAAAGAGAGGAACGATGATAGGAAACCTAACAAATAGCAAATATAGAATTTCCTTCTTACATACTCATAAACCCATTTTGGGGATAATCATATGTCATTGGGTGGGGCAGGGGTGACCTTACTTAATGGGAATTAAAGAACTGCCTTAGGCCCACCTCTCATTTCAGATATATTTGTGAGATCTCAACGCATCAGGTATTAAATGACCTCCTTCTCATGCATTGGGAATAAGATTTACTAACTTATACCTTGACTCTGTAAGCTATTCTTACTATATGTATGACCTTAGGACCTATACAGTACTTAGCATACAGGAGGCCTTTAATAAATCTTTGTTGAATCAGTAAGCAAGCTTTGAAAAGAGTCTTAAATAGGCTGGGCGTGGTGGCTCACGCCTGAAATCACAGCACTTTGGGAGGCTGAGGCAGGTGGATCACGAGGTCAGGAGTTCAAGACCAGCCTGGCCAACATGGTGAAACCCCGTCTCTACTAAAAATACAAAAAAACTAGCTGGGCGTGGTGGCGCACGCCTGTAGTCTCAGCTATTCGGGAGGCTGAGGTAGCAGAATCGCTTGAACCCAGGAGGCGGAGGTTGCAGTGAGCCGAGATTATGCCACTGCATTCCAGCCTGGGCAACAGAGGGAAATTCCATCTCAAAAAAAAAAAAAAAAAAGAAAGAAAGAAAAGAAAAGAAGTCTTAAATAGAAATAATATTTTGCTATTCCTAATTCAATTCAAAACATATTTATTGGCCGGAGGTGGTGGCTCACACTTGTAATTCCAACATTTTGGGAGGCCGAGGTGGGCAGATCACTTGAGGCCAGGAGTTTGGGACCAGCCTGGCCAACATGGTGAAACCCTGTCTCTACTAAAAATACAAAAATTAGCCCGGCATGGTGGTGCATGCCCATAATCCCAGCTACTCGGGAGGCTGAGGTGGGAGAATCACTTGAATCCAGGAGGCAGAGGTTGCAATGAGTCGAGATTGTGCCACCGCACTTCAGCAGGGGCAACACAGTGAGACTCTATCTAAAAAGAAAAACCAAAAAACATATTTATTGAGTACCTACTCAAATGTACAAGGTGGCTTGGTAGGCCCTCTGTGCATATGTTAGGAGAGGGTGGTACAGAAAAAAAATAATAATGCTGTGTCTGGTTCCCAAACAGTGAGGGAGATAAACATGTAATTATGAACTGTAACATTAAAGACATCAAAATAACTTCCTTAATAAAGCTGCTACACGCTTGGAAACTGAAGATCTGAGAGAAAAATCTAGCCCGGAGAAACTGGGGACATAGCATTTGAGGGAGACTGGTTCCAACGCAGTGAAGGGTCCTGTGAGGTGGGTGATATGGTTTGGCTGTGTCCCCACCCAAATCTCACCTTGAATTGTAATAATCCCCACATGTCAAGGGTAGGGCCAGGTGGATATAATTGAATCATGGGGGTGGTTTCCCCCACATATTCTCATGGTAGTGAGTAAGTCTCATGAGATCTGATGGCTTTATAAATGGGAGTTCCCCTGCACAAGCTCTCTTGCCTGACACCATGTAAGACGTGACTTTGCTCCTCATTCACCTTCTGCCACGATTGTGAGGCCTCCCCAGCCACATGGAACTGTGAGTCCATTAAACCTCTTTCCTTTATAAATCACCAAGTCTCAGGTATGTCTTTATTAGGAGAAAAAGAATGGACTAATACAGTGGGCAAGCTGCTTTTGTTGGGGGAAGAACAAATCCAGATGAGATAGGAAAGATGACTTGGGATAAAGTCATGAGGCAGCCTTGAAAGCCCTCTAAAGAATTTAGACCCTGTCTTGGGAGCGAAGGCATGCTAGGAGCAGTGCTTTGAGAACAGAACTTGTCAACTGGTGCTAAGGAGGCAATGTGATGAAGGAGAAGCAGTAACAGTTAAAAGGCTACTTGCTGTAGTCAAGGCAAGAGTTAACAAGAATCTGACCTATAGCAGTCAGGATAGAAAAGAGGGACCAAGTGGATGGAAGAGATATTTTGAAGGTAGAATCATTAGGACTTGACAGATAGGTTATAGGGGGAGACGATTTTGAGCCTGGTTGCTGAGACTCCATCAATACCAGGGGTACACCCTCCCCCCACATTGGCAAATGTTCATTCTGTCCACTTTTAGGAAGGAAAACTTGCCAACCCTCTTTGGTGAGTGTCCTCAGCAAGAAAGCTGCCCAGCATCTTAGTTAGCTTCCCTCCAGAGCCTTCTATGTATAGAAGTTAGTATCGGCATAGACCCAGGGGACCTAGGTCTGAGGCTCCTTTGGAAGTTCAATAAAGTTTCCAAAATAAATTGAAAGTGTCAGAAATGAACCAGCTCTTTCCAATATCCAGGAGACTGCTAGATTTCTAAGCCAATCCAAGAAGTCTAACTTGATTGATCCTTTCTGATTCTTATTAAACCTCCATTAACCTGGAACACCTGTTAAAAATATAGATTCTCAGACCCTACCTCAAGTCTAAGTCAGACTCTCCAGGGCTGTGACCCAAGAAGCAACATTTAATGAAAGCCTCCCAAGTGATTCTAAAGCAGTACAATTTGGGAACCATCTGTCTCCTGGGTATCTCTTCTGACGCTTTATTTCTGCAATTGATAGTGAGCTCTCTGCACTTCTGAGGAATGAATGACTGCAAGCTCATTTCTTTGTTACTTCATTTGGGAGTGCTGTCTCCCAAGCTAGATAAGGGCATTGAGTACTGAGACTTGTACAGCCTTGATGAGCAGACTTCTAGAAAGACAGGGAGTGGAATTTATCTGCCTGAATAAAAGTCTTCCTGCATTGGGAATATGGTCATTGAATAGCCACACTGCTCATTTCCAATAAAGAAGCAGCGGCCTTAGAACTAATGGGCCTGACAGCAGCCTGGTAAGGCACATAGTTGAATATGAGTAAAACTTACAGACTTGGCTTCTGTACTGTTATCAAGGTAGTCTTCCCTCACGGCCAGGGAGAGTGTTGCTTGGTCCAGCTGTAAAAACAAAAACAGAAAGCATTCTGCTAGCACTGTAAATTCTTACGTACCATGTTAACAAGAGTGATGAAATCGTCTGCATCCCAGCCATATTTTGAGCTCATGTCACCATTACAAAAACAATTCAGTACACTCAGAATTACATGCAAATAGGCACTTTGGCAATGACAGATATAATAAACTATCAGAGACCTGCCCCTGCTTTTCTAATTTATGTTTTCTAAACCTTTTGAGGTCCTATCAACACTGAATAACAACAAGGCTATTTCAGTTGGAATAGATCTTAGAGATTATTAGCTATTCTCCCTTATTCAATGGGAGGAGAAACAAAAGCCAGATAATTGTTGTGACTTTCCCAAGGTAACATGATTGGGCAGAGCTCAGACTAAAATCGTTGTCTCCTATCACCAGTTCCAGTATTTTTCTCATTGCAGTGTTTTGCAAAATGCCAATCTGTATAGAGTTGATTAATCAGACGTTTCCAACTCCTTATCTCTAAAATAACATATGGCATTGATTTTTTTTTATTTGAATGGAATCAAATAATAATTTTGTTTTGAGAAACCTTCGCAAATGTTAGAACCCTCTCTGGAAGGTTTAGGATAAGTGATAAAAACACAAATAATAACCAGACAACTAAATAAGTAGAATTACAGTGATAGAAAAGTATAGTATAAATTCTTGAATTAAAACTTTCAGCACCTTAGGCTGGTGTGGTGGCTCACACCTGTAATCCCAGCACTTTGGGAGGCCAAGGTGGGTGGGTCACTTGAGGTCAGGAGTTTGAGACCAGGCTGGCCAACGTGGTGAAACCCCGTCTCTACTAAGAATATAAAAATTAGCCAGGTATGGTAGCGTGTGGCTGTAATCCCAGCTACTCAGGAGGCTGAGGCAGGAGAATTGCTTGAACCTGGGAGATGGAGGCTGCAGTGAGCAGAGATCACGCCACTACACTCCAGCCTGGGCAACAGAGCAAAACTCTGTCTCAGGAAAAAAAAACAAAAAAAACAAAAAAAAAACAAAAAAAACTTTCAGCACCTTAAAGGTAAACAAAAGAAAGAAGACAGTCTTTTCAAAGAGCGTGTTAGAAAAACTGGACATCCAGGCCTTGTGTGGTGGCTCATGCCTGTAATCCCAGCACTTTGGGAGGCCAAGGCAGGCAGATCACTTGAGGTCAGGAATTCAAGGCCAGCCTGGCCAACACGGTAAAACCCAGTCTCTACTAAAAATACAAAAATGAGCCAGGTGTGGCGGCACGCACCTGTAATTCTAGCTACTTGGGAAGCTGAGGCAGGAGAATCACTTGAACCCAGGAGGCGGAGGTTGCAGCAAGCTGGGATGGCGCCACTGCACTCCAGCCTGGGTGACAGAGTGTGACTCCATCTCAAAGAAAAGAAAAACTGGGCATCCATAAGCAAAAAGAAAATAAACCTTTACACATACCTCACACCTTAGTCAAAAATTAACTGAAAATGAATCATAGCCCTAAATGTAAAACCTAAAACTATAAAACTTCTGGAAAAAATATTGGGAAAAATTTTTGTTACTAGGGGTTAGACAAAGAGTTTTTAGACATGACAATAAAATCACAATCCTTAAAAGAAAAAATAAATTAGACTTTATCGACATTGAACAAATTTGCTCTTGAAAGAAACTTAACAGAATAAAAAGACAAGCCACAGAATGGGGAAAATATCTGAAAATCACATATATGACAAAGGACGTGTATCTAGAATACATAAAGATTCCTCAAAACTCAACCATAAGAAAAGAAACAACTCAATTTAAAATTGAGCAAACGATTCTAACAGACACTTCATCAAAGAACATATGAAGATAGAAAATAAGAACACGAAAATATGCCCAACATCATTAGTCATTAGGAAAATGTAAATTAAACCCACAATAAAACACTACCATAGATCTGTTAAAATGGAAAAAAAAATCTGACAACTGCTGGTGGGGACGTGGAAAAGTTGGATCACTCATGTATTACTGGTAAGAATGCAAAATGGCACAGCCACTTTGGAAGGAAACCAATTTTACAGTTTCTTATAAAGTTCAACATACATTTACACAAGAGCCAGCAATCCTACTTCTAGGTATTTACCCAGGAAAAAAATTTAAAGTCACACAAAAACCTGTATGTAATTTTATTCAATATCACCCAAAACTGGAAACAACCCAAATGTCCTCCAATTCATGAAAGCATAAACTGTGGTATACAATGGAATACTACTCAACAATAAAAGAGAATGAACTGATACAACATGGGTGAATTTTACTTACATCCTGAAAAAGCCAAACTTTACAGGAACAGGGAACAAAGTGATGGCTAACAGGGTTTGGGCATGAGGAGAGGGCTTGACTTAGCAAAGGGATAACATGAGGTATTTGGGGGTGGATGATGGGACTATTCTATTTCTTGATTACAGTGGTGGTTACATGACTCTATGCATTTGTCAAAACTTAGACATGTACATCACAAAAAATGAATTTATGTAAATTTTAAGATACTTTAAAAAAATTTCCAGCACCTTCTCTAAATCTGTGGTTTGTTCTTTCTTGAATATCAGCAACTGACTAAAGATAAATAAAATGAATCTCAAGAAGAGTAGATTTTTCCAAATTAAATCTCTAATTCACACATTAAACATTAAGCCAAAATAATAAGAAACAAAATCTAAACAACAAATTAAAAATTAGTAATATCTGAATAAAAACTGAATCCTACATGCCCATACCATTAGTTTATATGACTTTAAACTGTTTTGACCCATCTCCTCCAGCTTCTTTTTCGTCTTACTATAATCTTAAATACATAAATTTGTATAAGATTACAGTTTTCCATGAAACTGCCCTTAATATACAACAAATTTTACAAAGGCCACGTTAAGAATTAGTGATATTATGAAAAATTCCAGGAAAAACATAACTCTTGTTTCAGGGGAAAAAAGGCACTTTCAAAACACCCATCTTGTCTGTGTATACTGCTAAAATCCTCAAATTATTTTGTTCAACCCTCTCTCATTGGCCTGAAACAACAAAGTCACAAGCCTTCCTGGCTTCGTCCTACTGCAATTCCCAATCTGCCACTATTTCTTCCAAAAATTAAGCAAGCCACGATCATGAAACACAATATTATGATTAAGACACTTTGGCTTTCAATTAAATTTGGACCACTTGAAGAATCTTTTGAGCTTGAGTCTCATAGGAAAGGAAACTGTGTAGATATTATCAAGAAAGCCAAAGTTTCCCTCTCATGAAATAAAGTTAAATCCACTTATTGTAAAAGTTTAGATAATTCAAGTGAGGTTACCAGACCTTTTATAAACTTTCAGATTGTTATGGTTTCTAGGGAACATTTTAAACACACCAACCAACAAATTGAATAAGGTCAGTCAAATAAATCTCATTAGAAACATACAAACTCTTGAGGCAAAAGACTTTCTCATGAAGCAATCAGGACACTGCGTTGAGATTTTTTAAATCCTTGCATTTACAACTGATCTAAATACTGTAAGCAGAAAATAAAGTATGTTTTTTAGGAAATCCAACACATTTAACTGAAAATATAAATGTTTTCTCCAATTACAACTGGCATTCCAATGATAATAAACCTCAAGTTAGAAGACAAAGTAGTAATACAAGAAGAAAGAGCTTACAAATTTTGAGGTAGGAAATGGAGTCTGGACTTCAGGTTTCAAAATGGTGGTGGAGACAGAAGCTGGCTTCCCTCCCCACCCCAACATATACACAGGAAACTAAAAACAAATATACAGCACTAAGATTCTCACCAGCAATATCCCAGAACTCAAATATAAGGATGAATCAGTTGCTGAGGCCACAGAGAAGTGAAAAAACTCCAAGCAGACAAAGGATAATAAAATTTCTCTATGATGCCCTTCCAACCAATCTGTCCAGCAACAAGCCTGCAGAAATTTTCCCTGACTCATAGTTTCTACACTGGAAAAAGTGAGATCAAGGTGGACAACCAGCTTCCTGACCATCTTGGGTTCTTTGACAGAAGACCTGCCCATACCTTAACCCACAGAAGGCATCATGAGTGCCTGAAGGGAGATATATTTCTGAAGACAGCAAGAGACAAAGAGGGGAGGTGGGACTACCATACCCAGCCCTGGAAACTCTGCTCCGTAACTCGGCCAAAGGAGACACCAAATCAGAGTGGCTGTTCAGCAGCATTATGCTATAGGAGGTTCATTCCAAAGGTCACCTGTACACTAGCCGCCAGCCAGCTTTTCCACACTGCCAGGATATCCTCTTTAGGACCTCCCCTATATCTGGACTGGGAGTGCTCTGATCTTGGGCTAGAGTCAAAGCAAACGTAGGCTTAAGGTGCCATTTAGTGCCAGAAAAAAAGGCAAGGACCTAGTGGAGATATAGCAATATACTGCCTATCTCAATTATAAATACCTATGCACCCAACACTGGAGCACCTAAGTATATAAAGCAAATATTAACAGATCTAAAGGGAGAGGGAGACTGCAATACAGTAATGATAGGGAACTTCAACACTCCACTCTAATGGATAGATCATCTAGACAATCAACAAAGAAACATCAGCGTTAAACTAGACACTAAGCCAAATAGGCCTAACTGACATTTACAGAACATTTCACCCAATTGCTGCAGAATACATATTCTTTTTATCACCATGTGGAACATTCTCCAGGATAGATCATATTTTAAGCCACAAAGTAAGTCTCCACAAATTCAAAGAAGCAGAAATCATATCAGTTATCTTTTCTGACCACAATGGAACTAAAAATCAATAATAAGAGGAAACTTGGAAAATACACAAACACATGGAATCTTTTTTTTTTTTTTTTTGAGATGGAGTCTCGCTTTGTTGCCCAGGCTGGAGTGCAGTGGCATGATCTCAGCTCACTGCAACCTCCACCTCCCAGGTTCAAGCAATTCTCCCACCTCAGCCTCCCGAGTAGGTGGGATTACAGGTACCCGACACCATGCCTGGCTAATTTTTGTATTTTTAGTAGAGACAGAGTTTCACCATGTTGGTCAGGCTGGTCTCAAACCCCTGACCTCAGGTGATCCACCTGCCTCGACCTCCCATAGTGCTGGGATTACAGGCATGAGCCACCATGCCTGGCCAAACACGTGGAAATTAAACAATATGCTCCTGAATGACCAATGGGTCAATGAAAAAAATAAAAATGAAATTTAAAAATTTCTTTAAACAAATGAAAATGAAATTACAACATATTAAAATCTATGAAACACAGCCAAAGGAGTACTGAAAAGGAATTTTATAGCAATAAAAGCCTACATCAAAAAGGTTGAAAGACTTCAAATAACAATTCATAAACAATCTAATGATACAACTCAAGGAACTAGAAAAATAAGAACAAACCAAACCCCAAATTAGTAGACAGAGATAATAAAGATTAAAATAGAAATAAATGAAATGTAGACTATAAAAACACCAAAAAAAATTAATGAAAAAAGTTGGCTTTTTTTTTGAAAATCAACAAATCTTTAGCTAGACTAACAATAAAAGAGAGAAGACACAAATAAATAAAATCAGAAATGAAAAAGAAGACACAACTGAGACCACAGAAATACAAAGAATTATAAAGACTATTATGAACAGCTATATGCCAACAAAGTGGAACATCTAGAAGAAATGAATAAATTCCTGGACATATGCAACCTACCAACATTGAACCATGAAGAAGTAGAAAACCTCAACAAACTAATACCTAGTAGCAAGATTGAAGCCATAATAAAAGGTCTCCCATCAAAGAAAAGCCCAGGACTTGATGTCTTCACTACCAAATTCTACAAAACATTTAAAGAAGCAATACAAATTATATTCAAACTCTTCCAAAAAAAAAAAAAAAAAAACTGAAGAGAAGGGAATACTTCCAAACTCATTCTATGAGTCCAGCATTACCCCGATACCAAAACTGCACAAGGACACAAGGAGAAAAGAAAACTACCAGCCAATATGACTTAGGAACATAGATGCAAAAATTATCAACAAAATACTAGCTAACCTAATTCAACAATACATGAAAAAGATCATTCACTATGATTGAGTGGGATTAATCCAGGGATGCCAGGATAGTTCAACATACACAAATCAATAGACATGATATGCTGGGTGCAGTGGCATGCACCTGTAGTACCAGCTACTCAGGAGGCTGAGGCTAGATGATCACTTGAACCCAAGTCCAGCCTGGGCAGCATAGTGAGATCCCATCTCAAAAAAAATAAATTAAATGGAAAATCCAAATTCAAGTACATAAATATAAACACATCACATTAACAGAACCAGGAACAAAAATCACATAATCATTCTAATACATTCTGTAAAAGCATTCAATAAAATTCAACATCCCTTTATGACAAAAACCCTCAACAAACTGGGTACAGAAGGAACACACCTCAAAAAGTAAAAGCCATATCTGACAAACACATAACCAACATCATACCGAATGGTGAAAAATTAAAAGCCTTTCTTTTAAGATGTAGAACAAGACAAGGATGCCTGTTTTGTCCTCTTTTATTCAGCGCAATACTAGAAGTCCTGGCCAGAGCAATTAGGCAAGAGAAATAAATAAAGGGCATCCAAACTGGAAAGGAAGAAGTCAAATTAGCCTTGTACAGAGATAACATGATCTTATATTTGGATAAACCTAAAGGCTCTACCAAAAAACTATTAGAACTGATCAACAAATGTAGTAAAGTTCGAGTATACAAAATCAACAGCATTGTATACACCAAAAGCAAATAATCTGAAAAAGAAATCAATAAACAATATCATTTACAATATAAAACACCTAGGAATCAATTTAACCCATGAAATAAAAGATTCATGTAAAGAAAACTATAAAATGTTGATGAAAGAAGTTGAAAAGGACACAAAAAAATGGAAGGATACTCCATGCTTATGAATTAGTAGAATATTGTTAAAATGACAATACCACTGAAAGCAATTTACAGATTCAACACAACCTCTATCAAAATACCATTGACATTCCTCACAAAATAGAAAAAACAAATCCTAAATTTTATATGGAACCACGAAAGACCCCAAATAGCCAAAGCGATCCTGGGCAAAAATAACAAAGCTGGAGAATCACATTACCTGACTTCAAAATATAGTACAGGGCCTATGTCTGGAATGGTATTTCCTAGGTTTTCTTCAAGGGTTTTCACAGTTTTAGGTTTTACATTTACATCTTTAATCCATCTTGAGTTGATTTTTGTATATGATAAAAGGGATGGGTCCAGTTTCAATCTTCTGCATATGGCTAGCCAGTTATCCCAGCACCACAGTCCTTTACCCATTGCTTGTTTTTGTAGACTTTATCAAAGATCAGATGGTTGTTGGTGTGCAGCTTTATTTCTGGGCTGCTTCCATTGATCTATGTATCCGTAGTTGTACCGGCCACACTGTTTTTGTTACTACAGCCTTATACTATAGTTTGAAATCGGGTAATGTGATGCCTCCAGCTTTGTTCTTTTTGCTTAGGATTGCTTTGGCTATTCGGGCTCTGTTTTGATTCCATATGAATTTTAGAATAGCCTTTTTCTAATTCTGTGAACAATGTCATTGGTAGTTTGATAGAAATAGCATTGAATCTGTAAATTACTTTGGGCAAGATTCCATGATGAAGATGCCCAAAACAATTGCAACAAAAACAAAAAATGACAAACGGGACTTAATTAAACCAAAGAGCTTCTGCACAGCAAAAGAAGCTATCAACAGAATAAACAGACAACCCACAGAACGGCAGAAAGTATTTGGAAACTGTGCATCCGACAAAGGTCTAATATCCAGAATTTACAAGGAACATAAACAAATTTATAAGCAAAAACCAAACAACCCCATTAAAAAGTAGACAAAGGACATAAACAGACACTTTTCAAAAGAAGACATACGTGTGACCAACAAGCATATGAAAAAAAGCTCACCATCACTAATCGGTAGAGAAATGTGAATCAAAGCCACAATGAGATACCATCTCACACCAGTCAGAATGGTTATTATCAAAAAGTCAATAAATAATAGATGTTGGCATGGATATAAGGAAAAAGAAACTCTTATACACTGCTGGTGGGAATGTAAATTAGTCCAGCCACTGTGGAAAGCAGTTTGGTGATTTCTGAAAAAACTTAAAACAGAACTACCATTTGACCCAGCAATCCCATTATTGGATATATCCCAGTTACCATGATTTGATTATATGAATGTATCAGATTATCACATGTACCATGAAAATGTGTAGTTACGTATCAATAAAAAATAACAATAATAAAATAAAATTCTATGTTCTGTCAGTTCCTGAGAAAAAAAGGAAAAGGAAAGAGAATGAAACTTTTCAAATTTTCTTGGAGTTTCTCCTTGCCATTTTTTACGAGTTTTGCTGAGAGCCAGAAAAATGCAGGCTGTTGTGAGATGATGACTTTAAGTTGTTGTCTTCATTAACTAGTAATACATACTGGGACATCCTTGGCCTTCCAAATACTCTTTCAGGATCACATATACTCACGTCTTTTATTGTCCCTTAAATCCTCATACTATCTCCTGACATAGAATAAATCCAAACGTGTGCAGCAAGATAATGTTTTTGGTCACTAACTTCTGTTGTTTTCTTTATTTTTGGAATTCCTTTACCTCATTTAAGCCTGTAGCAAACCCTGTATCATTTTGCCACAGGGGAGCTTTGCAGAAGTACGCTGTGTAGATTAGAGCGACCCCTGCTGGCCAAACTGCATGTCTTTGGCATGGGGATATATCTAACCCTTAGAAAGGGTGCCTGTCTCTTCACCCAAAGGCACCATCTGCTCACCCAAAAGGATGCCCACAGTGCTGTGCCTGCCCAAAAGGCCCTTCTCTTATTCCTGTGGGTTTGTGGGATTAGAAAAGCTAAGCACACCGAAGAAAATTGAATTCGATGGAAAAGGAAGCCTAACGACATTGAGGGAAGAGAGTTTCAGGTAAGAGGGATTTCTCCCAGAGCAGAAAGAGGATCTTTCAAGCAGCAAAAGAAGTCAAGAATTCTCATGAGCAGAGGAACTGATCACCCCAAAACATGGCAGGATCTGAGAAGGAATGGGAGTCGCAGGACCTCAGCATCAGAGGGGCACACTTGAAGAGGCTACATGGTTCCATAGTGGGTTTCTTCTCAGAAACCAGATAACTGGTTATTGCAGTTTCCCAATACCCTAGGAAAAGACCGAGAAATGGGGCCACCAAGAGGGGAGGTAAATGCCTAGACTAAGGTTCAGTTTCCCACCAAAAGGTTGGGTGGGAGCTAAAAGTCAAATATTAGGTTGAGTAAACAAAATTCCTATTCCTTGCACTACTGAGTTTGAGCTCTGAGAGGCATATCGGGTACCACATGTCAAAGAAAAACATTCTCCAAATGGTCCTGACCAGTTGCTGGGTCATGCTTGAAGAGTAGGTTCGGAACCTTGTGTCGTGTGCTACTGTGGACCAGTATCTACAGTGAAAACTGTCACAAAAGTCAATTCATTTGAACGTCAATGACGATTAAAAGTAAATTCTAATTCACCCTTCCGTACACATGGGAAAAGTGAAATCAGCGAGGTGAAGTAATTTGCACGAGGATATTCGGTGAGTACATCACAAAGCTAAACTGCAAACCTCAATCTTTTAAATACCAAAGCCTATTATTTTTTTTGTTTGTTTTTTAACTATACCAGTAGTTTTCAAACTATGTTCCACAAAACCTATAAGTGGGGGGGGCTTCAAATGTTCATCCAATTAGATTTTGTCTTTTATAGTTTTAACTATTTTTAAATGAATAAAAAAGCAACACTTGCAAATTCTACAACTTTGGCAGCCACCAGTACGCTAATTTTTGTTATCAGGTTCAATGGGTTTCATGCAGCTCTCAGAATAAAACTTCTCCTACCACCTCCAGATACATGCTCGAACTCTTGTAAATGTGTCATCAGGAAGACTATAATTATATTATATCTGAGGGAAGGCAATTAGTTCAGATGTGTGAATATTCAGTCATGGAAAAAGGTACAAACAGGAACAGAACTTAAGCAAACGTTTGCCGCACTCAAATGCCAAACAATGTTCAAACACCAGTTTGGAACAAGCTGCCATCTTGACAAAAGAGAGCAATAATAAGTACATGGGTGCCTCCTTACATTTGGAAAGTATTCTATCATTGACATTTTAGTGTTTCTAGGATCAGTTTAATTGAATATTAAGTATACAAGGCAAGCTATTAAAAATTGGTTACCATGTTTCTCTATTCCCCATGTTTTCTGTAAGCTCCTCTTAAAACTAGAGGCTCAATTGTGGGGGCACGACAACATCACTGGTGATAGTGTGCACTTCCTACTGATACCAGGAGGCACACAATATCTGGTTGCCCCACTTTTAGCAATGCTATCATTGATATTAGGGTTCAGGTGATATCGGTCTGATATCATGAATTTCCCAATCAACCATTTACCTAATGGTTTTAGCAGCCATTGATGATAATTGCCTAGATCAATCCTTTCCTTAGGGATTTTTTTTTAAATAGATAGCTTCCTATTATTTCTTCTGCATTTTTAAGCTGTGATTCTCCTATAAACAAGAACTTTCATCAGCTATTAGATTACCCTGAAAACAGTCAAATTCAGAATGTAAGACAGTTTACAGGACAAATACTCCAGTTTCTTCAACAAATAAATGTGGTTTAAAAAACAAAAATAGGGGGATCCCTTGTGGAGTAAAACAGACATATCAACTAAGTTCACCTGTGATTTTTATTTGGAGATTGAATCAAAGACCAACTGTTTTTTTTTTTAAGGACATGTTTAAGACAATCAGAAAAATTGAAAATTAACTAGTTATTAGATGTTAATTATGGAATTATGATTATCTTTTTGGTTGTGATAATAGTCCTTTCCACTAGCTAAGCACTGAAGTATTTACTATGCAATGATATATTTTTAATTTGCTATAAAATGTTCTAGCCACCTCCCAAAAAAGGAGGGCTCTAGATTAAAACATAACTGCAGAAAGAAACATAACATCAGAAGGTTGAGAGTTGTTGAAGCTGGGTTGATGGATACATGGGAGTTTATTTTTCTATTCTTTAATTTTGTACCACATTTTAATAATAAAAAGTTTAAAGCAATAAATTCAATTGAATAGATCCAGAAATAGGTGAGAAAGATAATAAAATGGCTACCGTTTGCAATTATTCATCTGTGTGTGAATCAAGATCTTCTATCACTCAATAGAATGTATAAACTTAAACTTAAGTTTGGAAAACAGCCTTCAGCTTACTTCAAAACACCAACTTAAGGTGTTTGAAAGAACATCATAATAGTTCTGGAACTGATAATGATAGTCTTAAAACCTAGTTTCAAAAAATGAGTGATATATCAACACAGTACAGAGATCAGTTGGGTCGTCATCATCATTGTGTCTTACATAGCACATCTTATCCTGATAGCATTAGAAGATGGCTCATTTCATCACCAAACATAGAAACACAGTTGTCTCTGGAACTCAGAATTTCCTCCTGAGTAGAGGGGAGTCCTTTCAATGACCAAAGATTTTTACTGAGAATTCCATTGTCTAACCTAGAGGTGAGAAAACTACAGCCACTGGGCCAGCCCGCCATACAGCCATACCTTTGTTGTCTGCAGTTGCTTTCCCAGACACAATGGCAGAATTAAGTAGTTGCAACAGAGACCAGACGGCCTGCAAACCCTAAAATATGTATTATCTGGCCCTTTACCCAAAAAATGTGCCAATCTCTGATCAAACGATGACCAGCTTCAATCAAACGATGAACTTTAAGATTTGGATTTTAGAAGGTTAAAATGCATGAGGTGAGGGCAATACATGTCTACAATTTGAATATCAATATTTCATTAATATTTTCTGATTTGACTAAGGACAGAATTGGGGAGAAAATCAGTCATGCAATAACATTTTCATTATTAGTCAAAGTAACTGTGGAAGCAAAACAAAACAAAACCCAGCAGGATCAAAGCACAAAACTATTTGACGAATGTTATTTGAATTCTTGCATAGCTCTTTCATTGGTGAGTCTTTAGCTGTTGGTAGTTTTCTGACAGCCTCCTGATTTTACCAGTGTGAAATGCCTCAGGGTATGTCCATGTGGCCCATTGCTTTATGGGAGACATGGTTAGTCTTCCAACAGAAAACGCAACCAAGCACTTGGAACAGAACAAGTTTTGCTGTATCTTTGGAAAGGAGGGAGGAGAGATTCAGAGTGAAGTTGATAACTAAAATTTAGGTGTGTGCACAAGAAAATGTTAGTGAAAGAGGAACAAAAAATCATGGCACGTGTTTTCTCCTCTATCAAGGGAGTGAGGAGGCAAGGACAAGAGCAGGGCTCAGAAAATCTCTGCTAACAACAGGAGACCTGCAGTCCCCTTCCCACTGGAATTTAGGAACCCTAGGCTTGCTCTGAGTAGGCATATGAGGGCCAGATCACAGATCACTTGAAACTAATTCACTAGTTTTCCAAAAGGCTTACAAAACTTGTATGGTAATGGTCTACATTCTGCAAAGCCGGGAGAAGGGAATATTCTGGATTCTACTATTCAATAAAAGTGTTTTATGTTATTATTTCACTAAGGCAGCATGAGTCTCTTTCCCCAGGATGGCACCCCAAAAGGCTAATCTAGGACTGAGCAAAGAAGATGAATGGGTCCTCATTATACCTTCAAGATATGTTCATTGGATGCTTTGTCATCAGGGGACACATACAAACGGATGAACACAGAATTGCTGTATTGACCACGAAACGTTGCAAGTGTCTGCAGAAGGCTGAACTTTCTCTCTGACCAAACCCCTTCAGGGCCAATATTAGATTCAAGCACGGGCCAGCGGAAAGGTGAATGCCGTAGGATGTGTAGCAGTGGCTTGGCATCTGCTTTTTCAATCGCTTCTGAAAGGGAGCAGATATGAAGAGAAAGTTAGAATTGCAAACTGGATCAGCACACTAGAATTTAAGTGCATCTTCTCAAGACAAAATTCCCATAATGCTCCAACTTAAAATTTCAGCTGTTAGGGAGTAGGTAAAAGAGGTGGGGTGGGATGAGCATAATCACAGAGACAGAACTACCTACGATCCACGCTTCAATGTGACTGTCTATACCTAGTGTTCTTGCCAGGAGAGCTGACCAGGGAAACTGCTGGATATTCACTACAATAAACATGGATTCTCTACATGGAACCCAGCCAATGAATAATACTTGGTGGGACTAAGTTACAACCCTAACTAAAGGAATGCCTCAATAAAGCCAATCACTACCCAATGAAGAAGAAGTGATGCTTCAGATTCCTGTCTTTTATTGCTCTTTTCTAGCTCACCACATGATACCCCAAATCCTAGACCAGTTGACACACTTCCCACAGGCACTGGCTTCTTCCTGTGGTGGGCTTGAGAAGGCAGACCAGGTCAAGTGGCCAGTATCTGTTCTGATTCCAATCAGACCCAAGATATTGAGACAGGGCTAAGGACCCAACAAAGATGCCTGTTAGGCTGACACAGGAACCTGGCATGCCTGGGAATCTGGATTTCTCTAGGCTCCAGTAGGTGCACTCCCTCCCAGTCTCTGTCTCAAGCCAGACTTGGCCTGGCTTCTGGATTCTCTACCAGATACAGTGGAGTTTGCCCTGCTGACTTTGTCTAAGTTTCTCAGGGAGTAAATGATACCCAAAGAATCCAACTCATATAAATAAGATTTTCTCCACCAAGCCAGTAACAACATTAACTAAGATGGGACTAGTCAAAATCCAGTCTTTCACAATCATTCCTTTAACACCTTTAAACATTAATAGAATTCTTAGTAGTTCTCTTCTTCCTCAAACAATATATTAAAACATTAATAGAACTCTAAAGGATAGGGATGGTAAATATTTTATTTAGTTTTCTTCATCACTCACTCTCATTCATGCAGGATGAATAAAGGATTTTGGCTTTCTGTATGGCTTCGGTGTCCCGCCTTCTACTGATTGATTTCTCCAAAAGTTCTGGGAAGGTTAAGAAAGGATTCATTAGTATCCACCCACATATGGTGCCAAGTTGGAAGTCATTTGATAATCACAATTCCAACCTCCAGAAAATTAAATACAAAGACAGACAACCCTGGAAAAGACAAATCTATCAAAGATATGCAGACAACAGAACAGATTCCAAGTTGCATGAGGTTCAAATAAAAACAGTTTTACATTCTCTTATCCAGGGTACTCCTAACTCAAAAGAAACCAAAAATTTAATTTCCAACTGAGAATGGATGTTCTACAGGGGTTAATTTCTTCTGCCACCTACACAAAAGGAAACAGAATTCATTTATTCAAGAACCAAAAATAACTGAATTCTGTCCCTTGTTCCTGGACCAAGTAATATTCTCAACGGAGCCAATTTCATCAGGGTTGTGTTTCTTAAGATTTCTCCACAGCCCAGCCTCTCAAGGAGGTCACCCGGAAGAAATTTCCCATTAGAAGTTTTATCCATTGTTGAATAAACATGCTGTGGACATGGAAGAAGTTCTTTAGACAGGAAATGGAAAGACAAGATTGGAAAACCTACCCGAATTGCCTGAAAACTTGCCCGTTTACACATGCAAAGTCCTAAACATCTAAGAGAGTCCGTGTGTACACAATGGTTGCCAGCACAGACATAGGCCCACCTGGAAAATAATTTTCTATTTATAAAATCACTAATAATAATGTTTGAAGGTAGAAAATGATAGTTGTCACTATTTCATTAAATAAGGAAAGAGGAAAGCCAGGACTCAATGAAAACAACCCTCTCCCGAAAAAGAGAACCTTGAACGTACTTGAGAGTATCAATCTACCAACATGAAGCCAAGATGAAAAATCCCTATGGTGACTGCAGCACCAGGGCACTGCCTTCACCGAACTATGTCAAACTGCCTTGTCAAGGCATTTGGGGAAACAGCCTAGCAGCCATCATAATCACAGTACAACAGATGTTCCTATAATACTCTGAATAGCTTCAAGACAAAATGTACGGCACTAATTAAGTTAATAAATAATTGTATATCTCCTGAAGAGGAATCTTACTTCTAAACCAGAAGTTCTACAGTTCAAAAAAAAAAAAAAAAAAAAAGCAACCCAGAGCTCCTGTCTAGTTTTTTAAAAATAAGTACCTGTACCTAAAACAAGTCCATATAACTAGATAGATTCCAGTGAAATAAATTAAATTGGGTTGGATGTGAGTATTTTCAATTATTTCAGCTTGTTTGGTGTTTTCTTTCTTGTGTATCATCATAATAATAAAATCAAGATAACTAGCCCCAAGGATTTTTTTTTTTTTTTGAAACAGAGTATCACTCTGTCACCCAAGCTGGAGTGCAGTGGCAGGATCTCAGCTCACTGCAGCCTCTGCCTCCCGTGTTCAAGCAATTCTCCTGTCTCAGCCTCCCGAGTAGCTGAGATTACAGGTGCACACCACCACACTCGGCTAATTTTTTGTATTTTTAGTAGAGATGGAGTTTCACCATGTCGGCCAGGCTGGTCTCAAACGCCTGACCTCAGGTGATCCACCTGCCTTGGCCTCCCAAAGTGCTGGGATTACAGGCATGAGCCACTGCCACCGTGCCAGGTCCCCAAGGATTTTTTAAAGGAGATTTTTTTTTAATACGCAGAAAGATCTAAAGCCATATCCACATATATTTCCATTCAAATCGGCTCCTGTACCCTTCCACTATATTGCTTACACAGTCATTAGACTATTTGGGAAACATACTTAGAAGTAAATAATCCAAATTTCATTTAGGGTTGTGATGATGTTCTGATGCTATAAGCACTCCACAGGCTAAAAAACATGAATGCCCTAAGGGCCAAACAAGCCACAGGAGCAAAAAAAACTAAAAGCATTAAATATTTACCTGTGTCTGCTTCCAAGGCATGCTATCTATCACAGGGAGGGAAAAAGAGGATCAGCAGATGCTAAATAGGGCAATCCCAAAACACTAACCATGCACAAATATCAATAATTTGTATATGTCAAAATTCTGGTTTCTGTACCAGAATTTGGCTTTTAAAACAGATTCGGCTATCACAAGTTCCTTGCCATACCCTTTTCCTTCTCTTCTTTCCTTCTCTCTGAGCCCAAGCAGACAGGAGAGCATTGATATGCAGACAGTGATGTGGCAATCAGTTGACAGCATCCATTTTATGTATCTCTGCATGTGAATTAGCAGTAAGAAGAATAAAATGTAGCCTGGAGAGTTATTAATGAGTAGAAAACAAAGCCTGCGTACCACAGGTAATTACTCAGGTTATTAAAATGTCCCCAAAGCATTGAGAAAGGCTCATGGGTCACCCATACAGGGGCATTCCAATCATAGCCTGTGTTGTTTCTTGGAGGATTTCTCAATCCCCACCTCCACCCCACCCAGGTATTTCTTACCACCTTACAACTGCAAAGGACAATAGCAGTTCATAAAACTGCAGGCCAGGCGCGGTGGCTCATGCCTGCAATCCCAGCACTTTGGGAGGCCGAGGCGGGCAGATCACAAGGTCAGGAGTTTGAGACCAGCCTGGCCAATGTGGTGAAACCCCACCTCTACTAATAATACAAAAATTAGCCGGGTATGGTGGCGCACACCTGTAGTCCCAGCTACTCGGGAGGCTGAGGCAGGAGAATCGCTTGAACCCAGGAGGCAGAGGTTGCAGTGAGCCAAGATCTCGCCACTACACTCCAGCGTGGGCGACAAAGTGTGTTTCCAAAAAAAAAAAAAAAAAAAAAAAAAAACTATAGCACAGCAAACCTCAGACTTTAAAAGTGGTTTGAGAAGTTCTTCTGATCATCAAATTTGAACATTAAGTACATATTAAGTATTTTTCTTCTCACTATGCTCCATCAAATAACTTTTTTTTAAAGGCAACATAATAGACATGTGGGAAGGGGGTGCTTTGGAATCACACAGACATGGGTTCCAGTTGCAGCTTGCTGCAACTTGCTAGCTGGAATTCGAGCGAGTTATTTAATCCCTCTAAGCCCCAGTTTCTTTATCTGTAAAGTCAAATAATAATAGTACATGCTTCCCAGGATTGTGCTGAGGATTTAAAATTTTTAATACACAGAAAGCCCCCATCTTGGTGCCTGGGCACATGATAACGGGGATCAGTAAGTGGTGACTTAAACAGGATTACAGGCAGAATTCGCCCTATACAAAACTGTCAAGTAATCAAGCTTGTTTCTAGTGCTTCCTCCATAACTGTGTTTGTTCTCCTGCTTGCTTCTCAGGATATTGTTGGCCAAAGGACTTATGCTAACCTAAGACACTGCCAGGCTGTGTGTAGGACTATTTCACAAACTGCACCTGCTATAGCCACCTTGCAAAGCCCCATGCTCTCAACATTTCCTCTGCTTCTATAGTAGAGGCAATTCTAAATGGGAAGACATATTTTGCAATCAGTGTTAACCTCCAAAAATATTCTGCTCACATTCTTCATCCTGGACAGCAAAGCATTTTCTTTTTTTATGTAAATTTTTCCAATGAAAGTACAGAAAAGTACACAAATAATACAACATACAGAAAAGTACACAGATCATAATGTGAAGAATGTTCACAAAGTTAACACGCTCAAGTAACCAGCATTATTACTGGAACCCCAAAAGCCCCTTGTGCTCCCTTCCAATCACTAACCCCAAGCAAGAAAATTAACATCCTCTATGGTAAAATACTTATTCAAGTCTATATCACATATTTATAGAGCAATCTACCTTTTTGTTATTGATTTGTAGAAGTGCTTTCTATATTCTACGTACGAGTCCTTTTTGAATATATTATAAAATATCCCATTACATAGACTTCATTTTTAATGGTATCTTGTAATAAACTGAAATTATTTTAGTTCAGCTTCTCCATTTTTCTCCTCCATGGTTACCATATTTAGTGTCCCGTTCAAGAAATCTCTGCCTATCCCAAACTCATGAAGATAGTCTACATTTTATTTTATTTTTCTTTTTTTTTGAGATGGAGTCTTGCTCTACCGCCCAGGCTGGAGTGCAGTGGCTTGATCTCGGCTCACGGCAATCTCCACCTCCCAGGTTCACGCGATTCTCCTACCTCAGCCTCTCAAGTAGCTGGGATTACAGACACATGTCACCATGCCCAGCTATTTTTTGTTTTTTGTTTTTGTGTGTTTGTTTGTTTTGAGATGGAGTCTCGCTCTGTCGCCAGGCTGGAGTGCAGTGGCAGGATCTCAGCTCACTGCAACCTCCGCCTCCCAGGTTCAAGCGATTCTCCTGACTCATCCTCACAAGTAGCTGAGACTACAGGCATGCGCCACCATGCCCAGCTAACTTTTTGTATTATTAGTAGAGGTGGGGTTTCACCATGTTAGCCAGGCTGGTCTCGAACTCCTGACTTCAGGTGATCCACCCGCCTCAGCCTCCCAAAGTGCTGGGATTACAGGCATGAGCCACCGCGCCCAGCCTGTATTTTTAGTAGAGACGGGGTTTCACCATGTTGGTCAGGCTGATCTCGAACTCCTGACCTCAGGTGATCCACCCGCCTCGGCCTCCCAAAGTGCTGGGATTACAGGCATGAGCCACCGCGCCCGGTGACAGTTTACATTTTCTTCTAAAATCTTTATTGTTTCACATTTAGATCTACAGTCCATCTAAAATTTGTTTTTGACCATGGTGTGGACAACCATGCCTTTGTAACCCAAGCCTAGCCTCAAAGGGGATGAAACGTGAGAATTTTAATAATAAAGATATTTTTGGTCATTGGGCCTCAAATAATATCACCAAGAAATACTTTTGGTATAAAACATTGGCATTAACAATGGCTATGCTCCATTAGATTGAATACTCTTTTGGGCAGGGGCTGGGTCACATTCATCTTTGAACACCCAGGACCCAGAGCTTGGCATGGCTGGTGCTTAGTGAATGTTCGCTGAGTTGAATTCCTGACAAGGAAAGTCTGAGAGAGACTTTCATCCAATTGAAAAAGAACTATGAGAAGCTGGACTGACTACTTTTATTATTTCTTTTTACAATCAGCAATGCCCTGATCATACTAACAACACCATCTCTTTTTTTCACATCTCAGTCCCTATATCATACAATGAAATCCAAGACTTCATTCATCTGTTTTCATGAACGCCAGTTTTAAGGGTACCTAAGTTTTATTTTCATCAATTGTCTCAGCTTTATCATCCATTCCCAATGCCCTGCTCTTCTACACTGGGGAGAAAAAAAATACTTAGTTCTGCTCGGAAGCTGAGAGAGGACTATCAATCCTCACTCAATTCAATTCTGCTGCTCAGACAGGACATTTATTGAGTGCTCTAGAATACAAAAAGGAAATTCCAAAGGAAGGATGAGGCCCTTGAGGATTTTACAGTACCATGCTTAGTCAAGAGTTCATAACAGCCATCTGCAGCTCAGGCCAATCATTTAAAGTTTCTACAATATCTAAGACATATCCACCTAAAACATTTTTCAAAAACTCCACACATGCAAAGTTTTAGGCCTATGAGCAAAAACCTACCAAGAACCTTGATTGAGCTGACATTTGAATGAAGTGGCTCAGGAGCACAGGAACACTTAAAAACACCCTCCTTTGGGTTCTTTCTCCTGACCCTGCAATATTTCCATGTGCCTATTCTGAAAGGGGGCCTCTGGCTCTTTGCTAAGAGACCAGTGAATCCTGGAGCCACTTGCTTGATTTGCTTAATGGGTACTTTTAGAGACAGGGTCTTGTGCTGTCACCCAGACTGGAGAACAGAGGCATAATCACAGCTCACTGAATCCTCAACCTCCTGGGCCCAAGCCATCCTCTCACCTCAGCCTCCCAAGTAGCTAGGACTACAGGTGCACACCACCACACCGTGGCTAATTGTTTTATTTTTATTTTTGTAGAGATGGGGTCTCGCTATATTGCCCAGGCTGGTCTTCAATTCCTAGTCTCAAGTGATCCTCCTAACTCAGCCTCCCATAGTGCTGGGATTACAGGCATGAGCCACTACACCTGGCCAGCAACTGCATTCTAAAATCTTCACGTCAGTGTCAGCAAGGTAAATTCTCAATTTCATGCAGATTGTGGTAACATTTCTCTTTTGGAAATCAGAGGGAGTGCCCTCTGATTCTGGTGAAAAAAAGAACATGAAAAATTAAAACTCTGGAAAACCAAATCTATACTTTAAGCTTCCACATCTACATAATGAACAGAATGTTCTCTAGACCTAGATTTTTTTTAAAACTTATTATAGAATGGCCTGCTTTCTCCTTTGGTGGTACTTAAAAACTACCTTTGGATGGTCTATGGTTGAATGCTGCCTCTAATCCTACTATTTTTAGCTCTTGTTGATTTTCTAGGCTACAGATTTCAATTTGGTTTCCAGGCTCCTCAGTTTATTTACTATACTGAAAATTTTCATTTTTCTAACTCACACTGCATGGGTATTAAAGGTATTAAACCCTTATGCACTTAAAGCTGCAGACTCTAAATAAGCTTGCAAAGCTTATTGTTATTCTCATTAAAAAATAAAATTCAAGTTAACTAAGTCATGGTCCGTGGATCCCGTAACTCTCATATATTTTCACACGAATTGTGTGACACTCAGCTTGGCAGTTCCTCAGCCTCACGGCCAGTCAAGCATGGGATTAACTGAATCTGTATGACATACTGAAAAGCCAATAGGAGCTGATCTTTCTCATTCCTCTAGAAAACTCCCACCTAAATATAGGGATAGAAGCTGTCAGAATTATTTTCTCTGTTCATTTTTTATGATCTTATAAATGATAATTGTTGGTTAGCATCAGCTTAAGAAAAAGGTGCAGAGATGATTTTAAGGGGATTAAAATCCTCTAAATCATTCTAAATCATGGGTTACCAAATAACACAAAAATGTCCCTGTTAACACAAAAGACCTCCTTGTCCATAATGAAATTAATTATATAAAATTGCCAGATACTACAAAACTCTAACAGAAGATAACTCTTTTATTATGTTCACTTATAAGTGAATTTATAAGAATTATACTTATTATCAAGGTTATACTTCAAAATAATTTCAATTTTAGCATTATTCTTTGATAGCATAGCATTACAATGAATCTGCCAATCTTATGTTTTAACTCAATATAAATAGCTTTCCTATTTAGATATTTTGTATCTTAGCAGATAATTCCATGTAAGGTCTGTGCCAAACTTGAGGTTTAAAATAAATCTATCCTCAGTTTTTTCGTATAGCATTTTTACTACTAACTCTAATTATTTATATTTTTTCTCCCTCCTATTTGAGACAGTCTCACTCTGTCACCCAGGCTGGAGTGCAGTGGCATGATCTCAGCTCACTGCAACCTCTGCCTCCCGGGTTCAAGCGATTCTTTGCCTCACCCTCATGAATAGCTGGGATTACAGGCACGTGCTACCACGCCCAGCTAATTTTTTTGTATGTTTTTAGTAGAGTCGGGGTTTCACCACATTGGCCAGGCTGGTCTCAAACTCCTGACCTCAAGTGATCTGCCTGCCTCGGCCTCCCAAAGTGCTGGGGTTACAGATGTGAGCCAGCACACCTGGCCTCTGCCTCCTATTTTATCCATCTTAACGTTACAAGGAAAAAGCCGTGTATGTTTATATACTCCCTGCAATGGTCGTTCCTGAACAATCCTAAGACATCCAAGGACCAGTAACGACAGTGTTCATTTTTTAAGCACCTGCTCTGTGCCAGATGTATTGTATTAATACATAACCTCAATTAACCTGCCCAGCAATCCTAAGAAACATATATCATAACTCCATTGTGCAGGCAAGAAAACTATAAGAACTTGTCCAAGGAGACTCAGTTAGTAAAGGTTAGAGCTAGGATTTGGACTCAGGTCTCTGACTCCTGTTAATTCAAACATCAGATACCCAGAAAAATTCTGCAAGTTGCTTTCCTGTGAGAGAATGGGCCCCCAGTGGCTAAATGAGAGGCAGCTATGCCCTCATGGAATTCCCTGACAGATCTCTCCACCATAACTGAAGGAAAGACCTTCCCTGGTTACATCATAACTTCTTTTTGCAGTGGTGCAATGTCTTTGTGATGAGCCATCTACTCCCTTTGCCCTGTCACCCTATTTTTGACCAGGGACACAGACTCCTGGGGCACCTAACCAGAGGTAGGAGGCCTGGTGAGGTTAGAACAGAACAAAGTTGGCTGGTCCTCAAGGCTTGACCTCACATTTTGCTCTAGTCTAAGCCAGTGGTTTCTAAACTTGAGTGAACATTGGAATAATAAAGAGAGCTTGTTAGGCCAGGCGCGGTGGCTCACGCCTGTAATCTCGGCACTGTGGGAGGTAGAGGCAGGCGGATCACCTGAGGTCAGGAGTTCGAGACCAGCCTGGCCAACATGGTAAAACCCCATCTCTACTAAAATTACAAAAAAAAAATTAGCTGGGCATGGTGGTGGATGCCTGTAATCCTAGCTACTCGGGAGGCTGAGTCAGGAGAATCACTTGAACCTGGAAGGTTGAGGTTGCAGTGAGCCAAGACCGTGCCATTGCACTCCAGCCTAGGCAACAAGAGTGAAACTCCGTCTCAAAAATTTAAAAAAAAAAAAAAAATGGGAGCTTGTTAAAACACAAATGGCTGTGTTTTAACTTGAGTGTCTAATTCAGTAGGTCTGGGGTGGGACCCAGGATTTTGCATTACTAACAAACTGCCAGGTAATGTTGATGCTGCAGATCGGGGGAATACACTTTGAGAACAACTACTTTAAACCAACAGCACTCACCGGTCTTTCTTGATGCCTGCAATCCCTGGAAACATCACCAGCCCAGAATCCCACCTCTGCCTTTCCTACCCTACCTCAAATCAAAAAAGGAACTTTTGTCCTGTCTTTACTGATTTCCTCACTCTGCAGCTCCATTTTAACTCAGTGTCAACATTCTTCAAGGAGGACACTAAACACTTTGTTTTGTTTTGGAAACACCCTCCTTGCATAGGCCCATTTAGGTCTAAGTTTCTCAGTTCTGCCAACCTCAGCTTTAAAAAGTTCCCTTCTTAAACATAAAATGCAATAGGGGTTTGATGTGAGGGTTGATTCACAGATTCAAGAGTGGAAAAAAATATTAGCACTATGCCAGAAAGACTCTCAAAGTGAAAGAAAGAATACCATACAGGGTATTTCTTTCTTTTTTTTTTTTTCGAGACAGGGCCTCACTCTGTTGCCTGGGCTGGAGTGCAGTGGCGCGATCTTGGCTCACTGCAACTTCCGCCTCTTGGGCTCAAGCAATTCTCCTGCCTTAGCCTTCTGAGTAGCTGGGACCACAGGCATGTGCCTCAGTGCCTGGTTAATTTTTATTTTTAGTAGAGATGAGGTTTCGCCATACTGCCCAGGCTGGTCTTGAACTCCTGGGCTCAAGCAATCCACCCACCTCAACCTCCCAACGTGTTGGGATTACATGCATGAGCCACCACGCCCAGCCGGGTATCTATTTTCAATTCCAGTTTATACCACATCCTCAAGAGAGGAAGAGAGAGATAAACATCACATCCCTGAAATCCTAAAAAATCTGAGCTTCAGACAATTCCTCCCTCGTCTATGAAAGTGACATCAAAACACTGTAAACATAGGTTTAAAAAGCCACTTCCCAACTAACCCCTGTTTTCACTCCCACCTTCTATGAGGAGGTGAGAGAAGGAGGGGTTCTATTCCTGGCTGTTCAAACCACAATGTGTGGTCGAGGGAGACTGCTCCTCCAGAACTGGGTTTCCGACAGTGAGTGATTAGGGGTAAGGCTTTCTTTCCTTCTCTATCCAGAATCCTCTCCCCCAAAAGGGGGGAAGCAACAGCACCTTTGGCACAAGCAGTGAACCCAAAGGGGCAAAAGTGCTGGTAGAACGAGTACTAACTACCATGCCCACCAGTAGCTGCCATGACTTCCCTGGCAGATTTTGCCCCATGAGTGGGGGTGCTTGACAAAATACCTTCCTAAGTTCAAAGAAATCAAGGGCAACAAAGAAGAAGCAATGATCTTTCATGTTGACCTAAGGAGAAAATAGAGAAAAGGATAAACAATCATGCCTTGGTATTTTCTGTAACAAGGAAGTCAAACTCCACCTTCGTTTGGATACCAGACTAGAAAATAGATCAACATGATGGGGCCTGTAAAGCATGAATTGGTCGCCATTTGTCAGCTACCTCCTCCAAGCCACTCTCCACAGACAGCAGCAAGCTCTGGCAAAACATATCGCTCATTACATCCCTCAACATGACATTTACAAACGCCTTCCCATTGCCCTAGGATAGAGTCTAAAATCTTTACACGGCCTACAAAGCCTGTATGCTCTGGCCCCCGCCTTTCTCCTCAGTTTTATCATTTATGCCTCTTCCCTTCCAACTCAGAGCTCCAATCACACTGGGCTTCTTGGGTTTCCTCAAAGGCACCAGCTGGACAGAGTCTCTGCGCTTGCAACTCTTTCCGCCGGGGTTAAAACTGGAGACATTTGAAATGAGAGACCCATAATCTGTGGCGAACAAATTATATGGCTGGATTGGTTTGGGCAAGTCACATAATCTTCTTGACCTTCACTTCCTCAGATATAGGGCAAAGACAGAAATAAACAATGATGACTGCTGACATCACAGAATTAGAGTGAAGACAGTAGAGAAAACAAATGATTCTCTGAAGAAATAAAATGAGTATCAAGAAATGCTTGGGCCGGCCGGGCGCGGTGGCTCACGTCTGTAATCCCAGCAATTTGGGAGGCCGAGGCAGGCGGATCACGAGGTCAGGAGTTCAAGACCATCCTGGCCAACATAGTGAAACCCCATCTCTACTAAAAATACAAAAATTATCTGGGCGTGGTGGCACATGCCTGTAATCCCAGCTACTTGGGAGGCTGAGGCAGGAGAATCGCTTGAACCAGGGAGTCGGAGCTTGCAGTGAGCCGAGATCATGCCACAGCACTCCAGCCTGGTGAAAGAGCAAGACTCTGTCTCAAAAGAAAAAAAAAATGCTTGAGCCTTAAAGAAGTGAACTTGTGAATTTAGGATAGACCAGTGGGTAGTAGAAGCAGTTCAATTCGGAACTTAATCTAAATGGCCACTATAGGAAGTCTTTCTGCCTAGTGACATAGGTAAACTTATGAGTATATTAGCACATATTTGTGTTTGTGCTGCTCTCTTTCATAAATATCAGTCCCTACACCTATTTTAACTGTTCATGAAAATAAAATTTCCTTCTCATTTTACAAATTAAAAGGTTCATGAATGTTTTAAAAAAAGTACCTCTCACTGCAAATATCAATACCAATGAGGCTTTCCAAACAAACATATCTTCTTTGTGACAAGCTATTATCCAACCAGCATATAATTAATTTTCCTGTTACGGGTAGTGCCTTTTTACATGGAATGTTCTCTTGACGCTTTAAAGCAAATAGTCCATCATTACAAATTCATTAAGTATTCACATAGATGCTATTAATCATGATGAACTAATGTGGTATTAATGGGTAGGTTATTAATCTGCAATTACATGCAGATTTCCTAATAAATTCAAGTTTCCCAAGTTGGATAAAGAAAGCAAAGGAAAAGGAAATGAACAAATCTTTCATGAAACAAATTAAGGGGAAAAAAATCTCTCTCCCTGTACCATAAGATCAGACATACAAAATTCCTGCTTTCTTCCTTTGCATTTACCCAATGCAAGGCAAACAAATTTGCAATATATACATTTTCATCAAAATAATAATACAAATGGAAGAAAAATTAAAACATCCATGTACCCTGGAGAGGTACTGAATTTCTTCAGTGACATACTATGTCCTTAGACACACTAAAGCCTAGCTATTGAATGTGTGGTCCCCAAACCAGCAGCATGGGCATCGCCTGAGAACTTTCTGGAACTACATAAAGAAAACGTGGTACACATACCACGGAATACTATGCAGCCATAAAAAAGAATGAGATCATCCTTTGCAGGAACATAGATGGAGCTGGAGGCCATTATTCTCAACAAACTAATGCAGGAACAGAAAACCAAATACTGCATGCTCTCACTTATAAATGCGAGCTAAATAATGAGAGAACACATGGACAGAAAGAGGGGAACAACAGATACTGGGGCCTACTTGAGGGTGGAGGGTGGGAAGAGGGGAGAGGTTCAGAAAAAAAACAAACATCAGGTACTATGCTTAGTGTCTAGTGACTAAATAATCTGTACACCAAACCCCCAAGTCACAAGTTTACCTACGTAACAAACCTGCATAGGTACCCCTAAACCTATAATAAAAGTTAAAATATTTTTAAACAGTTATGTCTAAGTCAGGCTAAAAGAACTTCAATGAACACAAAATAAAATTCCAAGTGATAAAAAAGCGTCATGTAATAGCTTACTCTTTCTTAGCTCATGTGAAACAATGGTGCATCTTACAGTTGACAATATTTTTGATTTGATGAAATATGGTATTCATTTTGGTAAGGCTGTGGAAGACACTGCAGTGTTTGCATATTCTCTGGCTTAATTTGAAGTCAAATAAACATAACTAACAAAATTGACTATAACTAAATAGCTACCACTTCAGAAGAACTAGTATTTCCATTCTGGAAAGTAATAAATATGTCAGAAATACTGAAGCTATATTTGGATTTAAATGAAAGAAGCCAATATAGAAATTATTCCAAATGAATCCAAAAGCATTTTAAGGACAACTGAACCTCCGGGTGAGATGAGACATTTTAATTCTTCAGTATTGGGTTTCATATCCAGGGTTCAGGGGCAGAATCAAAAATTTGGTCCAGTGGGAAGGTGGACGCGACGCTTCTGGTGAGGGCAGCTTTGTGAACGTCCTGAGACACAGCGGGCTATGCAGCCTTCAGACCTCAGGCGAAACACAATTGCCTCCTTTCTTCACCCAGCACCTCCCACGCATTCCCCACTAGACTTGTCTCATTCTGGCAGCCACCTGCAGCTTTCAAACCCCAACTTCCTCTTCTCCACAGCTCAGAGATTCCAGGCTGACACCAACACCTTTGACCTCAATTAAAAGAGTAGAATTTTATGTCTGAATTTACTTTCACTGGTATGTATCCAGACCAATGTGTAAATCAGCAAGAGAAAGAAAATCTCTTTTCTTATATTATTCTGGAGACTTGGTCAACATGTTGGGAAATGTAAATGGAGAGAAATTAATAAATTAGTTGGGCATTGCTTGGCATTCATTAATGTCAACTAGCAAAGCATACTGCCAGAGCAGTCATTCTGAATGGTTCTCATCTCAGAAAACTCACAGAAACTTCTCTAATGTACAAAGGCTACAGTTTTCTACTCAGTTAGTTTGGGCACTGCCTGGTCGGGAGGGAGGTCGTTAAAAATCCTCACATCTAGCCAGGTGCAGTGGCTCACGCCTGTAATCCCAGCACTTTAGGAGGCCAAGGTAGGCGGATCACTTGAGGTCAGGGGTTCGAGACCAGCCTGTCCAACATGGTGAAACCCCGTCTTTACTAAAAATACAAAAATTAGCCAGGCATGGTGGCACACACCTGTAATCCCAGCTACTCGGGAGGTTGAGGGACGAGAATCGCTTGAACCTGGGAGGCAGAGGTTGCAGTGAGCCGAGATCACACCACTGCACTACAGCCTGGGCAACAGAGCAAGACTCTGTCTCAAAAAACAAGCAAACAAACAAACAAAAATCCTAACACCCAAGCAGCACCCCAGATCAATTCCATGAGAATCTCTGAGAATGGGCCTCAGGCATCTGTGTTTTATAAGCTCCCTAGTAATTCCACTGCACAGCAAGGGTTGAGAACCACCACTCTAGAATTGTACTTTTCAGTAGTCCCACGAGGCTACTGGGTATTGCAATGTGGCTGGTCCAAATGGAGAAGGGTTGCAAGTTTAAGATATGCACCACATTTGAAAGACTTAGTAAGAAAGAAAAAAGAGAAAATGCCTCATGGGTAAGTTTTCTACATTGATTACATGTAGAAATAACAGTATTTTGGATATATTGGGGTAGATAAAATATATCATCCCAACTGCTGACACGTTTACTTTTTAAAGTGTGGCTCCTAGAAAACATAAAATCACATGTGACTTGCATTTGTGACTCACATTATATTTCTATCGGACAATACTACTCTGGAAGGTATCTTTATAGGTCTCTAATTGTGTGAATATGGGTAAATTACTTAACCTGTTGTTATGGTTTGGCTCTGTCTCCACCCAAATCTCATCTCAAATTCTAATCCCCGCATGGGTGGTTCAGTGGCAGAATTCTCAAATTGTAATCCCCATAATCCCCACGTGTTGAGGGAAGAACGTCATGGGAGGTGATTAGATCATGGGGGCATTCTTCCCCCATGCTGTTCTCGTGATAGTGAATGAGTTCTCAAGAGATTTGATGGTTTTATAAGGCAGTTTGCCCTGCTCTTGCTCACTCTCTCTCACCTGCTGCCATGTAAGACATGCCTCCTTCCCCTTCCGCCATGATTTTCAGTTTCCTGAGGCCTCCCTAGCCATGCAGAACTGTGAGTCAATTAAACCTCTTTCCTTTACAAGTTACCCAGTCACAGGTATTTCTTTATAGCAGTGTGAAAACAGACTAATACACCTCTCTAAGCCACAGTTTGCCCAATCGTAAAACAGGAATAATATCACCTTCCTAGTTTTCAGGGCTTTTACCAGGCAGTAAAGGTCAAATGGCCCAAATCTAATCCTGGCTCCATTGCATATCAGCCGTGTGACCTTGGGCTAGTTATACTGCTTGGTGCCTCTGTCTTCTCATCTGTAAAATGCAGATAAATCTTACATCTTCCGTGTTGGGAGCTCAGTTCAGAGTCCAATAAATGATAACTAATGATATTATTAAATAAGGTCACCTCAATAAAGTGCCCAGCCCTGTTAGGTCCTGCCCTATGTGACATATTCTTACAACTTTTTTAATCTATTAAAGGCTCACTTCACAGTAATGAATTATCTCCCCATTAGTAGTAAATCAGAGGAGAAATGGGGATTTTGTCACATTGTAAAGATGCTTGACCCATCCACACCTCAGTCACAGTTGAAAAGTTCTCAGAATTGGGGGTGAGAGCATAGCTAAAACAATCTAATCAGAGAGTCTGGAAATACAAGGATAAAATTTTCAACTCAGTTCCACTATGAATGTTAGCATGCAACCAACTTTTCAATTTTTGTAGGGCTTCCATTCTGCCGTTGACCAATTCAGAGTATGGTAAAGGTAAGGGATTCACGCATCTCTCTAAGGCGCAGGACATCTGAGTCATCTGCTTCTGCTGTGAAATCTGAATGCCCCTGGAATTTCTCACAAAAATCCCATATTCTCAGCTCCATTATTATTCTGGCTTCTGGCAACCAACAGCAGGAACACGTGGACCCTTGGAGAAGCTTCAGGAATTGTTACCACCAAAGCTCACGTGGGTATGCCTCCCAACTGTTACCACCAAAGCCAGCTAGGATTTTTCTTTCCTTTCCAAACAGTCATCCTCTTTCAGGAAGTAGTTTTTCAAAAATATGCAATCCTTCTGAACAACTGCAAAGTAAAATACACTTAAACATACCAACCTTGTAAAACAGGACCTGGGTGTGGGCAGGTGGAAAAGTGTCATTGTGGGTGTATACGTCTTTCTCAGGATGCACATATCCTGTGTTATTAGTCATGCTGAGGAACTTATATTTAGTCAAAGGAACCTAAATTTAGCCCACAATCTTCTAAAGTGAAATGTTTCTTTCCTCCTACAACATTCAAGCTAACTCACAGGAAACTTTTCATAATGTGTGGCAATATTTATGCTACAAAAATGCCCCCTTGTCTGCTTTCCCATTCATTTTTTTCAGCCAATATTCCCATGCATAGCATTTTGCAGGCTATTGCTCCACTTCTCAGAAACCTTAGCATTCCCTGCTGCAAGTCAAAAATCTCACCAATGGATTTCAACATCTCTTATCTCCTGTCATCTCTCACCAAAGGCCCTGTTCATTCCTTCCTTCCAACAAAGCCAAGCTATATATATTGGATCTGACCCTTAGGACTTAGCTCCCAGCACCTCCAGGTTTGCAGTTCCCCTACTCCCTTACTCCCCACCCTTCTAAGTTCAATCAACAGCCCCTGTCTTCAACATTGAATAACAAGCTAGCTCTGTTGTACACCATGTAGTATCTGCTTATGGATAAACACTCTACTTGGTGTATTACTATTTCCAATCATTTGCACTGTTCATAAAAGCTATATCACTTCGAATAAGAATTGACTTTTTTTTTTTTTTTTTTGAGACAGGGCTTTGCTCTCTCACCCAGGCTGGAGTGCAGTGGCACAATCTTAGCTTACTACAGCCTTGAATTCCTGGGCTCAAGCATTCTTCCCTCTCCAACTTCCTGAGTAGCTGGGACTACAGATGTACACTGCCAGGCCCAGAATTGACCTTTAATGCCCTGCTTTCATGATAAGCACATGGCAAGCCTTAGTAATTTCACCTGAAAATATACAGGTTCCAAGGCATAGACAATCATAAAGACTGCATTTAATCAGTTCAAGGGTTGGTACTGGTACAAACTCCAGTTTCATCTAATATCCTCATAAACACATATTAACTGTCAGTAACATGCTCATTACCCCGGGAGTCTAGACAGTGAAGTACTCAAAGATTTGGGCATGAGTGGACCCATGAGGCCACGTAATAGTCAATGCCACTCCAAGCACCTGAATTAAGATGGATCAAGAGGCTGGAGCTAAATAAAACTGCCTTCTTGAATCTTGCTCTAGCAATCCTTACATACACTGGGGTTCTTAATGGTTTTTTCTGCCTACATCTCTTGAGCAGTCTGTTGAAACCTATGGACCATTCTGAGAATAATGTTTATAAGTACATAAAATAAGAAACATAGGCTTACAAAGAAAAACAGGTATTTCAAAACACAGCACAACTTTTTTTACTGTGTGAAATATATATATGTGCTATTTGATTAATTCATTAAATACCAAGCCCTAACTTTGAGTCTGACAACTACTATAATTTTGAAGTAGTGATACGTGTACATAACATTTCAAGATACCTGCAACATCTGCAATAAGGTAGAAAAATAATCATGATTGCTGTTGGTAACAAAGTCACAGGCACTGCTAATAGTACCAGGGTTTGTTGCCTACATTCATAATTAAAGAAAATGCTAAAATTCTGTGAGAGGTTAGTGAAAACAAAGGTGCAATTTTTTCCCATCCAAGTACCTGAATTGTATTGACAGCCCTCTTGTGGGAAGACTGTGGACTCAAGTTAAGGATCCCCTAGGGATAAGAAAGAAGAGAGAACAAAGGGAAATGAGGGCTGTGCACGCTGGCTCACACCTGTAATCCCAACACTTTGGGAAGCCGAGGCAGGTGGAAAACCTGAGGTCAGGTGTTCAAGACCAGCCTGGCCAACATGTTGAAACCCTGTCTCTACTAAAAATATAAAAATTAGCCAGGCGTGGTGGCAGGCGCCTGTAATCCCAGCTACTCGGGAGGCTGAGGCAGGAGAATCATTTGAATCGGGGAGGCAGAGGTTGCAGTGAGCCGAGATCGTGCTGCTGCACTCCAGCCTCGGCGACAGAGTGAGACTCCATGTCCGAAAAAAGAAGGGAAATTGGTAGAATTTTTTTAAGTGGCATCCAGAGAAGCTCTAGAGCGGCGTAAGAGGATAGTTATTCTTATTTTTACCAATTCCCTTTTCCTCTTCTTTCTCTTCCTGTGGGAGTGATTTAAAAATCACATGGCCTCCAATGAATGTGTTATCTGACAATTAGATTATCAAAACCGTCCAGGGTTTAGGGTCATGACCAAGGTCTGGCAATGCAAGTTGGGAATACGTACAAATGTCCTCATCTGCTGTTTTTTATCTCCAGCCTTGCCTCTTTCAGAACCAGCTTCCTTATTTACAGGCATGTGGGGAGTTTGAGAAAAAAAACTAGATCACAATATTTTATTTTAATAGTGATGTCAAGGTCTTCTTCTAAGTTATTTTTATTTGGCTGCAGAACATTTCTTAAGCATCTACTATGTGCCAAGTGCTTTTAAAACATTAATCCTTGTGAAATTAACAGTAGCAACGGATTCCATTTATTGAACCATGTGTAGAAGACTTTCTACGCATCTCATTGGATTTGTCCAACAGTATCACCAGATAAGAAACGGAGGCTCAGAAAGAAGTAGTTTGCCCATGGCCACACAGCTGATAAGTGGCAGAATCCCTTTTTTTTTTTCTTTTCTCAGAACCCAAACTTGAACCACCTGCAAGTTATTTTTCTTGTCTGTAACTTGCATCAGATCCCACCAACAGGGAGTCTTAGAAGGGCCCAGGCCTGTCTCATTGCCCACGTCCCTGTCCTGCCTTCCTGAGGCCCAGAACACAAATGGAAAATGACTGATGATTTTGCTTCCCCTCCTTTCAGGGGCAAGCCCCAGTTGCATCTCAAGAGTCTTCTGGGACTGTGGGCACAGGAGGAGATGGAGTGAAACGGAGAAGAAAAAGCCACTCCTCCCTACCCAGTCAGCTGCCCCCACAACTGCACTCAGCCAACCACAGAGGGCACATTCTTTTCTTCCTTTCTTTAGGAAGTATTTACTGAGCACCTCCTATGGCAGGCACTATGCTTGGTGCTGCGGTCACAGTGACACCCAAAATGGACAAGGGGCTGGTTCTCATGGAGTTTAACATCTACAGGAGCGGGGATGGGTGTAAGTGAGAAGAACAGCAAGCATGTACACAAATGACATCATTTCAGATGGTTATAAGGACCACAAAGGACACAAATACAAAGGGATTGGAGATTGGGTAGGGGACTTTCTTTTTTTTTTCTTTGAGATCGAGTCTCGCTCTGTTGCCCTGGATGAAGTGCAGTTGTGCAGTCTTGGCTCACTGCAACCTTGGCCTCCCCAGCTCAAGTGATCCTCCCACCTCAGCTCCTGAGTAGCTGGGACTACAGATACATGCCACCAGGTCTGGCTAATTTTTGTTGTTGTTTTTTATTCTGTTGGCCAGGCTGGTCTCAAACTCCTGGCTTCAAGTGATCTGCCCACCTTGACCTCTCAAAGTGCTAGGATTACAGCCGTGAGCCACGGCACCCAGCCAGAGGACTATTTTAAATAAAGGTGTTCTCTGAGCTTTCTCTAGCACTGAAATCCATTTGAGTTATTCCCAGATATTTCACCTTGCTAATAGCCTGTTCAGGGCTCTAGAGCAATGCTGTCTGGTAGAAATATTACCCAAACCACATACGTAATTTTTAATTTTCTTGTAGCTAAATTTAAATAAGTAAAAAGAAACAGGTGAGATGTTTAATGGTATATCCTATTTGCCTTAATATAACTCAAAATATTATTTCTACATGCAATTACTGATTATAAATGAAACTATCAATTAATGAGAGTGCTTTCATTTTTTAAAATGAAGTATTTAAAATTTGGTGTATATTTTACACTTACATCACACCTCAATTCCACCTAGCCATATTTTCAGGTACCCAAAAGCCACAGTGGCTAGCGGCTACCATGCTGAGCAGGACAGTTCTAGAGTATTGATTACAATACCTATGGGAACACTCATAAGATGCAGATTGTAATTTCCATGAGGATAGTCTAGGGGACATTATTATTATTATTATTATTATTATTATTATTATTATTATTTTGAGACAGAGTCTCGCTCTGTCACGCAGGCTGGAGTGCAGTGGAGCGATTTCGGCTCACTGCAACCTCCCAGTAGCTGGGATTACAGGCTCCCGCCACCACGCCAGACTAACTTTTGTATTTTTAGTAGAGACAGGGTTTCACCATATTGTCCAGGCTGGTCTTGAGCTCCTGACCTCAGGTGATCCACCCACCTCAGGCTCCCAAAGTGCTAGCATTACAGGCATGAGCCACCCCGCCCAGCCTAGGGGACCTTATTAATCTTTGTACTTCTGTATCCCTTGTGTCTAACACAATGCCTCTTGCTAGATATGAATGAGGAAGTATAAATTCTGGTTATTAGCAACAATCTCATGACCAAACAGACTTAGAAGGAAATACGACATGGTGGATGTCAGAGTAGAGAGAGAAAGAAAAAAAAAATGTGATCCTTAATGACATGGTTCAGTTGCTGGATCAGCCCTTACCTGAAGTCTACATAATTACTAGGCTTTTTGGTTACATGAATCAGCATATTTTATTGTTTAAGCCAGTTTGAGTTGGGCTGTCTGTTACTTACGATTGAAAGCAATTAGTGCCAGGAATAAAAGTAAATGCTTGGTAAATAAGACTATTTTCACAGAGTAGTACAATCAAAATGTTGTGCATTTCAATCTATTTGAAGTGGTGAACTTCCCGCCAGCTGAATATCATACAACTTAGAATGAATGGAATGAACAGAGCTGGTTCTTACCAAGCATACCCAACTTATTTGTAGTAGAAACCGCTAATGACAGAGGAGCTACATTAAAGCAATAGGGGAAGAGATCAGATCTTAAAATGGAAGGCTTAGAGCAGACAAGAGTCAAAAAGTAAGACAAGGACATGCACTGAGGGTGGAAAAGCACACATAAGAAGAAAACCTGTCTGGGAGCGGTGGCTCACACCTGTAATCCCAGCACTTTGGGAGGCAGAGGCAGGTGGATCAACTGAGATCGGAGTTTAAGACCAGCCTGGCCAACACGGCAAAACACCGTCTCTACTAAAAATACAAAAATTAGCTGGGCATGTGGCACATGCCTATAATCCCAGCTACTCAGGAAGCTGAGGCAGGAGAATTGCTTGAACCCGGGAGGCAGAGGTTGCGGTGAGCCGAGATCGTGCCAGTGCACTCTAGCCTGGGTGACAGAGCGAGACTCCGCCTCAAAAAAAAAAAGAAAACCTGACAGGCTGACTGTCAGAACTACCAAAACACAAGCTTTTACACACAGTAGTCACTCTGATGGCCTCTTTAGTTCATTTAGCTATTTAGAAAGAGAACATATCCTAGAGATACATTCACATCTTCCACAGAGCCTTCAGAAAAAAAAATTTCTATATTTGTCCAGTTTTCCAATTTTCAATGATTATGGATACATTATAGTTTACATATTTATGTGGTACATGTGATTATCTGATACAAGAATACAATGTGTAATGATCAAATCTGGGTAATTGGGATATCCATTGCTTCAAACATTTATCATTATTTTGTGTGTTGGGAATATTTCATATCTAGCACTAGGTCTGTTTTTTTTTTTTTTTTTTTTTTTTTTTTTTTTTTTTTTTTTGAGCTGGAGTCTCTCTCTGTTGCCCGGACTGGAGTGCAGTGGTGCTATCTTGGCTCACTGCAACCTCTGCCTCCCAGGTTCATGCAATTCTCCTGCCTCAGCCTCTGAGGTAGCTGGGATTACAGGCGCCCGCCACCATGCACAGCTAATTTTTTCTGTTTTTAGTAGAGATGGGGTTTCACCATGTTGGCCAGGCTGGTCTTGAACTCCTGATCTCAAGTGACCCAACCGCCTCGGCTTCCCAAAGTGCTGGGACTACAGGTGTGAGTCACCACGCCCAGCCCTAATCTGACAACTTCTTACCTTCTCCCCACACTCCATGCAGCACGCACACCTACCAATACTCAAACGGTATATCAGAGCAGGAAAACTATGAATAACAACAAACTTTTCAAGTAAAATTATTTAATCTCACATTCCAAAAGTCTTCAATACAGGCCCAAATCTTCATGCAGCACCCCTTTGCACATATAGGACTGTGGTGATATATTTGTAACTTGGCAATTTGTTGCTTTCTATGTGGCCACGTGAAAAAGAGCCAGCATGATCTGAGAAAAATGGGAATCTTCTCTGAAGGGGTGCACCCAGTTTACATAGGAGACTCACACAAAATTACAGAAGCTGAGTTTTCACTAGTAATAAAAAGCCCACCACAATGGATGCTTGGTCCTTAGCACTTCCCCACTGCATCCCCACATTTGCTAGTCTGATATTACTTGTTTCAAAGAACTTCATGAAGTGGCCGGGTGCGGTGGCTCACACCTGTAATCCCAGCACTTTGGGAGGCTGAGGTGGGCGGATCACCTGAGGTCAAGAGTTCAAGACCAGCCTGGCCGACATGAGGAAACTCTGTCTCTACTAAAAATACAAAAATTAGCTGGGCATGGTGGCAGGCGCCTGTAATCCCAGCTACTAGGGAGGCCAAGGCAGGAGAATCACCTGAACCTGGGAAGTGGAGGTTGCAGTGAGGTGAGATGGTGCCACTGTACTCCAGCCTGGGCAACAAGAGTGAAACTCCATCTCAAAAAATAATAATAAAATAATTTTAAAAAATTAAGAACTTTATGAAGTCAAAGCTCTACTATACATACAACATGAGGAAAATGACAATTCACTGTTTTCAATAATCTGAACTTCCTAATCACTAAATGACTTTATAGGAACTGAAGTTTTCAGATTTCCATTGTCTGCAAAAGATGATTTGGCTAGGATCATTTACAGAAAAAAAGATTATTTGGGGAGGGGGTGGTGTTTAATTACGAGAACTATTTGAATCTCAGCCAGAAGGTATTTACAAATAAATGGTCTATGAATCACAATCATCTCTTTCTGTTCATTAATGCAGAGTCCCTACTTCATCTTATTGTTCTGCTGAAGCTGGGCTTGAAAATAATATATTGCATTTCTTCACAAAATATTGGCAAAGATAGCTATTCCGTAATAGAGATGATCTGGCCGTACCTTGAGTCATCTGTCTTCTGTGTGACATAAGTGTTCTATCTCATTCATTGCCTCATGTTTCATAAGTGCTCATTTGCTAAATTTCCATCTGCTCATTCATAAGCAATGCATGCTGTGTCTTCTTCATGGTCACATGAAGACAAATTTGGGGGGTTTATAGAATGTGGATCTTAAGACAAACATATGATTATATTCGGCTTTTTAAAAAATCTCACTTCTTGGAGAGAATAGGAAGTAATTTTATTTCCCAAGTCGGAATCTGAGTCTTATATGCCATTTAAAGAAAAAAATTCACAAAGCCAGGTTGCTCACTTCAGTAGAGGGCAATTTTTCATCAGCCAGGTCTGTCAAGTCCATTTTATTTCACAAATTGGACAGCCGTATCTGTGTGTTTTCTATCAGCCTTAAGAAAATGGTATTCTTTCGATTGGTAGTATTGGGTTTTATTTTGGGATGTTCTCTCTTTTTATCAAGAGTGAGCAAAAATATCTTGACAGTATTCAATATTTTTGAAAGCACATGATATTTACACAAAGGATAATACCAGAATAAAACTTAAAGCATTTGATAGACATTACTTCATGAATCTTAGAACTATCTTTGAAACAAAGCGAGGAACAAAGGACAAATATTTACGGAAGGCCTGCTATGTGCCAGGAACTGGACTGGGTAATTTATATAAATCATCTCCTTTAATCTTCACAAAATCCCTATGATATGGGTATTCCTTTTTTTCCCCTTTTTTCAAAATATATATATTTTTTATTTCAATAGCTTTTAGGGTACAAGTAGTTTTTGGTTATGTAGGTTAACTGGATAATGGTGAGGTCTGAGATTTTAGTGTACCTGTCACCAAGTAGTGTATTTTGTACACAACCTGTAGTTCTTTTATTCCTCACCCTTCTCCCACCCTCCCCCCTTTGAGTCCAAGGTCTATTACACCACTCTGTATGCCTTTGCATACTCTGATATGTATATTCTTATCTCCATTTTAAAGATAAGAAAACTGAACTAGGTGAGATCAGTAATTGGCCCAAAGTGATATAGAGGGTAAATGAAAGGGAATCAGGATTCAAATCCAGCTCTTGATGTTTCTAAACTCATGTTCCAAGTGGCTTACAATGAAGAAAACATAAAAAATAACCTAAATAACACAGGCATTGATTAAGTAAATTATAGTATATCCGGCTGAGTACGGTAGCTCACACCTGTAATCCCAGCACTTGGGGAGGCTGAGGCAGGCGGATCACCTGTGACCAGGAATTTGAGACTAGCCTGGCAAACATGGCGAAACCCTGTCTCTATTAAAAATATAAAAATGATCTGGCCATGGTGGCGCATGCGTGTAATCCCAGCTACTTGGGAGGCTGAGGCATGAGAAACACTTGAACCCAAAAGGCAGAGGTTGCAGTGAGCTGAAATCGTGCTACTGCACTTCCAGCCTGGGCAACAGGGCAAGGCTCTGTCATAAATAAATAAGTAAATAAATTAATTAAATAGAATGTATTATATGATCCCTTAGAAGATATGTATAATTTTATACCTATATTTGCATTTAAAAAGTTGTTATTGCTGGGTGGTGAAGTATGCTTCTTTTGCTGTTTATTTGTGGTTGGTCTACGATGAGCCTGTATTACCTGGATAGAATGATAAATGAATAGATAGTTGGATGACTAGGTAGCTAGACTGACAGACACATAAATAGATAGATATAGAATATATTAAAAGATATAGATAGAATTTAAAGATTCAGTGTTTCAGGAAAAGAAATAAGATTTTTAGCACATTTGACATTTGAAAACCTCTATACACTTTAAGAATATCTAATCATCTGTAACATACTTGCAGAGTTCAGAAAAAAATCTATGTATCTGTATTTATATCGATATTTATCTCTACATTTATAGATATATTATTTTATCATATACTATCTGCCCATGTGTATAAAAGTATATAAGTATATATGTAGAGGATGATACACTATATATATATTTACAGATGGAAAATGAAAGTATATATATAATAGAACAAATGTAGTAAATGGTAATAATCAGGGAATCTGGGTAAAGGGTACATAGAAGTTCCTTGTGCTATTTGTTCAACTTATCAAAGTTTGAATTATCTCAAAATAAAAAGTTTTTAAATCTAATAGATATTTTATGCGGTTGTTTTTTGTTTTTTTTGAGATAGAATTTTACTCTGTCACTCAGACTGGAGTGCACTGGCACCATCTTGGCTCAATGCAACCTCCGCCTCTTGGGTTCAAGCGATTCTCCTGCCTCAGCCTCCTAAGTAGCTGGGATTACAGGCACCTGCCACCACACCCAGCTGATTTTTGTATTTTTAGGAAAAACAGGGTTTCGCCACATTGGCCAGGCTGGTCTTGAACTCCTGACCTCAAGCAATCCACCTGCCTCAGCCTCCCAAAGTGGTGGGATTACAGGCAAGAGCCACTGCGTCCAGCTATTTTATATTTTACCTATTTTTGTTAAAAAATACTAATTTTAAGAGATCCTTTTCCACCATTTGCTCTCCTTCTTGACATATGAAGCAAGAACCCTAATGTCAGTTTGTGAATTTGGCCTTTACAGTGCTTGTCATAGAGTAACTTGGGATTTATTGAATTATGTCTTTCCCAGAGCATAGAAACACATATAGGAAGCCTCCCACTTTGTTTGACAAGGCCAGCACAATCTTAATAACAGAATTCGACAAACCTAGCACACAAAACAATCACAAACCAATATGAATCATAAATATAGAGACAAATGTGTGAAACAAAATGCTAGCTTCTTCAATTCTGGTAATGTCTTAAAAAATACAAACCATTAATAGGCAGGATTTATTTCAAAATTATAAGTTTAGTTCAGCATGGGTAAATCAAGATAAGTTAAAAGAGATACTCCATCTGAGTCTCTTGATAAATGGCAAAGAGGCATTTTTCTTGAGCAGCAGCTTTTTGCAAACTAGGAACAACAGAACACAAAAAAGAATAACTATCTAAAACAAACAAACAAAAAAAGTGTACGTTTTCAGGGGAAATACTGGAGGCATTACCACCCAAGCAAGGCATAAGAAAATTACACCCATTATCATTGCTATTATTTCAACACCGTTCTGTTTTTTTTTTTTTTTTTTTTCCTGAGATGAAGTCTCACTCTGTCGCCCAGACTGGAGTGCAGTGGTGCAATCTCAGCTCACTGCAACCTCCGCCTCCTGGGTTCAAGCAGTTCTCCTGCCTCAGCCTCCTGAGGAGCTGGGATTTCCACCATGCGTGGCTAATTTTTTTTGTATTTTTGGTAGAGACGAGGTTTCACCATGTTGGCCAGGCTGGTCTCAAATTCTGACCTGAAGGTGATCCACCCGCCTTGTTCTTCCAAAGTGCTGGGATTACAGGTGTTAGCCACCACGCTCAGCCTGTTCTGGTATTTCTTAACTTTATTAACTATCTAAGAAATTCAAAGAAGCTACCAAGGAGCTATCAACTAATAAGACAGTTCTAATTGAATCCAATACATACATTCAAAGCTTTACTTTATACTAGGCATCAGGGATTGGCAAACTGTCTATAAAGGTCAAAGAGTAAATATTTTAGGCTTTTTGGGCCATCCAGTTTCCATTGCAACTATTCGACTGTACCATTGGAGTGCAAAAGCAGCCATTAATAATGCATAAGCGAATGGATGTGGCTGTGTTCCAATAAAACTTCCAGGCAGTGGACTGGATTTTGCCTACTGGCAATGGTTTGATGACTTCTACTTTATACCACAGAAAGCAGTTGATGGGAAAAAGTTATCCTTTAAAACATCAAAAAAATATAAAGACCTAGAAACAAACTTTTTTTTTTTTTGAGACAGAGTTTCATTCTTGTTGCCCCGGCTGGAGTGCAATGGCATGATCTTGGCTCACTGCAATCTCTCCCTCCTGGTTCAAGTGATTCACCTGCCTCAGCCTTCTGAGTAGCTGGGATTACAGGTGCCACCATGCCTGGCTAATTTTTTTATTTTTAGTAGAGCCGGGGTTTCGCTATGTTAGGCTGGTCTTGAACTCGTGACCTCAGATAATCCACCTGCCTCGGCCTCCCAAAGTGCTGGAATTACAGGCATGAGCCACCGTACCCAGCTGAAATAAACTTTCTAAAAGGCAATTTGGCTATATGCATCAAAAATGAAATTTAGAGTACTCTTTCAACCCAATAATTCCATTTCTGGAAATTTATCCTAAGGATACATTTAGATAAGGACATAAAGATGTGTACACAAGGATGTTTATTACAGTGTTATTTATAATAAGAAAAGTTGGCCAGGCGCGGTGGCTCATGCCTGTAACCCCAGCACTTTGGGAGGCTGAGGCAGGCCAATCACTTGAGGTCAGGAGTTCGAGACTAGCCTGACCAACATGGTGAAACCCCATCTCTACTAAAAAATACAAAAATTAGCCAGGCGTGGTGGCAAGTGCCTGTAATCCCAGCTACTCGGGAGGCTGAGGCAGGAGAATCGCTCGTTTGAACCCAGGAGGCGGAGGTTGCAGTGAGCCGAGATCGTGCCATTGCACTCCAGCCTGGGTGACAAGAGGAAAGAAAAGAAAAGAGAAAAGGAAAGAAAAGAAAAGTTATCTACTGACATAATCTATGTCTATGAGGAATGCATAGTTTTAAGTTACAGAGTAGTATGTATAATACCAACTAATTTTAAAAATTAAGTTAGAGTAGTATGTATAATATCAGCTAATTTTTACAATATATAGGTGTGCATATGAAGTTATGCATATGGACACACACATGCAACAAAACCTGGAAAGAAATATCCCCAGTTGCTTTATTAGCAGTTATTTCTTGTGACGGATTTATGAGCGACCTTTCTTCTAATTTTTGCTCTTTTTTTATTTCTTCAATGGAGCTGAGAAATAAAATTTTTGATTTTTAAAAGGAAGCTAGCAAATACAAAAACCCTGTGCTTAACAATTTACTTGCATTTCTATTGATTTTGAAGGAGCCTGTAGACAGTACCCTCCTCAAACAAAGCATATTGACACTGATTTTAACTTTTATGTTAAAATTCCAGACACCCCTGGAAAGTTATTTAAGTTATCGTTAACCACTTCATGTCCTGAATATAGAAATCTTTGGGTTATAACAAATGCAAAAGGAGCATATGCCTGGAAATCTTGTAGTTTTCTTATCTTTCAGTAATGTTTCTGTATGCATGACTGTGCGCGCGTGTGTGTGTGTGTGCACATGTGTGTGTACACATCTGTCTATTAAGAAAAGCCAGAGAAGGGAAATAGGAAATGGACAAGAATGGTAAATCAAAGACCAACATGAATTAATGTTCTACAGGGAAAAAAGTATTAGTAAACTCACTCCTCAAGGTCTTATTTATGATTTTATAGTATGAGAATTTTCCTTTTGGGTTAGGAGAAAACCCTGACATCCTTGTAAATTCCCATTTATAATTTTCCAAGACTAAATTTGGGTCTCCTAATAGAAAATATAAGTCCATGTGATTTATATCTAGTTGTGAAATTTAAGTACATTTTTCCTTACAATTGACAATAGGTATCTAATTATTTATTTTGCCAAGAGTTTTACTTATTGTAAAATGATACATATTTAATTTTCATGTATTTAAAATCTTGGGAAAATGTAAATGGGAAGGGAAAATGATTTTTATAATTTCTCAGGAGTTCTTTGTAGGTGTTACTGAATGCAAGTTACATGGTGTAACTCACAGTTGTCAAAAAGAGCCAAAAAAAAAAACCATACTATTTTTGCCTTCTCAAAATAATTACCTTATCTGGCTTTGAAATCTTCCTACTTCCCTCCTGAGGTGGCCTTCTCCAATAGCTTAGCATAAAAATTAGATCCAATGCTAACAGAATATCCTCCAATAACAGACATTTCCAACTTTGGCGGGGGGCAGGGGAATGTATTTGAGAACATATGTATGTTTCTATGCATCCACGTGTGAGTATGTGTGTGTGAGCTTGTCATTGCTAGAGTGGCCATGGGAGAAAAGTGAATCTCCCTAGAGCCAACTTAGAAGTTAACAAGAACAATATGACAACCACAAGGTCATCCAGAGTTCTCAAAAGTGATGTCAAAAGATGATGAGGTGTTAAGTACATTTTGTAAGCCATGAAAATCCAGGACACAATGAGCAAGAAATGAAGTTTACTCTGAATACAACAAATGAGTATATTGATATAATTTTCATTAACTATTCCTTTGCTTCCAATCTCAATCAAATGCTCTTTATCCTTTGGCAGTAGAATTTACTATTACCAAACATGAACATAACAACCTACATTAGTCTTATGTTGAGATCTGGGAGTCCAGAATTCTGCAAACTTTCCTTTCAATCTTTCATTTTAAAAATTCTTGGAAATGAATTTAGCATGGTAGTTAAAAAGTGAGAAGTCATGCTTCAAATCCCAAACTATGTTTTTCCTGTCAAATATTGCTCTCTATAAAGTGTATCACCAAACCCCAGTAGAAACTTACCCTTCAACTTGAGGTCAACATTATGTCTCAGCCAAGGATAAACCCCATAGCTTGGCATATCTTCGGGAATTGGATTATTGCTTATCCAGCCATCACAAGCGAACCGGAAGAAATTATCACAAGGATCCACAGACAGATTTACTTTACTTAAGATGGCAGCAGCTATTTAGAAAGAAAATCATAGGATTAATGACAAGCACTGAATGTTGTATACTGTTCTTTTCCAAATTAAACAACAATTCCATATCAACCAGTTTCCAAGCCTTGGCATTTATATTTCCCCTTAAATAAACTCTCTGAATCTACCTCACTATATGAAATGACTACATTCAAAGTGAATGGATAGGCCGGGTGCAAGGGCTCATGCCTGTAATCCCAGCACTTTAGGAGGCCGAGGCAGGTGGACCACCTCAGGTCAGGAGTTTGAGACCAGTCTGGCCAACATGGTGAAAACCCATCTCTACTAAAAATACAAAAATTAGCCAGATATGGTGATGCATGCCTGTAATCCCAGCTACTCAGAGGCTGAGGCAGGAGAATTACTTAAACCTAGGAGGCAGAGGTTGCAGTGAGCTGAGATCGCACCACTGCAGTCCAGCCTGGGGTGACAGAGTGAACCTGTCTCTCAAAAAAAAAAAAAAAAAAAAAGGGAATGGATAAAAGTTTGGTGGTATTATCATCACTGGTTTTTGCAGGGCCATCCCTAACATCTGTGGGGTATGGGACAAGAATACAAATAGAGCGTGTGGTCAATTGTTTGCAAAGATAACTGTGACTATTTCTTCTATCCTGCTTGTCCTTCTGCAAAGTGACCTTGCTGCTCTTCCCATCAAGTGGTAGAGTCTATTTCCCCTGCCTGGAATTTGGACTGACCTTGTCACTTGCTTTGACCAACAGAATTGGCAGAAGTAACTTTCTGTGAGTTTCAAAGCTAAGCCTTAAGAGGCCTTGCACCTTCCATATTAACTCCCTTTGAATGGAGCCCTTTAGCTGCCCTTTGAAGCAGCCTCCTGGAGGACAAGAGGACACATAGAGAAGAACCAAGCCAGCACAACTGCCAGGCATTGACTGAGGCCATCATTCGCCTTCCAGTCCAGGCGCCCATCTAGCTGAATGCAGTGGCACAAATGAGCCTAGGCAAAAATCGGCAGAGAAACCATCCACCAAATCCACAAAATCATGAGAAATATCCAATCATTTTTGTTCCAGGCCTCTATGGTTTGGGTGGTTTGCCTCACAGTGAAGGCTAATGGAAACAGAAGTTCATATGTCATCTATCTAAATATTTAAAAGTTATATTTACAAAATACTTTCAAATTCTTGAGCTCCTTGATATTCAGTGTAACTCTCAGAGAAATGAAGCCCCAGAAGAGACTCACAGAGATCCTGGAAGGGAGCTTGGGGCCATCAGGCAGGGAATTCTGGGGTGTAGAAGGAGAGGGCTGCCTACTTGGCTCCACAGACGCCTTGGCTGAAGGAGAGGCATGGCCAGAGGAGGGCCAAAGTAGGGTGTTCTAAATGAGGGACCCAGGTCTAGCAGTAGAACTGAGTATGTGTATAAGTTAACAGAAAGACACAATAGACTGATCTACCATTTTTTTCCTCTTTCATAAGCCCATACACAATTACATATAGAAGATAACCCACAGGTAGGAGATGTGTGCATAAATATGTAACCATGAACTTTAAAAGAAAACCCTTCATTACAAAATGAGAATTCCCAATATTGAACTCCAATGCTCTTCCAGCTGCCATGCAATTGCTGGCTACCATTCTAGCACAAAGTTATGTACCAATTGATTTTTTTAAAAAACCAGACAATATTTTAATGACATTGAAAAGATGACATTCTGGGCAATTTTCATACTTTAAATAATGCCAGAATATATTTTTGTTTGAAGTAATGAAAACCCAAAGAGATTTCAGCTAAATATGAATGAACTGCCCCAAAAAAGTACAATCTGTGTCAATTTAGATACATATCTTACAGTTTGGTTACATGTGTGGTTCCTCCAGGTTTAAAAATAAGGCTAGATATTTCTCCAGCCTAGACTTTCTACAAAAATTTCAAACAGCCTTTTGTCTTCAATGAAGTGAATAATATAAAAACATTCTAATTTCTATAGGGCCTCAAAATCCCCACCATTTTCAAACCTCCCCCAACAACACACACACACACACAAAAAAAAAACACTAGCAAAAAATTGGTTTAGAAGCCAAACACTGTGGCTCATGCCTGTAATCCCAGCATTTTGGGAGTCTGAGGTGGGCAGATCACTTGAGCCTAGGAGTTCGAGACCAGCCTGGGCAACATGGCAAAACCCCGTCTCTTAAAAAAATAAAAAAATAAATAAAAATAAAGACTTAGAAGTTTGATAAATTTCAAATTGGCTTAACATTTTCGTGCTTCAGAACTAGCATCAGTTGTCTCTAATTACATTTTTAATTACTGCTACTTTTTTATTTTTTATTATTTATTTATTTATTTATTTATTTTTTGAGACAGAGTCTTGCTCTGTCGCCCAGGCTGGAGTGCAGTGGCGTGATCTCAGCTCACTGCAAATTCTGCCTCCCAGGTTCACACCATTCTGCTGCCTCTGCCTCCCAAGTAGCTGGGACTACAGGCACCCGCCACCACGCCCGGCTAATTTTTTTTTGTATTTTTAGTAGAGACAGGTTTCACCACATTAGCCAGGATGGTCTCGATCTCCTGATCTCATGATCCACCCACCTTGGCCTCCCAAAGTGCTGGGATTACAGGCGTGAGCCACCGTGCCCGGCCACTTACTGCTACTATTTTATCATTAATATTTAATGTGCAAATGTGCTAGGACATAACAAAATCTTTCTTTTGGTTGGTATTTATAGTTACTGTATGCAGCCACAGAATGAATCTGCTATGTGACACCTCAGAGACATGGATCACACGTCTCAGTCCCACACAACATTTACAGTCACACAGGGGAGCCCTCACACGCATTTTTACCCACATGAGTACACTGTTTTCCAGCCTCCTTCTCAAACTTTCCCTGCCCCCAACCCTCAAATGTATCCTCTCCATCTCGCCAGTATTCTTGCAGGTACCTAGAAAAACTGCAAGGTCAGCTCTGACCTTGGCCCTGATACAAAAGTTGGGAAATACATCACTCACATTGAATTTGGAAAGAAGCCTGCTGAGTGAGAAAACTCTAGTTGCAGCCTCCCAATTCATCATTCACAATTCACAGCGGGGCACAGGGCTGCACTTTCTGCAGGGGAACTGTGACTTCAAATTGCAAGGGACCATAGTTGTCAAGACACCAAAACGCCTTTCCCCCTACTCAGCTCCATGGAGAAAACCCAGAGTCTTGTTTTAATAAAAGAAATATGATGATGAAGGAAATCTGTGAAAGCTCAGGCTGTGTACTCTTCCAAGTCACTATATATAAGGTTAATTGTCACACAGTCACCAGTTGCTGTTTGTGTGGTAGAGGTGGAGGCATCCTCCCTAAATACCAGCCTCTGTTTTTAGATTTAATCAAGGATGAAGGGAGAGAGTAGTAATAATAATAATTAACAATAATAAAATCACCAATATTGAGTATTTCCTTTTTGCCAGGACCTACGCTAAGCCCTTTTTTAGCAATATGGTATCGTCACAAACTCTAGTCAGACCACTTGTGTTTGAATGAGAGAAACACCATGCAGCAGCTAAGACACCTTAGGCAGGTGATTTAACCTGTGTCTTAGTTTCCTCACCTGAAAATGGGGATAATAATAGCACCCCATGGAATCATTATGCAAATTAAATATATGTAAAGTGCTTAGAATAGTGTTGGGCACATTACCATATAAATGCATGATGCCCAGTGAAGTCTGAATTTCTGATAAACAACCACCTTTTAGAATAAGTAGGTACCAAATAGTCCATGAGACATACACCAGAAAAAGTAGTCATTGTGTATCTGCAATCAAATTTCACTAAGCATCCTGTATGTACGTATGTATGTAGTTAGCTAAATCTGGGAACTGTAATTCCACAATCACTTATCTGAAACTCTTGAGGTTAGATATGTTTCAGAGCTCATAGATTTTTCAGATTTTAGAAAATAAATACATTGCATATAACCACAGATCATGTAATACTTCAGCAATGGCTGGAGTGGCAGGCCTGAAGCAAGTGCATTAATGTTTCTATAGGGAAACATATGCATATTCTTGTAAGTAGGATAAATGAAATCTGAAGCAGCCTCACATGAGTTAAGATCCAATTTTGCCATCAAAGGAATTGAGATCAGGCCCCCATCTTGCCAACTGAGAGTTACATCGTTTTCTGGGTTTGGGGTTAAGAATCAGCATTGTGAACCTAAATTACTGCTACTACCATTATTATTTTCTTTTTCTAATTTTTTTTTTTTGAGGCGGAGTCTCACTATGTTGCCCAGGCTGAACTGCAACCTCCCCCTTGGGGTTGAAGTGCAGATTCAACCTGCAATCTCGGCTCACTGCAACCTCCACCTCCCAGGTTCAAGTGATTGTCCTGCCTCGGCCTCCCAGGTAGCTGGGATTACAGACTTGCGCCACCACGCCTGGCTAATTTTTGTATTTTTAGTAGACATGGAGTTTCACCATGTTGGCCAGACTGGTCTTGAACTCCTGGCCTGAAGTGATCTGTCCGCCTCAGCGTCCCAAAGTGCTGGGGTGGCAGGCGAGAGCCACCGTGCCCAGTCCATTATTATTTTCTTTTATTCTCACGACTAGTATAAGTAAAACCTGTTATTCCCATTTCACACTTGGTGAGACTGAGGCTTAGCGTGGCTATATATTTAGCCCAGGATCATGTGGCTTGTAAATAGCTAAATCATGCTTCAAACCCAGTCAGCCTGTCTGCCCTTATCTGTGATCATGAGCATGCATGCCCTTTCCTTGTTTCTTTGCATTCTTTGCACAGCTCTTATTTTGAAAGAGGGATTAAAATAAGAGGACACAGAGAAGAGGAGAGTTATGGAGAGGAAGCATCTCAGAAGTGGTTGGCACCTGCTCAGAAATGGTCCAGAAGGCGATCAAACACTCTAGTCTTCTGAACTTTCAGCATGCACGCCCACGCACGCACAGCCTCTTGTTTAAGGCCCTGGCTTGGCCGTAATTCTCCTGCCATGTGTACTCACAGCTGTTCTGCAGACCCCTGGGCACACTGAGGCTCACGTTACACTAAAGAGAACTGGGTCTTTGGTGAGCCTTTCACTCCAGAAACAGCAAAATCAATATTTTTTTTCAACATTAGAAAGCCATTCGCCAATGTGAAAATTAAAAACAGGACAGCAAGGCAGAACACACTAGCTGGCAGAAGGCAACATCTTTGAATGTCAGTCTGTAAGTTTTAGTCTTGCATTATTATGATTCATAATACAGAACTAAAACTCATGAAATAAGTGGCCTTCCATACAAAAAAGTGTTCTAAACTCAAGTTGAAAATTTATGAGCTCAAAAATTCCCATTTCACACATCTGCAAGAACCCCACCACAGCCAAAGCACCAGGTGACATAAACTCTAAAACCTGTCCTGATAGTTCCGCCTGCTCTCTCACCCCACTCCATGACAATCTCTCACCACTGGAGAAAACCTCAGGTCAACTACTCAAGCCTGGAGCAGGAAAGGGCCTGGGAGTTCTCAGATAGTTCCAGGGCCAAAAAGAGTTGCCTGGCATGGCCCCATATCACCAAGGAAAAGACGGAAAGGAGCCAGACATGGACACGAAGTCCAGCTCTGCTACTAACTCAGGATGAGACCCTGGGCAGTTATTTAGCCTCCAGAAGCCTCCATTTCCTCATCTGTCAGTGAGGCTGGTGATAGCACTGACTTCATAGGGGTCTTATGAAGGTTTTATGAGATGGTGCCTGTAAGGCACTCAACACACAGCCTGGTTAAAATATATATATATATATATATATATATATATATATATAGAGAGAGAGAGAGAGAGAGAGAGATCACTTAAGAATGGAACAAAAAAAGAACTCTACTAACATAATTATCTAAGCCACTACCTTTGTATAAGGTCTCCGAATTTACAAGCTCTTTCACCTAAGTGTTTCCCATCTCAATAAACACCACTGCCCAACCATCACCAAAAATCTAAGCGTCACCCACAATTGTCTGCTTTTGTTCACAGCCTGCATCGAATCCTTCAATAGGCCCTCTACCTCCTAAACCTTCCCCCATTCTCCCTCTCCATCTCTTGAATTCAAGACAGCATCGTCTGTCACCTGGCGTACAGAAATAAACCTACTTGAGTCACCTTCTTCTATTCTTGCTCCCTATGGTCTCTTCTCCATCAAGAAAGACTCCCTCTAACTGAGCCCTCCACCGAGACATCTTTTGAAATGCTCCTAAGATGTATTCTCTTTCATAAAAGCCTCCAGAGGCTTTCGAGCACACTTAAGGAAAGCCCAAACTCACTGGCACTTGGGTCCCCCATTGACTCCTCATCACTTGCACCTCACCTAGCAAGCTCCTCCCGTTCCTCAAGTCCACCAAGTTCATGCTTCTATGCACCCTTTGCCCCATCTGTTCCCCCCACCTGGAAAGCCCTTGCCTCAGTCTTCACACAGCAGTTCCCTCCTCATCATTCAAAGGTCACCTCCAAGGTCATGTCCTCCGGCTTTTCAATCTAGCCATCCTGTCACTTGCTATCACATTGTTCTATCTTTTTTTTAATTTTCTCTATAACATTTTCCACTGACTGATATTCCTCTTTCTTTCTTTCAGAGATGGGGTCTCACTAATTTGCCCAGGCTGGCCTCCAACTCCAGGGCTCAAGCCTCAGCCTCCCATGTGGCTGGAACTAAAGGCACGTGTCACCACACCCAGTTTCATAATTTTCTCATTGTATTAATTGCCTTATTGTCTTTCTTCCCATACCTGGTTCACTGCTCTATTTCCAAAACCTAACTCAGTACCTCATGTGCAACAAATATTTGGTGAATTTGTTCATTAACCTTTTAAGGCCAAGAGGAAAGTGAAAGGGCCACATGCTTGTTTGATGACTTTCCTTTTGGAAAAAGGAAAAAAGTGTCCCTGCCCACTTAAAGAATGAGGGTGAGGGCTAGAATCTGGCTCCCTGAAATCTAGGCCCTAACACTGATTTAGGAGGGAAATCTAATAGCTGTGTGTGGGACCCCCAGGTTTCCCCTCACCTCCCCACCGCCGCTTTCGGTGTCCTAACCAAAAATTACACAATCCCCTGACCACTCTGTGACCCAGCCACCTGCAGGTTTGTTTTGTTTTGTTTTTTTTGAGACAGAAGTTCCCTCTGTCACCGAGGCTGGAGTGCAATGGTGCAATCTCAGCTCACTGCAGCCTCCGCCTCCTGGGCTCAAGCAATTCTCATGCCTCAGCCTCCCGAGTAACTGAGATTACAGGCATGAGCCACCATGCCCGGCTAATTCCAGCTGCTGGTTTTTCCCAGCAGGCTTAGGTCCAGACTGGACCCTTGAACATTCCCAGGCACTGATAAAGGTATCTAGGTTGATGCACAAAACACTGAAAGAAACTAGTACCGGCTCTGAGCCAAATTCCTTAAACCCGCATATAGTCTCCACACCCTAATGCCCTAAGTAGAACACCCCTTTTCTCTCACTGTCTTGAGGATACACTGCAGCACTTTCAACATAAGTTGCACTAATAAATGCTTTGGACTGACCGGCCGCCCTGGCATTTATTTAGTGCTTCTTTCTTTGGAATCCCAACTGGCCCCATCTCGGGATGGGATATTCCCTCATGGGAATTTCCCTGTTGCTGCTTTTGGGGCAACTCCAGCCATGAGTTTGATGGGATAAGACACTGTGGCAAAACTGCGGCCACTTTAAACACTCATCTTCACCCTGGGATATCCACTGATACACAGCCTGGTCACCTCAAGAGAAGTTTGACTTGCAACGTGTGACAGAAAAAAGAGATTCCCAGCCGGGCACAGTGGCTCTTGCCTGTAATCCCAGCACTTTGGGAGGCCAAGGCGGGTGGATCACTTGAGGTCAGGAGTTCGAGATCAGTGTGGCCAACAAGGTGAAACTCCGTCTCTACTAGAAATACAAAAATCAGCCGGGCGTGGTGGTGGGCACTTGTAATCCCAGCTACTAGGGAGGCTGAGGCAGGAGAATCACTTGAGCCCAGGAGGTGGAGGATGCAGTGAGCTGAGATCGTGCCAGCCTGGGCGACAGAGCAAGACTCCGTCTCAATTTTTAAAAAAGAGAAAAGGGACTCCCACTGACAATGGAAGCGTGGATTTATTTGCAAAGGAGCCTTGCTTAGAGGCAGGCAAGTCAGACCCACAGACCAGAAGATAGGCAACTGCTTAAGGTAAAGAGGAATTCATAGCCAGCGGAGCCATAGGAAGACCAATGTTCTCTGCCTGTGGGTCTTAAGAGAGGCCATTCAGCCTTCCAAGCCCCTTCCTGATTTCCTTGTAACAACGCTTAGAATACCACAGTTTTTGCAAGGAAAAAGAAAACAGGAAACCTAAGCTCCACTGTTTCACACCAAAACTTGAAAATAAACTTAAAATTTCTTCAAAATTGCATTTCGTACTTGGTAAACCTCAAGCAAACAGAATACTAAAAATACCACCTGTCTTCTCTTCCACTTCCCAAGGTACCATAATTATAACTTGACACAGGATGGAAAACTGTGACTTACCCGCTTCGATGCATTCTGGCTTCAGGCAGTACTCCTGTTTAGCTTGGAGACTTAAGAGACCTTGACTCACTGAAAAAACAGACCACAATAAATGGCTGAGTTGTAGCAGACCACCATCCGGTAAACCACCCTCGGAAACATACGCAAGATATTTGATATCAGTTCATCCTTCTCAGTGTTGACACGGTATTCCAAAACCCAGTTGGTTCAATGTCACGAAACCAGACTCTAGCTGCTAGCTAAATAACCTTGGTAAGACTCTTGGTTGCTTTGAAACTCAGTTCTCTCGTACGTAAGATAAGTGAGTATAACTAGACCAGAGCTCCTAAGAGTGTGGTCTCTAGAGCAGCAGCAGCTGCTGCTGCTGCACCTGGAAGCTTGTTAGAAAGCCACTCCAAGATCTTGACTCAGAAACCCTGGGGGTGGGGCCCAGCCATCTGCGGTTTAACAAGCCCCCCAGGTGATTCCGATACATGCTCAAATATGAGCACCACTGGGCGAGACACTCTCTAAAGTCGCTTCAGCCTCCAATTATCAGTGGTTTAAGTCTCATACTTTCACTCTATTGGTTTATAACTCCATGCCCATGTTCAAGATGGGAAAATTGAAACTTTTAAACTATGTCATTTGGAGCCAATCAGAGTGGAAATAGAAAGCTAGCATGTTTGGCTTTTAGAGTTCTGGATCTTATCTAAACCATCCATACAGATACGGACCAAAAAAGGGGTAGGGGTAAAGAATATACTGAACATATCTCAATCACCTATTGATAGCAACAGTCATTGTCCGCCTGCCCTGAACCCCACAAACTCTCCGCCCACCAGGCCCAGCTTAGCTACCAGACATTTGCAACTTTGTGGACCAAGCTTCCAGCTATTTCCTCCCTTCCCCCACTCCAAAAAAAAAAAAGTCTAAAATTGAAATAGCTTTTCACCAATGGCTTAATATCTCCATCTGCCTGGCAACATTATCTAAATAGGTGTCTGCAGAAGTACAGAAGGGTGCCCAATTTGTCAACCCCAGGTAGCACCTGGGCATTAGCAGATGTTAGTTTAAGATTTCAAAAGTATTTGTAGTAGCTGAGGAAATTCTGGGGAATTCATTCTTGCTGTGCTCTGTGAGCAGAAACAATGAATCATTTGGAGATGTGGCCATGGGGAGAGGGATGGTGGGAGGTGAATGGGGACCAAGGCCCTCTGTGGCAGAAAGCTCGGCAGTACCTATATTTCTGCTAGAGATGGAAGACCTGTAGATTACTACCCAGTGTGGCGAGTTTTTATTATTTATTAACCCACTCTCTAAATGGAGCCTGCTTTTCCTTTGTTCTTTTTCTCTGCTGCCATCCTCCAAACAGCCTCTTTGCATTGCATTGTGTTACATTAGAGATTCAAGAAAACTGCCGATGAAACATCTCAGTCCTATTTTTTTTTTTTTTTTCGAGACAAGAGTCTCACTCTGTCACCCAGGCTGGAGTGCAGTGGGGTGATCTTGGCTCACTGCAAGCTCTGCCTCCCGGGTTCACGCCATTCTCCTGCCTCAGCCTCCCGAGTAGCTGGGACTACAGGCACCCGCCACCACGCCCGGCTAATTTTTTTGTATTTTTTAGTGGAGATGGGGTTTCACCGTGTTAGCCAGGATGGTCTCGATCTCCTAACCTCATGATCCGCCCGCCTCGACCTCCCAAAGTGCTGGGATTACAGGTGTGAGCCACTGCGCCTGGCCCATCTCAGTCCTGTTTTTAAGAAAATAAGTTTCTTAGCAAAAAGGTGTGTTTTGATTTCTGTATAAAGCAAAAAAAAAAAAAAAGTTATGTAAAAAAATATATATGGGCAGCATAAAGATTAGTGTGCAATATTCCAATATGCCTGGGTGGCAGAACCTCAGGGGGAATTTTCCCCATCAGTCAATTTTTATATGTTGACCTAATGTTCTTTAGTGAGCATGTGTTCTTTTATATAATGCAAAAATAAGCTTTATTGTAAATAATATTTTTATAATTCTGGACAATACCTTCTTGATCCTAGCCTTATTTTAAAAAACAAAATAGCTAATAAAATCGTTAAAGACTTATTCCTTTCATGAGAGATAATTCTTGACCCAAAACCTCAAAGGAAGAAGTAAAATCAGGTATCTTTATCTAACGATGAGCAGAAGGAAGGTTTTAAATATAACTAATTAGGCCAGGCACGGTGGCTCAGGCCTGCAATCCCAGCACTTTGGGTGGCCGAGGTGGGCGGATCACCTGAGGTCAGGAGTTCGAGACCAGCCTGGCCAACATGGTGAAACCCCATCTCTACTAAAAATACAAATCTTAGCTGGGCGTGGTGGTGCACGCCTGTAATCCCAGCTACTCAGGAGGCTGAGGCAGGATAATTGCTTGAACCCAGGAGGCGGAGGTTGTAGCGAGCCAAGATCGCACCACTGCACTCCAGCCTGGGTGACAGAGTGAGACTCCGTCTCAAAAAAAAAAAAAAAAAAAAAAATATATATATATATATATATGTACGTGTGTGTGTGTGTGTGTGTGTGTGTGTGTGTATAATTAATTAATTGGGACACTGACAGACCCAACCCCTCAAGGAAGAGCATTATCTCCATGGATGGGGTTATTTTAAAATTCTCCAAATAAATGAGGATCAATAAGCCCAGATAATGTGAAGGTGTAAGTGAATGAAATAGAGACAATAAAGAAAATATTTTTAATATAAAAATTAAGATGTTACTTTTGAATGGTTAGGAGCTTTAAAAAATACATGTAAATAGCAGTTTGGTTTCTCATTGTAGATTTCTCTATAACCAGAGGAAATGCCCTTAGGATGCAGTGGAGTCATCCACAGATCAAGAGCATAAGAATGGCCAGAAAGCAGGGGTCAGCAAACTATGGCCTGTAGGTCAAATCCATTGCCTGTTTCTGTACAGCCCATGAGCTATGAATGGCTTTTACATTTTTTTCATGGTCAGGAAAAATAAAAAGGAAAATAATATTTCATGACATATGAAAAGTATATAACATTCCAATTTCAGTGTCTAGAAATCAGATTTTCTTGGCACACAGCCATGCCCATTTGTGTACATATTGTCTATGGATGCTTTTGTGCAACAACAGCAGAATTGAGTAGTTGCAAGAGGCCGTATGGCCCACAGAGCCAAATATATTCACTATCTATCTGGCTCTTGGCAGAAAAAGTTTGCCAGCCAGTGCATCTGAGAAACAGATTGTGGGGAGGAAAGAGAGGGGAAGGAGAAGAAGAAAGGTTTTCCATTCTGGTGCTCTGTAGCTTCTCAGAAGCCACTGCAAGACCACTGGCAATCACTCTTACTGTAGAAGCACTAAGGTTGCGAGGAGAGATTATCCCAGAGCCTCAGATACAAAGATGAGGTACGAAGGGATGCTAGAAATTGCAGGCATGTAAGTGAATGTGGACAGGCAGAGAAATATACCACAAAGTCAAGCAGGAAGCCCCTTGAAGAGACGACGACCCTAACTAGAATATTGTCATGAAGAGCATTGCCAGGCAGGTCCCTGGAGCTTTTCAGACAAGCACTTTGCCTGGGTGCAGAGTGGAGGTGGGTGGCAGAGTTGAGGAGAGGGACGGGGAGAGGGGGTAAGGGGGTGATTCTAAAATAGTGCAGAAATATTTGACAAAAAGAAGTGTCCCTGAATGTATACATCCAAATAGATATGGTCACCTGAAGCAATGCTTCTCAAACCTGCATTTGCAAACAGTCCCCTGGGGGTCTTGTGAAAATGCAGATTGTGAATCAGCGGGTCTGGGGTGGAGCTCAAGCTCCCCAGTGATGCTAATGCTGCTGGTCCACAGACCCCATTTTGAGAAGCAAAGTTGTAGAGGCCACAGCCTCAGTTTGCCCTTATTCTCTAACATCATTTGAGCTCCTCTTAGAGAGTCAAGGTGAGAGCCAGGTTATTGGGCACGCTGGAAAGTTCTCTTTCATATTTTATGCAGGCCTCCTTATCCATAATAGTAGCGTCTGGCTTGATGAATTTTACTTTGCTCTAAAAACATCGGCACTATTTCCTGAGAATAATTTTCTCTGAAAGAACAAAGATTTGCTGCCGCGGAGAATCTTTCAACCGATATGCCACGGCCTCAGGAGGTAATCATAAAAGTAGAGTTTTGTAAAAGTTTCGTGCAGTGGTAATATCGTTAAAAAGAGTACATATTTTTACATAAACAATAATTATTGGGATTTTTAAGTTTGGGAGCATTTGCAAAACCTAACCTTGCAGTCACGTTGCACGTAGCCTGTAGTCTTTTGGCATGCCCATAGAATTTTTCCTCTTGTTTGGAATTTCAGCAGAGGACCCTTGTTTAAACCCTAAGTGCTGAGAAATCTTACAAGAGTTTTCAAGAGCCACAGATTCAGTTGCAGGAGTAGGAGATTTCGCTTTATCAGAAAGCAATAAACCCATCTAATTTCCTAAATCTTCAGCCACAGAAAGCGTGGAAAGATGGTTTGCTCATTTTAGCAGTTTTCAACCACACAACCCTAACTCTTTTAAAGTTTAATTACTGGTTTACCCCTGCCAAAATAAACATGGCCTCCTGCAGGTTTGCTACATTTCAAACTGCACCTAGAATCTCCTCGTTCCTATGTAACGTTCAAGTTAATGAAGTATTATGGGTTGTATGAGAAAAATTAAAACGGTAATAGTCAAGGGTTCAGAAAGCCTAGAATTTTAGAAAATCCCTCACTCCTTTCCAAGATATTTGATTCTTTTTCATGGGAATACACTTCTATCATCCTATATACTCTCTGGGTACATCATTCTCACCAACAGTCATTAAAATAACTGAATCACAATATCTTTCAAATCTTGGGGGAAAACCTCTGTTTTCCTTCATATTAATTTGTAAATCAAATTGCATCTCACCAGAGTCACTGGATAAGAAAGGAATTGAAGAATATCATTAAAAGCACACTTTAAAGGACTGATTTGTGTTTTGTGAATTAAATTTCATGATTCGTTCAAGCAAACATTAATAAAAGTCAAATGGAAAGACACTCCAGCATGGTTTTCATCACAATGTAAAGTCTTTCCTCAAAATATAAATGAAACTATGTGACTATGAATTCACAAACACTCATTTTGCTAAATGTACCACATAAAAAATTTTCCACCCAATGCAACAGAATCAGCCAGCCACTCGAAGCCACTTACACCCACTTTGCCTTCTGGACTATACATTTGGTACTTGGGTGTATTTATTTATTTAGGCTCCTTAAAAAAGCCTTCTTTATCATTTGCATATTTGATAGAAACTAAAGATACACCACCTATGAACGCAGGCAAACAGCCCTATACCTGTGTTATGACAAGTTTTGCTACAATAAAGCACAAGGAAACTTCTCGACACACACCCAGTTCCCCCGGCCTCCTGCACTCCACTTACCTAGAAAGAGGATCGTGCCCAGAACTAGGGTGCCACCGACAAACACGACCAGGGCAATTCGAGTGCCTCTGTTGGCCTTCTTTCCAGTCTCCACGCTGCTCCCTGTTTCTGCTTCCATCAGAAGGGCCGTAGAGAGCACACGAGAAGAAAGTCACTTTTCGTGGTTTGGTGGCTGGTCTCAAGAGCGAGGCGTTGACATCCAAGGCTTTCTTGCTCTTCTACTAATGGACAGCTTAAGAAACTGCCGTCAGGAAATCTCCCCTCGCCACCCTTTCTCAAATAATTCTTCACAAATGAAAATTATAAAAACCAAAATATTGGTTGCCTTGGCTTTCCCCCTGACTAGACAAAACAAACAGTGTTGCTTTATCTTGGTGCTCTCCCTCAGCAAAGTCCCTGTTTGGCAGGCTCTTCTCTCAAGCGTTCCGAGTATATATGTTTTACTATGTTGCTGAACAGATGTTTTAGCTATTTAAATGTATAGTCACTTGGGGAGGAAAAAAACAATTGTTTTATCAAAACTGGATTCTCGTGAAACTCCCCCAAATCATGATAAGTTAGGTGGCCAGGATTCACCGGACCCACTTCAAGATCTCAATTAATCATGTAATTCTGTTGCAAGAATCATTCTGCTTGCCTGAATTGTCTTCATCAAAGATATTCTTTCAGTGTGTGAGTCCCTTTTTAAAGCCTTCTAAGAGTTCCTAGGATATCCTGGAGCATTTTATTTCAGGAACTTTGTGTATGATAGCATGTGCCAAAAATCAGTCATAGTCCAGTGCAGTGCAAAGTAGCAATTAAGACAACCTACAGAGGCTGATGGTTTGAACTGGAACTTTTTCTTAAAGGAAGGAGAAAAAGCACTTCCTCTTTGTGGTACTAAGAAGTGTACAAAAAAAAAAACCCACAAAAAAACACAAGTGCGTGAATTAAGTTTATTAGCAACTACAAAAGATATGATGAAAAATTTTTTCCTTGTGTGTTTTTGATGAAAAGTGCACCATGTGTTTTGTCTGCCACTCCTACTGAGGCAGCCATTCATTAGGATGTTTTTGTGTTTACATAAACTGTCCACTTCAGCAGATTCCCCAGGATGAATTCAAAGGCAATTGGTTTCAGGCCGGGCGTAGTGGCCCACGCCTGTAATCCCAGCACTTTGGGAGGCTGAGGCAGGGGGCTCGCTTGAGGCCAGGAGTTCGAGACCAGCCTGGCCAACAAGGCGAAACCTTGTTTGTACTAAAAACACAAAAATTAGCCGGGCATGTTGGTGAGCACCTGTATTCCCAGCTACTCAGGAGGCAGAGGTGGGAGAATCGCTTGAGCCTGGGAGGTGGAGGTTGCAGTGAGCCAGATCGCGCCACTGCACTCTAACCTGGGTGACAGAGAGAGAGACCCTGTCTCAAAAATAAACAAACAAAAAACAAAGGCAGTTGACTTCACTGGAAAGACTGATGAATGACTGGGTCTTTGATATTTTTGATTATGATAATGATTTAAACGATAACAATGTGCTTTCTTCATGGGGAAGGGCAACTGATATTCCAATGCTACCACTGAAATGATATAGATTTTATTATCCAAAGATATAGATATCGTTAACTCACAACACAATTACTACCTACCTGCTTTTGTTTTGCTGGAGGTCATAGGGCAGTGGGAGTGGGGGTGGAGAATTCAACTATATCTAGAAACCAGTAGAGCAATTATCTCAATGCAAAACTTGTGCGCATGGCTTTAGAGGTGACACAGGAGCTCAGCAGGTGCTGATGAGCTCAGTATAACATGGCCACACATTCATGGTCCTGTCTGGCTTGTCTTGGTCAGGGCTTAAGCCCTTAGCATGGGATTCTCTCAAGTTTTGGGGCTTATTCCATAATATACCTTACTTTCTGCTCATTTCATGTTGCGCCAAAGTCAGGGGGTCACAAGCCTTTGTCCAAGTTATGACATCATGGTGTGTTGTAGTTATCCTGTGCTCATTGGCTGTTGACATTATTTTGTTGCTGTTATTCCATAACACACCCTAGCAGGACTTTGGCCCCTAGTATGGGATTCTCCCAAGAGTTTTTGGACCTCACTCTAGAACACATCTTAGACCATGAGTTCCACAAAGTCAGGAACCATGTTCAATGTTGCAGCTCCAACATCGACATTTCCTGGCCCTTCACAGTGAAAAGGAGAGCAATAAAAATCATACAAGTTAGCCCTAGCCACTTACTCTTAACAACCAGCTTCAGCTGGGCGCAGTGGCTCACGCCTGTAATCCCAGTACTTTGGGAGGCCAAGGCGGGTGGATCACGAGGTCAGGAGTTCGAGACCAGCCTGGCCAACATGGTGAAACCCTGTCTCTACTAAAAATACAAAAAATAGCCGGGCGTGGTAGCAGGCGCCTGTAATCCCAGCTACTCAGGAGACTGAGGCAGGAGAGTTGCTTGAACTCAGGAGGCGGGTTGCAGCGAGCTGAGATCATGCCACTGAACTCTAGTCTGGGCGGCAGAGCAAGACTGTCTGGAAAAAAACAAATACAAAACAAAACAAAACAAAAAACCAACTTCGGGGCCAGAAGTGGTGGCTCACACCTGTAATCCCAACACTTTGGGAGGCTGAGGTGGGCAGATCACTCTAAGTCAGGAGTTCGAGATCTGCCTGGCCAATGTGGCGAAACCCTGTCTCTACTAAAAATACAAAAATTAGCCAGGTGTGGTGGCACGTGACTGTAATCCCAGCTACTCGGGGAAGCTGAGGCACAAAAATCGCTTGGACCTGGGAAGTGGAGGCTGCAGTGAGCTGAGATTGAGCCACTGCACTCCAGCCTGGGTGACAGAATGAAACTGTGTCTCAAAAAAACCAAAAGGCCAAGGTGGGTGGATCACCTGAGGTCAGGAGTTCGAGATCAGCCTGGCCAACATGGCGAAACCCCGACTCTACTGAAAGTACAAAAATTAGCCGGAGGTGGTGGTGGATGCCTGTAATGCCAGCTACTCGGGAGGCTGAGGCAGGAGAATCGGAGAATCACTGGAACCCGGGAGGCGGAGGTTGCAGTGAGCTGAGATCGCAGTACTGCACTCCAGCCTGGGCAACAGAGCGAGACCCCATCTCAAAACAACAACAACGACAACAACAACAACAAACAACAAACAACCAGCTTCAGCTTCAGGAACCTCACATGCTAATGTCTGCGGGGGGAGGAAGGGTGTCATCTTTCAAGGCCCTAATTATTCCTTCTCAATGCTCAACTAAAAGTGATACTTCATATAGGCATAGCACATTCGCTTTAACCTCATGGTAAATCTACATACTTGATAGCAAAGGTATTTTAACTCTGTTTCACAAATAAGGACACTGAGACCAAGGAATGGCCTCAGGTGGCATGGGAAAATCACAAATGGATAGATGGGGGATGGGATCATTGCCATACATGGCATGTCTGCTGCTTGACAAAGCTTCCTGTGCACAGCGAGAGGACAGTCACCCAAGCACGACACCAGGACTCACTTCTTTCCTCTTTCCTTCCTCCTCTCAATCTCCTCACAACTTTCAGTGTCCCCACTGACATTGAATAGTGGCCGTGAGTTCCTAGCTGGAGTAGCCTTCACCTGCCTTGAACTTGCAATTCCCCCAGAGGTGAGGGCAATTTGGGGATTCCCTGAAGTTATACCTACCCATCACTTACCGACAGGAATTCATTCCTGAACGGTCAACTGCTGAGTGAAAAGCCATTAAACCAAAAAAAATACTTTCATTAATTGTAATAGGAAAATTATGATGCATTCTATCCCAAACTAAGATATGCAAACACAGATAGAAAAATGTATTCATTTAACTTAATTGTAAATTTAAAAATAACTGAAAGACTGCCATTGGATTGTTTGTAACACTAAGGATAAATGCTTGAGGGGATGGATACCACATTCACCACGATGTGATTATTTCACATTGCATGCCTGTATCGAAACAACTCATGTACCCACAAATATATACACCTAATATGTACCCACAAAAATTAAAAATTAAAAAAAGTAATTTTAAAATGTATTACTTGAACAATGAAAACAAGTCTGTAAGAGTAATATAGAACTGTCAAAATATTGAAAATAAGCATAATTTGTGTAATGTAATGTAATGAAGGTTTCTTTTATTCACCAGAGGAATAAAGGAAAACTTGAGAGTGGCGGGACTGACAGAGGAAAGGATGTGGGAGAATCATTCATTACAAGGTACATTGTTCATTCTGTGCCATTTTCTGCATTAATTTTTCAGCCTTTTAGGAGATGATGATTATCTTGCCCTCAAAATAAACCACACTTAAAGTAACACGGAAAAAAAAAAGAAAAGAAAAAAAACCCTTTAGGGCAAAATAAAGAAGTTCAAAGCACAGGGAAATAATAGGTGCTCACAGGACTAAAGCAGGGGTCTGTACACAAGAGTACATGGGCCAAATTTGGCCCACTGCCTGTTTTTGTAAATAAAGCTTTTTTTGTTTTTCACCTTTTTGTTTTGTTTTGAGACAGGGTCTCGCTCTGTTGCCCAGGCTGGAGTGCAGTGGCGCAATCTCGGCTCACTGCAACCTCCACCTCCCAGGTTCAAGCGATTCTCCTGCCTCATCCTCTCGAATAGCTGGGACTACAGGTGGTGCGCCACCACGCCCAGCTAATTCTTGTATTTTTAGTAAAGATGGATTTTTGCCATGTTCCCCAAGCTGGTCTCGAACTCCTGGGCTCAAGCGATCCACATGCCTCGACCTCTCAAAGTGCTGGGATTACAGGTGTGAACCATCATGCCCGGCCTGTAAATAAAGTTTTATTGGAACAAGGTCACACCTATTTGTTTGTAGATTGTGCATAGTTGCTTTCATGCTGCAAGAGCAAAGTTAAGTAGTTTTGCAACAGAGACATTTTGGCCTTTGAAACTTAGGATATTTACTCTCTGGCTCTTGACAGGAAAAGTTTAGCAACCTCTGCACTAAAGAGTAGTAAAAGATGCTACCTCTAGCCGGGAGCGGCGGCTCACACCTGTAATCCCAGCACTTTGGGAGGCCAGGGTGGGTGGATCATGAGCTCAGGAGATCAAGACCAGGGTGAAACCTCTACTAAAAATACAAACATTAGCCAGGTGTGGTGGTGCGCGCCTGTAGTCCCAGCTACTCGGGAGGCTGAGGCAGGAGAATCCCTTGAACCTGGGAGGCGGAAGTTGCAGTGAGCTGAGATTACACCACTGCACTCCAGCCTGGTGACAGAGTAAGACTATGACAAAAAAAAAAAAAAAATGCTACCTCTTCACCCCATCTACATGGCATACAAAATAAAATGTTTATCCACACTTGACCTGTAACTCAAAATTGTTCCATTCGAGATTCTTTGAACAGAAACTGTTGTGTCAGGGAAACTGGTGAATGTGTCTTTGCCTGAAACTGTAATATTGAAACTATGATTTCAATATTATGATTTAGCATACGATTTAGTGTGTTTGGGAGTGAGAAGTCATTATTCTGGAAAAAAAAGGGGAGGGGGCGTTATTCTAAAAATTTTTACAACTATTCTAGAGATGTGAAAATTAGTTCATTGAAAAGTCATTATGCAAGGTAAGTCTGTTAATAGCCTGCTCTACACCCACCCAATTATTTCAATTAAGAACATTCAGGACTACCTTGGACATTCACTGGATCAATCAATGAATCAACGGAAGTTTCTTGAGCATTTCTCAGATGCCTAGCCCTGTGCAAACCCTTATGAAGCAAGACCAAGAACCCATGCCGGAGGTTCTGGACTGGTCAACTTGATGCAGGGATGAAAATACTGTATAGGAAACCCAACTTGGCCACATGACCCTAAAGCACGCAGGCCTGACCATAAGGGCAGTCAGTGCCCAGAGAAGCAGAAATCCCAGAGCGGTAGATTCATTGGGAAGACTTCCAGAAGGAGTGCTTGCGAGAATGGGCAGCTTGCAGGACAAGAGGAAGGCTTCCAGATGGACCGAGCCCCACCCCAAGAAGGGACTTGCCTGGGCATTTACTGCTCTCCCTGCAGGACTCACAGGTACAGTGATTTATCCGAGGTAACGGAATCCAGCAACAACAGCCCAAGCTGCTAACTGGCCGGGATGACAGCTGAAGCTGTCTTTATGTTAGACATGAGTGCATCTGGTCATTATTTGGATGTGCAGGGTCCTGTGTTTCAAGCAGTAAAATCCCATGCGGGCCATAATTTTAGTGAGAAAGAAGGAAGTGATTCAAATTCTGAAAAATGTTTTCATCCATCCATTGGAAGGAAGAGGGAGGAAAGAAGAAGGAAGGGAGGAGAGGGAGAGAAGAGCTATTAAAATAAATAGTGAAAGCTCAGATCTGGGGATTGTGGTGGGCTCTGTTACTTATTGGCAGGTCCTTCAGACTGGAGGAGTTCAAATCCCAGGCCTTTCACTAACGATATACATTACTTACATTGTATCTGATCTTTTTAAACATTTTCCTTAGGTAGGTGTTCTTATCTCCTTTTACAGATAAGGAAACTGAAGTTTGAAGCTATTAAGTGATTTGCGAAAGGTCACAGGGCCAGTATTTGTCTTAAGGCCAGAATGGTTTCAAATCCCAACCTCTTGTCTCTCTGCTGTGGTTCTTGATAAGTTTGCTTATCGGGTAATTAGTGAAGGCAGGTGTAGCATCTCAAAGTGACACTTGAGCAGAGGCAAAGCGATAAACTATGCTTCCTTTAATTCTCTTGTTTAAAAGAGTAATTATCAGGCTTTATTTCCTTAACAGGAACAGCAGCCATCATTTAATTTGGGGGGTGGGGGGTACATTTTTCAGTTGAGGAACAAAAATAGCAGTACATGAACTATCTCCTGATGTGTTGCTGCTAGTAATTGAACATTAGGAAGGAGATACGCATCTGAGAGGCTATCTATCCATGTGTTCTACTTGTTCATCTCTGAGCCTTAAAGGGGATTTTATCCATTGATTTTTTCTCACCTCCTTCCCACACAGCTACTATTTCCTCAGTGCCTGCTCACCTTATGTGTATTATCATCAGTCCTTAGAGCAGTCCTACAATACAGGAATCTTTTGCAGATAAGGACACTGGAGCCAGCTGAGGATAAGTAATATTCCGAAGGTCACGTGATGGGTAAATGACAGAGCCCAGTTGGAACTCAAATCGATGTGGCTCCTGTGTTGAAATGCACTTGGAATTTGCTTTAATCTGGTATGGTTAAGACAACAAACATGGAGACAGCCCTTGAAAAGGGTTTATTACTCACAGTTTGGAAGATGAGAGGGCACGCTGATACGGACAAGAGACAGGGAAATACTGGGTAGAAGAGGGCGGTTCCCTGGCAAAGTCCCCGCCCTCAAGCATGAAGACCAGAGGCCCTAATGAGGACAGGCATTTCTGTTTTCACGCCCAAAAAGTTGCCTTTTGGTCCACCACACCCCCTACCCTGGCCCCATATAAACCCTGAACCCCAAGCTCCAGAAGAGAACCCCAAGCAAAGAGAGGAGGAGGCAAGCGGACCAGCTGACCAGTGACGGCAGAACAATGCAGCAGAGAGAGAAGAGGAGGGACGTCTGGACGCCAAGGGGAGTTCGGCCAGGGGCAGTCAAAGAAGAGTCTGGTTGCTAGGCACCCCGACTCCAGGGGAAGACCACCTTCCCACTCCATCCCCCCTTCTGGCTCCGCATCCATTTCGCTGAGAGCCACCTCCACCTCTCAGTAAAACCCTGCACTCATCCTTCAAGCCCACATGTGATCCGATTCTTTTGGGACACTGAGGAAGAGCTTGGGATACAGAAGGCTGTCACACTCGCCCCCTGCCCTTGTGATAAGGCACAGGGTCCATTGAGCTGATTAACACACAAGCCATCTACAGATGGCAAAGCTAAAGGAGCACACTGTAACACATGCCCACTTGGGCTTCGGGAGTCACAAACACCCACCCATAGATGCTGCCATGGGGCCAGAGCCCAAAAGTGCTCACCCCGGTTCCTGCACCTGCTCATCTGCATGCTCCCCCTCCCGTAAGGGGTCTGAGCTGCGGGGGGCAACCAAACAGGCGAGCCACAACACTGTCTCATACCCTGCGAGGGGAATCAGGGAACTCTCTCATTTCAATGCCTTGCCACACAGGGCCATATGTGGGAGCATCAAGGAGCAGAAGGAGCAAGGGAAAACCATAGGCACTTTATTGTGGTTTTCAAAGAAAGGAATGGGCAAGGCAGGGTAAGCAGCTGAGCAGGTTTAGGATTGGGTGGATAGCATCAATAATTTCAGCAGGCTCTGGTCCCTAGAGGTGGTCTCTAGCACTCTCGTACCTAGCCCTGGGATGATTTAGGGTGGAAAGGTAGGGGTATAGTGTCCTTGACTGCAGGAGTCTGGTAAAAGGAAGTGGGGGGTATATGAACGTGGATTGGTTGATTTGCATATCAAAGGCATGCTCACAGGCAAGTCAGTTACTATCTCTAGGAATTAGCTAACCCTGGGAGGGACAGACCTTCCCTGGGTCTGCAAGGCACCAAGATGTCAACACATCATAAAATATAGAAAATAAAAAACATGATTGATACAGCTCCCAAACCCACAATATTAATACCTTTTCCAAAGCACTCCACTGCATAACAATTTTAAAATGAAATAACTATTCATCCAACTAGCGTTTACTTGCTGTATCCTCAAACTGGTCACACTCACCCTACTCCTTGGTTAGACTATTAACCTATAGAAGTTTGTATGCCCTTGATTAATAACAACCAATTGTTCAAGGATGGCTTACCTAGATGTTTATGAGGACAAGGGGCTTAGAGAAGCAGGTCTCAAATTTGAGTGGGCACCAGAATCTCCCGGAGGGCTGGTTAAAACACAGATTGTGGCCAGGCATGGTGGCTCACACCTGTAATCCTAGCACTCTGGGAGGCCGAGGCAGGTAGATGGCTTGAGACCAAGAGTTTGAGACCAGCCTAAGCAACATGATGAAGCCCCATCTCTACAAAAAATACAAAAACTAGCTGGGTGTGGTGGTGAGCTCCTGTAGTCCCAGCTGCTCAGGAGGCTGAGGTGGGAGGACTGCCTGAGCCCGGGAGGTCGAGGCTGCAGTGAGCCTTGATTGTGCCACTGCACTCCAGCCTGGGTGACAGAATGAGACCCTGTCTCAAAATTAAATTAAATTAAAAAACAGATTGCTAGGCTCCATCCCTACAGTTTCTGATTCTGTAGGTCTGAGATGAGCTGAAATTTAAATTTCTTTTTATTTTTTATTTATTTATTTTTTGAGACGGAGTCTTGCTCTGTCACCCAGGCTGGAGTGCAGTGCCACAATCTCGGCTCACTGCAACCTCTGCCTCCTGGGTTCAAGCGATTCTCTTTCCTCAGCCTCCCAAGTAGCTGTGATTACAGGCGCCCACCATCACGTCTGGGTAATTTTTGTATTTTTAGGAGAGACGGGGTTTCACCATGTTGGCCAGGTTGGTCTTGAACTCCTGACCTCTGGTGATCCACCTGCTTCGGCCTCCCAAAGTGCTGGGATTACAGGCGTGAGCCACTGCACCCGGCCTGAAATTTTAATTTCTAACCAGCTCTTGGGAGATGCTGATGCTGCTAGTCTGGGGACCACATTGTAAGAACCACTGGTGTAGGGCAACCATTAAATCTCTCTGCAATGTGGTAAAGTGGACTGAAGAACCAACAAAACTAAACATTAAACTTATGTAGTGAAAACAGTGATGCCATTCAAAATATTTAACAACCACCATGGCATGGCACTGACCAGGGGACTGGGGCCAGTTTCGGTGGCCCCTACTGTACTATCTTAGTTGCTGGATCTGGAGGGTTCTAGGAGAGGGGGTGGATTGGAGGAGGCTGCAGGGGGTCCAGAGGGGCAGCCATCCACAGCTAGTAAGGAGATATTTCACTATTTCACAACAGCAGCAGCCACACTGGTATGAACCAACTAAATTGCAGTCCTGAGTCAAATTTCAAATGGACTTTTGATGTTCTTAAAATCCTTCAGTGGCTGCTGTCAGTTTTTAGGAAAATGTAAAAATACTTCACATTGAGTTCCTGCATGATTGAGCCCACGCAATCCTCCAGGCTCACCTGTGCACGGCTTCTCAATTTACACCCTACACACCAGTCATTCTAAACCCCTTCAAGTTCTCAAATGCACTAAACTTTACCCAGCCTTTTGCGCTTTGAAAATATTTCTCGGCCGGGCGTGGTGGCTCAGGCCTCTAATCCCAGCACTTTGGGAGGCCGAGACGGGCGGATCACGAGGTCAGGAGATAGAGACCATCCTGGAAAACACCGTGAAACCCCGTCTCTACTAAAAATACAAAAAATTAGCCGGGCGTGGTGGCGGGCACCTGTAGTCCCAGCTACTCGGGAGGCTGAGGCAGGAGAATGGCGTGAACCCGGGAGGCGGAGCTGGCAGTGAGCCAAGATTGCGCCACTACACTCCAGCCTGGGCGTCAGAGCGAGACTCCATCTCAAAAAAAAAAAATTAAAAAAAAAAAGAAAACATTTCTCCTTTTGCCTGGAAAACCATTTCTTTAGGAAACTCGGGCTCATCTTTTAAGACTCAGCTCAGATTTTACCTCCTCGAGAAAATCTTCCCAGACCCCTCTTCTTAGTAAGGTCACAGGGTCACAGGATGTCAGGTTGTATTACAATAGTCTCTGCAGAAGTCTGCCCCATTAGACTACATGTAAGTTGAGATCAGACATTTACTGTATCTTATCAATTTTAACAGGGACTTTTTTTCAAGCTTTAACATTTCTAGAAGTAGAATGTACCTCGTAAGTGGTGATGTGGCATAATTTGACGGTATTTTTCTTTCTCGATGGTATTATTATGGTGGTATTATGATACATCTTACAATCTTACAATCGATTGAATCTTAGATTCGGTTAAATGTTTTTTTCTTCCCTGTATCCACGTTTTCTTATGCAACACTGAGCATGTAGAATACGCTTTGGCTTTCAGCCCCACTGTGATCTTCTAGTGTGTTCAGTGTATGGTTGGCAGCTGGAAGCCCACGAACTACATTTTCCAGGCTCCCTTGCCAGCTGAGTTCCTGTTAGACTCTGTCAAGGGAAGGCATTAATAGGAAATTCAAAAACAGGAGGAATGTAGAAGCCTGGTTTATTTTTTCTTTACTGATCCTGGGTTTATCCAGGGCCACAGGAGGAAACTCCGGGATCCTACATAAAGACCGCAAATGTGACAGCTGCAGGGGCACATGGCTGCAGATGACTGCAGACTCTGGCAGCATCAATGGGATTGTGGCTCCTAGAGTCCCACTCAGCAGTAGCAGCAGCAGCCTCCGAGGTGAGTGTGATGTGGACTTTAGGCCACATTCCTTTTCCCTGTTTGCTTCTCTAGTCTTAAGGGCAGTAGCGGCCTTTTGCAGTCACTGAACTCTGGGTAACATCCTCTCCTTTGTTCCTTCTGCCTTTCCACTACCTTTGAAACCAATTCCCTACATTAAATACACTTGTTTGAAATACCTAGAGTGGTTTCTGCTTTCCTCACATAACACTAACAGAGCTCCCTTCTCTTTTTCTTGTAACTGCTAACTGCACCATTCACGTTGATATACGTTGATTCACGTTGATACATGTTTCCACGCTGCCAGGCAGGATAGTGCAGTGTGACAGTGGTTAAATACCTGGTATTTGGGAACAAACTCCCTGGATTGGATTCCTGGCATTGCTACTTACTGCTATGTGACCTTGAAAAAATTGCCTAATCTCTCAGGGTCTCAATTTTGTCATCTGGCAATGGGAGATAATAATAAACTATGATTATAATAGTTATGAAGTGCTTAAAATGGTTTCTGATGAAGTGGCAGGCATTATTATTATTCTGTTTCTTAATATTTCATGTTTGCCACCCATAGATATGCCTTATAGATGTCTCCATTGTTTGTGTTTTAAAATTCTTATTTGGGGCTGTCTATGCCTATGGGAGGTATTCAGTCCAGACTTACTGGGGGAGGAAAAGAGGGAGGGATGAAGAAATAATGGAAAGAAGAGGAAATGAAAGGAGAGGGGATGGGAGAAGAGAGGAGTTGGGGGGAGAAGAGGAGAGAAGAGGTAGGGAAGGGAAGTGTTTTTTACCACAATTTAAGAAAACATCAGCTTTGGGAGGCCGAGGTGGGTGGATCATTTGAGATCTGGAGTTCGAGACCAGCCTGGCCAACATGGTGAAACCCCATCTCCACTAAAAATACAAAAATTAGCTGGGCAATAGTGGCACGCACCTGTAATTCCAGTTATTCGGGAGGCTGAAGCAGGAGAATTGCTTGAGCCTGGGAGGTGGAGATTGGGATGAGCCAAGATCACGCCACTGCACTCTGGCCTGGGTGACAAAGTGAGACTGTGTCAGGAAAGGAAAGGAGAGGAGAGGGGAGGAGAGGGAAGGGGAGGGGAGCGGAGGGGAGGGAAGGGAATGGAAAGGAAACATCACCTCTCCTTTGGTCTCTTGCTCTTCACTGCAGACCCTGGTCAACCTCTAACCCTAGTTGGTTGTGTTCCTATTGGTAGTAAGGACAGCAGGTGTCCAGTCTTTCAGCCACCTGGTGGTTGGGACCACGATTTGGACAGCTTTATACCTCTGGGACCTGACCGAGAAGGCATTTAACCTTGCAGGATGAATGCAACTGAAATCACAATGAGATTACCGAAGTCAGCCTGAAAAGGCTGGGTTCAGTATGTGATTTGTGTAGCCAGAACGAAGAGTAAGGAAAAGAGAGGAGCAATAACAGACTCTGTAGTTACTAGTCATGGTCAAGGATGATCAAGATAGTGGTTACCGAGTGTGGTTCACATCTCCTCTGATGGGTTGCCTTAAAACTTACTATCGAATTCCTTGATATCAAGTATTCTCTGAGTTCACCAAGCCTGACTTTATTCAAATCAAAACATATCTCACTTCTCTAGAACTTTCTGCCAATAGAATACTCAGTGGAAAAGAAAAAAAATGGATGGATGGACATAAAATAGGGCATCATTTACAAATGGGGGATGGAAACTAAGATACGATTTTCAAATTTTTACTGATTATTTTCAGTTTTATAATGCATTTGAAAGACCTCAACTCTAAAAGAGCTTGTTTGACATAATAAATTTGCCATTATTCTTCCAAACATAGCTTAATGAATACTCATTGTCCCTATTTCTAAAAAAACTATAATATAGGTCCCCATGCTCATCACTACATGGGTCTGAGCGAAGAGTACCCATGAGCGAAGATGGAGGGGCAGCCACATACCATTTAAAGCTGTAAATCAGGCTACAAACTGTTCAATCAAATACATTCCCTCCTCCTACCTTGGAAATATACTTCATACCCACCTGGAAGGCCTGATTCCAATTCAGAATTCTCAGACTCCTGGGAGTTTCAGATAGAAACGCGTTGGAGAGCGGGCCCCAGTCCTTGGCCCATCCCCTTTCTCTTTTCACATCCCCCATCCCAGCAGCACCTTGACAACACATGGGAGCCCAGGCACAGTCTTCCCTCAGGAGGATGGGATGACAAGCTGAGAAGGAGACCCCCATGGGCCCTGGATGTGAGCTCTGAGCAAGTTTAAACAGAACATTAGTAGTCTCAGAGATAAAAACTGTGTTTTAGAAAGGGACACAGGCACATCCCCTTGGCACTGCAGATCCTTCACTCCATGGTGAAGGGCATAGCCCCAGGATAGCCAGAGTGGAGCCCTCTTGAAGCCAGGACCCAGAGCAGGGTCCCTGTTGCCCAGAGCTAAGGGCAAAACTGTAGCTCCTTATCCCGTAGCTTACGATATTAAATCCTTTCCCACTGAAAATACTCAAATAGATTTAAATTATAAGAATTTTTTTAAAGCAGAGAAATACAGATCTTAGGTGAAAAGAGAGTGAGGATGAGTTACCCACTGCAAATGAGGGCCTTGACAGTTAAAGCAAAAAGGAAAATACCTCAGTTATGGGTTCTTAAATAATATACACATGTTCATTTGTTTAAGGAGACAATGTTTTTCAACATGTCACATTCTAGGAACGTTTTATTGTATTATTATTATATAAAACACAGATGATATATGAATTTCAAAAATGTAATACATTATGCAAACCGAAAAGATCATTCGTCTTCCAAAGGAGGTGATAAATACTACATTACACAGTAGACTGCCTCACTGATATTAGCCATGAATTCCATTTGGAGTTTACTGCTTGTCTCAAAGACTTAGCATTATTTAACTGCAATAACTTCCAATCATAACCACCCAGATGATCGATTCTGTTTAGTCACTGATGTTCCTGTAATGGTGAAAAGACTGTATTATTTTGTTTGAAGCTAGCACACCAAGTCTCATAGTATGGTATAATTAAGAACAACTGTTTACTTTTTCTTAAATCCAACACCCCTCACCCCCACCTCAAAAGCTAGACATTAAAGTACTAAATATAATGATCTTGGTAAACCAAATTGCTATGTTCCTGGCAGCCCTTCCCTGCTGTTTCCCCTAAACATTTCTATCTAAAAGGATGATGAATTTAAAAAGGAAAAAAGAAACATGGGAAATATACAGCTATCCCTTGACTGTATCTTCCACCTAACCATCAGAGTTTCCGTTCGAGTGCTTAAAAGCACTCACGCTCTCCTTCCTCTGTCCCTTTTTGGCCATTTTATTTTGAGACAGGGTCTCACTCTGTCACCCAGGCTGGAGTGCAGTGGCGCAATCATGGCTCATTGCAGCCTTGACCTCCCAGACTCAAGCAATCCTCTTGCTTCAGCCTCCTGAGTAGCTGAAACTACAGGTATGCGCCACTACACCCAGGTCATTTTTTGATATTTTGTAGAGATGGGGGTCTCACTATGTTACCCAGGCTGGTCTCAAACCCCTGGGCTCTAGCGATCCTCCTGCCTCTGCCTCCCAAAGTGCTGGGATTACAGGCATGAGCTGCCACACCCAGCCCTTTTTTGGCCATTTTACATGGTTACTTGTATTGTTTCAAATGTCCATGGGGCACACCACGCAGCATCAGGAGACAGCAGCCCACTGTTTTATGCCTGTGAGTTAGTCTCCTTAGACTGGGGGACATTCTTAAGGGCCTTTTGTCATCTTGCTTCACTTACCCATGCCAGAGCCTGAAATATAGTAAGTGCCCATAATGTATTAAATAAATAAATGATCACCTTATTGTCCTCAGGAACTATGTAACATTGAGAGTTATTCTGGCATGAAGAATATCAGGAGTTGTAGGCCGGGCGCGGTGGCTTATGCCTGTAATCCAGCACTTTGGGAGGCTGGGGAGGGCAGATCACCTGAGGTCAGGAGTTCGAGACCAGCCTGCCTAACATGGTGAAACCCTGTCTCTACTAAAAATACAAAAACTAGCCAGGCACAGTGGCACATGCCTGTAAACCCAGGTACTCGGGAGGCTGAGGCAGGAGAATCACTTGAACCCAAAAGACGGAGGCTGCAGTGAGCTGAGATCACGCCACTGCACTCCAGCCTGGGCCACAGAACCAGACTCCATCTCAAAAAAAAAAAAAAAAAAAAAAAGAAAAGAAAAAACAATATCGGAGTCCATTCTCCATGGAAGTGAATTAACCCGTGTGTTACCTTTATAAATTTTGAAATCTGAGAATCAGAAAGTCCAGCTATAAGATCCTGGATAATTCCATCCAAATCCCACTGGGTAGGGAAAGACATACAAAGAACTCCCAGCATTTAGTGGCAAAGACAAGACCGCCAAGGCATGCCCTTGTGAAAATGTTGTTTTTTTAAAATGCATTTTGTTTTAATAACATATTCTAATCATCAGGACACTAGCTCTGGCTATGTTTTGAAAAATGGTACAACACTGCACTTAATCCAAGGTTGTTCGGTTTTGTTTTGTTTTTGAGACGGAGTCTTGATTATTTTTTTAGAGGTGAAGTGAAAATACATCAGATTCTGGAAATACTTAAAAGGGAATCATTTTGAATGGGGTTGCAACAAGTGATCAATGCAATATGGCAGCTACTGCCTTTTTTCTCTTCTACTTTCAGCTACCTTCTTTTAAAAGCCCCCCCCCCGCCAAAAGGAATACCAGACAAATGACAGCCCTCATTATGAGAAGCAAAAGTTTAAAACACTGGAAGATATACAGAAAATCAGGTTAGGGAAAGGTTTCTAAAACAAGACACAAACACATATCATAAAGGAAACAGACTGACAAATTTGACTACATCAAAATAAAAAACTTCTGTGCATCCAAAAACACTACTAAAAATGAAAAAGACACACTACAGACTGAGAGTAGACACTTTTAACAAAAATACAAGCAACAATGGATTATTATCCTGAAGATTTAAAGTACAACTGATCAATAAGAAAATCAAAGCCCAATAGCCAAATGGACAAAAAGGCAGGCATTTTTCCAAAGAGGAACACTGGCCAATTAACTTACAAAAATATGCCCAGCCTCATTAATACTCAGGTAAATGAAAATTTAAACTACAAGAAATGACCATTTCACATCTCCAGACTGGCAAAAATTGATTGATTGATTGATTGATTGATTGTCTTGCTCTGTCACCCAGGCTGGAGTGTAGTGGTACAATCTCCAATCTCGGCTCACTGCAACCTCCACCTCATGGGTTCAAGCAATTCTCATGCCTCAGCCTCCTGAGTAGTTGGGATTACAGGCGCCCGCCCCCACGCCCGGCTAATTTCTGTATATTTGGTAGAGATGGAGTTTTGCCATGTTACCCAAGCTGGTTTTGAACTCCTGAGCTAAGCAATCCTCCTTCCTCAGCCTCCCAAAGTGCTGGGATTACAGGCGTGAGCCACTGCACCCGGCAGAGACTGGCAAAAAATTTAAAAGTCTACAATGTCAATTGGCAATGGAGCACTTTCAACCCTCATAACCCTAATCATAAGTGTAAATTGGTACACCGTTTTGAAAAGCAATTTAACAACATATAATAAATTTGAAGCCTGGAGATGCAGACATGTGGGAAGATGGAAGGTACTGGAAGAACTGTGGTTTTCTTTTTTTAAAATGAATGTGCAGGAATTACAAATTTCAAATCCAGGAGCCAAGCACTGGGTGGTAATACAGGAAAAGGGCACAAGTGTAGGTCACCTCTGATAAATTTTGCCAAGTATCTTTATAATTTCTAACAGTTTTGGTTTTTTAGCCCTTCACATGCAGTGACTTCAGTGGCTGGTCCCATGTTTTAAAGGAGCTCTTTGGCACACAACAAAACCCTATAGTAATGTGAATATTTTCCAACTTCTCCACGTCTTTTTCCTAGTAACATTATTGTGGTGTTCTGATTCTTCCATGAGGATATTGACATCAGTCTTACAAATTTTGAAGGCCTGTGAATTCAGGCCTAGTTAAATGCATTTGTTCCATGAAAGAGATGGCTGATCATCTCTTTCACGTGGATTTCTTTCTCCATGTATCTGTGCCAAGTTGAAACATAAATTAGTAACTACTATTACTGTTATGTTGAATCCCCTGTTAAGTCCTTGGCATGTTACTGGGTCTTCCACAGCCAAACCACCAGATATGTCATGCCTCAGCTTCCTGAGCAGCTGGGATTACAGGCACCTGCCACCACGCCCAGCTAATTTTGTATTTTTAGTAGAGACAGGGTTTCACCCTGTTGACCAGTCTGGTCTCGAGCTCCAACCTCCGGTGATCCACCCGCCTCGGCTTCCCAAAGTGCTGAGATTAGAGGCATGAGCCACTGCACCCGGCCTCATCTCTTTGATTGTTTATATTTTCATTTTCTTTTTATTGGGTCCCGTGTGCCTGCCCAACCCTGGGGTGCAAAGCTCAACAGGGCATGGGCCCTGTGACTTCCAGAGCTTACAGAGCTACTTAAAGTAAATATCTAACCTTAACCCTTTTTAACATACAAATGGAAGATCACCCTATCCTCCCTTAAATGAGTCCTTCCAGGATACATCGAGGACATCTAACATCTTTACTGCCCTCATTTAATTATCATCTAACATACCCAGTGAACTTGGAGACACATGGAGAAACTGGAGGGAAAAATTGAGCATTTGGGGAAATTAAAGTAATAGGTCTTAAAAATGAAACCAGTTTTGTACAATTGTTTTTTGTAAATGTAAATACTAAAGCAGGTGTGGCCATTAATATTTTTCCAGATTCTGCCATCTGATTTTTTTTTTTTTTTTTTGAGACAGAGTCTCACTCTGTTGCCCAGGCTGGAGTGCAGTGGCCTGATCTCGGCTCACCGCAACCTCCGCCTCCCAGGTTCAAGAGATTCTCCTGCCTCAGCCTCCTGAGTAACTGGGACTACAGGTGTGCACCACTATGCCTGGCTAATTTTTTGTATTTTTAGTTGAGACGGGGATTCACTATATTGGCCAGGCTGGTCTCGAACTCCTGACCTCGTGATCTGCCCACCTCGGCCTCCCAGAGTGCTGGGATTACAGGCGTGAGCTACCGCGCCTGGCCTCTGATTTCTTTTAAAGGCAGCAGTGGCACAACATAGTAGGCAGACTGGCTGCGCTGGTATAAATTCTGAGCTTGCCCACTAACTTTTGAAACCTGATACTTGGCCGGACATGGAGGCTCACGCCTGTAATCCCATCACTTTGGGAGGCCGAGGCGGGTGGATCACCTGTGGGCAGGAGTTCGAGATCAGCCTGACCAACATAGTGAAACCCCATCTCTACTAAAAATACAAAATTAGCCAGTTACTTGGGAGACTGAGTCAGGAGAACCACTTAAACCCGGGAGGTGGAGGTTGCAGTGAGCCGAGATGATGCCATTGTACTCCAGCCTGGGCAACAAGAGTGAAACTCCATCTCAATACACACACACACACACACACACACACACACACACACACAGAAAACCAAAAAAACAACAGAGTAAAGAGACAACACTATTGACTTTTAGTCCTGGAAATTTAGGATGATTTCTCAAGTGGGTCTTGATTCTACTACTAAAAGCAAGGAGTGGAGAGAAGGAACAACACTGCCTTGTAACTCTCAACTTTCATGTCAAAGGATGGAATACAATTTAGCCTGTGTTTCAGGTTCTCTAACTACCAAAAGAATATGTTCACCAGAGGGCACCTTTCCTCATTTTTCAGAACAATGTTCTTTCCAGGAAACCACAAATGTTAGCATCTCATACAATGTAGGATGTCTGTGCACTTCACAGTATTATTTTACATATAAGATGCCCATTAGTGCTTTTGGTTATTTCCTGCAAAGGTTTTAACATCTTTGCTAATAAAAGGTCATCTGTTGAATGCTTCACTTAAAGTGTGATACCAGGCTATAGGATTTAGTCTTCACCACGTTTGTCAGAGTCAAGCTAGACTGCTGCTATCCCTGAGAAAGGAACTTTCCTAGTTCCTAAAACACCTTTTTTTTTTTTTTTTTTTGAGACGGAGTCTCACTCTGTCTCCCAGGCTGGAGTGCAGTGGCGGGATCTCAGCTCACTGCACTCTCTGCTTCCTGGGTTCAAGTGATTCTCATGCCTCATCCTCCCAAGTAGCCGGGATTACAGGAGTGCTCCAACCCGCCTGGCTAATTTCTACACTTTTAGTAGAGATGGGATTTCACCATCTGGCCAGGCTAGTCTTGAACTCCTGGCCTCTTACAATAAATTCAGGAGTCAAATGGGGTAGATTGAAATCTCTTTGCCAATTATTCACTCCCCTATCATCCATCTCCTTGCCTCATGATTGGCAAAGGGTACTGCCCGGTCTCTTCGCCCTGGGTTTGGCTATGCGGTGTGCTATGGCCAATGGAATACTGACAGACATGGCACACACAGAGGCTTGACATGTGCTTGTGTCATTGTGCCCGTCCTCTTGTGCTCCGTGCCTTTTGCTGTGAGAACACGTCTCAGGTAGCCAACGATCCAAGGATGATGAGAGACATGTGGAGCAAACGTGGACCTAACACAGTTTGAAATAGGGCCCAGCCTAGATCAGCTGAACCCCCAGCCAACCTGCAGATGGCTGAGGAGAAAAATCAACACTTGTTGCTTGAAGCTGTTGACATTTCAAGTTTGCTTGCTATGCGGTATTATCGCAGTGACAGCTGACTGATACACAAACCTTCCTCCATCTGCTGTCTAATTATTCTGTAGACCATTTGAACTAGTTTCCTGGTGATGCTGTAACAAAGTACCATAAACTGGGTGGCTTAAACAACAGAAATTGTCTCAGTTCTAAAGGCTAGGAAGTCCCAGATGAAGGCATCAGCAAGGTTGGTTTCTTATGAGGGCTGTGAGGGAGACTCAGTTTCATCCCTCTCTCCTAGCTTCTGGTAGCCTCAGCTGTTCTTTGGCTTGTAGATGGTATTCTCCCGGTGTCTTCATATCATCTTCCCTCTGCACATGTCTCTGTGTCCAAATTTCCTTTATCAGGTTGGTGCAAAAGTAACTGCTGTTTTGCCATTAATATAAGGACATCAGTCATTGGATAAGGTCTCAACCTAAGGACCCCATCTTACCATCTGCACAGACCCTATTTCCAAATAAGGTCACATTCATAGGTACTGGGGATTGGGACTTCAACGTCTTTTTGAGGAAGACAATTCAATCTCTAACACCAGCCCAGATATCTTTCTAGCTTGGGGAGTTAGGGGAGGGAATAAGATTGGAAGGGCCTGATGGCTTTTTGGTTATGGAGAAACCTAAGAGTTTATTTTTTATATAGCTATAGCAGGGCTAAATAGTATTAGGCTTTGCAGTGTCTTCTAAACGTTCAGTGTTTTATAAAGTACTTGTAATAAATCACCTCCAGCCCTGCCCTCCCTTAACCTAAAACTTGTGCACTTTCTTTACAGCCTTCACCTTATAAAGTCTTAACTTCCCCTTCATGCTTCTGTTTCCAGCAGCCCTCCTAGTGCCCTGTGGCTTTTATTTTTCTTTGCTGCTAAAGAGGCTGCCCACGTGTTCTTTCCTCTACACATTGCCGTGGATATATCCCACACGTTGTCTATGACCCTTTACACAGAGGCTACAGCAAAAGTGGTCTATAAGCGCTGCCAAAAGCTGTTCTAGTACAGCATCAGGACAGAATCATATAACCTCTAATTCTTCCCCTTATTATTCTTTGTATTTTCAATAAACTTGCAAAAGACGCAAGCACAAAGTGAAGTTTGTTCCAGTTTTACTCTCCACAGAAATAAACTTACCTAAAGCCATGAAATCAAAGCACAATCCAGACTTCAGTAAGTTGCATGCTTAGGTGAATAAAGGGTATAATCCCTTATCCTTGTGTTTAGAACCTTCTAGCTGTCAGGGCAGTGTCTGCAAATGAACAATCCATACCCTTTCAGAATCCTTGATCATTTTTGCACTGCTTGTTGCTTCAAAGTCTCTCCTAATGGGCCTCTATCCACCAGCACTGTTTTGTAATCTTTCAAGGGCTGGGGGTCTCCATGCCTTTTGGGGAGAGCTTAAAAAGAAGCCCCAGATTAATGGTTTATCAAATTACCTTTCTTTAGTGCTTATTTTTATTGATACATAATATATTTTGGGGGTACATGTGATAATTTCGTAAGTCCATATGACTTGTAAAGATCAAATCACTGTCACTGGTATACCCATCACCTTAATATTTATCTTTTATTTATGCTAGAAACATTAGAACTATTTTCTTCTATTTTGAAATATACAGTAATTATAAACCAGACACCCTACTGATCAAACACTAGGTTTCATTTCTTCTATCACACTGTATATTTGTACCCATTAATCAACCTCTCTCCATCCCCTCCCGTCACCCTTCCTGGCCTCCAATAACCACCAATCTACTCCCTATCTCCAAGAGATCTACCTTTTTAGCTCCCACTTTGATACTTCTCTTACTGTGCTCTGCATGTTTCATTTAACGTGACCTCCAGTTCCATCCACATTTCTGCAAATGACAGGATTTCCTTTTTATGGCTGAATAACATTCCACTGTGTACAAATTCATTTAATCCACTCATCTATTGATGGACACTTGGGTTGATTCCGTATTTTGGCTACTGTGAATAGTGCTGCAATAAACATGGGAGTGCAAATCTCTCTTAAATATACTTATTTCCTTACTTTTGGATATATACTATATATCTATATAGATATACCATACATCTATATCTATATGTATTATATAGTATGGAATATTATTCAGCCATAAAAAGGAAATCCTGTCATTTGCAGAAATGTGGATGGAAATGGAGGTCACGTTAAATGAAACATGCCAAGCACAGTAAGAGAAGTATCAAAGTGGGAGCTAAAAAGGTAGATCTCTTGGAGATAGGGAGTAGATACAGATATAGATATAGATGTATGGTATATCTATATAGAGATATATATCTATATAGATATAGATGTATGATATATATATAGATGTATGGTATATCTATATAGATATATCTATAGTTTTTTGAGGAACCTCCATACTTTTCCATTGCAGCTGTTGTAATTTACATTCCCACCAACAGCATAGGAGGGTTCCCCTTCTCCACATCCTCACCAGCACCCATTATTCCCTTTTTTATAAGAGCCATTTTAACTAGGGTGAGATGATATCTCATTGTGGTTTTGATTTGCATTTCTCTGATGATTAGTGCTAGTGAGCATTTTTTCATATGCCTATTGGCCATCTGTATGTCTTCTTTTGAGGATATGTCCTTTGCCCACTTTTGAATGGATTTTTTTGCTGAGTTGTTCGAGCCCCTTATATAGTCTAGTTATCCACCCCTTGTCAGATCATTAGTTTGCAAATATATTCTCCCATTCTGTGGGTTGTCTCTTTTCTGTTTCCTTTGCTGTGAAGCTTTTTAGTTTGATGTAATCCCTTTTCTCTATTTTTGCTTCAGTTGCCTGTGCTTTTGAGGTCTTACACAAAAAATCTTTGCCCAGACCAACATCCTGACCATTTCCCCAACGTTTTCTTCTAGATGTTCCATAGTTTCAGATCTTATACTTAAGTCTGTAACCCATTTTGATTTGATTTGGAGATGGGGTCTACTTTCATTCTTTTGCGTATGTTTATCCAGTTTTCCCAGCACCATGTATTGAAGAGACTGTCCTTTCCCTATTGCATGTTCTTGGGACCTTGGTTGAAAATGAGTTCGCGGTGTGTGGATGTATATCTGGGTTCTCTTTTTTTTTTTTTTTTTGAGACGGAGTCTTGCTCTTTCGCCCAGGCTGGAGTGCAGTGGCACGATCTCGGCTCACTGCAAGCTCCGCCTCCTGGGTTCACGCCATTCTCCTGCCTCAGCCTCCCGAGTAGCTGGGACTACAGGCACCCGCCACCGCGTCCGGCTAAGTTTTTGTATTTTCAATAGAAATGGGGTTTCACCGTGTTAGCCAGGATGGTCTCGATCTCCTGACCTCGTGATCCGCCTGCCTCAGCCTCCCAAAGTGCTGGGATTACAGGCATGAGCCACTGTGCCCGGCCATCTGGGTTCTCTATTCTGTTCCACTGGTTGATGTCTGTTTTTATGTCAGTACCATGCTGTTTTGGCTACTACAGCTTTGTAGTATATTTTGAAGTCCAGTAGTATGATGCCTCCAGCTTTGTTCTTTTTGCTCAGGATTGCTTTGACTATTTGGGGTCCTTTGTGGTTCCATATACATTTTAGGATCGTTTTTCCTATTTCTGTTGAGAATGTCATTGGTATTTTGGTAGTGATTGGATTGAATCTATACATTGCTTTGGGTGGTATCAAATTGGCTTTTTAATCATATACATGAGAAAATTTCCAACCCTTGGAAATCAGACACACATTTTAGCAATTACTATGGCAACACCTATTGCTTTCACGGCCACTTAGAGCAGTACATTGATATTTACATTTAAATTAAGCAGTGGTTCATGCAACAGCTGTCTTCATTTTTCTGCAATGTGACCCATCCAATTTTCCATTTGACCATTACTCTAGCTCAGTAATACTCAAAAAGTGTGGTCCACATACTGGCAGCATCAACATCTACTAATTAGACTGTGAGAAATGCTGCCTCTTGGGCCCTACTCCCGAACTACTGAATCAGACTGTTTTAACAAGATCCTCACGTGATTTTCACGTGCACTCAAGTTTCAGAAGCACTGCCCTAGTTTTTCTAGTCCTACTTCTATTTTTTTTTTTTTTGAGACAGAGTCTCACTCTGTTGCCCAGGCTAGAGTGCAGTGGCGTGATCTCGGCTCACTGCAACCTCTGTCTCCCGGGTTCAAGTGATTCTCTTGCCTCAGCCTCCTGAGTAGCTGGGATTACAGGCACCCACCACCAGGCCTGGCTAATTTTTTTGTATTTTGAGTAGAGATAGCGTTTCACCATGTTGGTCAGGCTGGTCTCGAACTCCTGACCTCAAGTGATCTGCCCGCCTCGGCCTCCCAAAGTGCTGGGATTACAGGCCTGAGCCACCATGCCCGGCCAAGTCCTACTTCTAGAAAGCAGGATAACTACTGTTCCAACAGAACCTCTTGAAGTCCTCGGTCACTTTCCTTGTAAAACTAATTGGACAACCTTTTTAATCAGATCCTATTTTCAAATCTGAAATATTACAATGTGGGGCTCTTTGCCTTAATTCAAGTCTTTGAACCCACTCTCATCCCTCCCTTCTGCCACACACATCAGGGAAAGAAAAAAAAAAAGAAAACTCTTCAACGTCTGCAGTGTCTTAGCAGCAGCTCGGGCTCAGGAAGTCTTTAAAGCAGGTTCTTTCCCTGGGGCCTTTTATTTCTAAGCCAGCAGGACTGGAGTGCGGCTGTACAGCCAGCTGCCACACCATCCTCTTGCTCATATCTCCCTTTTTTGTTTCTCCTACTGCAGACATCATGGGCAGACCCTGCTCCTCTGGCTTCCGTAGTCTCTGGTGGGAGCCCATGCAGCTTTGGTTTCTTGCGTAGCAGACAGAAAGCCTCAAAGACATAATTTAACCACTAGGACTTCTGCTGCCTGAGGAGCTTGCCACCTTACTGCCTCCTGGGCTACACTGTAAAGCAGAAGAATGCTCCTTTGGGTGTTACGCGGGTCCCTGGAGCCTTATTGCTCTTAGGTCTTCAATTCTGTGTCCAGAAGTCTTGCTAGCATGGCCCTCAGGCAGATGGGAGATAAACTGTGCCAAAAGAATTCCTCCCCCTATTTTAAAATGTTTAACATTTTACTTGGAAATAACTTCAAGCTCAGGGTTGCAATAAGAACTTCAATAAATAGGATACAATATTTGTATTAAACTACATTCTAACTTGTCAACTGACAATGTCCTTTACAGCATTTTTTTTCCTCCAATACAGTATCTAGGATAGGGTCAGGTATTACATTTAGTTGCCATGTCTCTTTAGCCTCCTTTAATCTGGAATCTTTTCACAGCCTTTGTCTTTTTTGACATTAATACTTTTGTACCAGGCCTCTTTCTTAATAGAACATTCTTCCTTTGGGGATCTCAGGTTTCATGATTTGATTCAGGTAATGGATCCTAAGCCAAATACTGCATAGGTGGTGACAGACCCTTCTCAGAGTGTCACCTCTGGAGGCACAGGACGTCCACCTGCCCTTGTGGATGTTGATTTTCATTACCTGGTCAAGATGTTGTCCAATTTCTGCACTGTAAAGTTACTTTTATCTTGCAACATGCAGTAGGTGAAATAAATGCCCCCACCCTGCCACCCCGCCCCACCCCATGTAATCTCCAGAGCCTTATAAGAATGTTACTTTATATGGCAAAAGGATTTTGAAGAACTGGTTAAGGATTTCGAAGCAGGAAGAGAATCCTGGATCATCTAGGTAGGACTTGTAATCACAAGTGGCCTTACAAGAGGGACACAGGAGACAGAGATGGAAGGCAATGTGACAACAGGAGCAGAGAGACTTGAAACTGTTCCACTGCTGGCTTTGAGACTGAAATTAAAGAAAGAACACAGATTTTCCCAGGAGCCTCCAGAAGGAACCAACCCTGCCAACACCTTCATTTTAGCCCTCTAAGGCGCATTTTGAACTTCTGACTCTCCAGAACTGTAAGAGAAATCTGTGTTATTTTAAGGAAATAAGTTTTTGGTAATTTGTTAAAGGGGCAATAGGGAACTGATACACAACTCATAAGCAATCTATGGGAGATACTTTAAAGCCATGTAAATATGATCCTTGCTGAGATTTCCCTTAAGATCTAACACCAATGGATGATTCTTGCCTGATTCAGCCTTCATTATGATTATCAAATACTAGTTTTTCAATTTCAGCACTCCCTCTCCCATAACCACTTGCCACTAAACAGTAAAAAAGAGCCCCCTTTGTGTCCTACTTATTATCCATACATACTCATGATTTTTTTTTTTTTTTTTAGACAGAGTCTCGTTCTGTTGCCCAGGCTGGAGTGCAGTGGCGCGATCTCGGCTCACTGCAACCTCCGCCTCCTGGGTTCAAGCAATTCTCCTGCCTCAGCCTCCTGAGTAGCTGGGATTACAGGCACCCACCACCATGCCTGGCGAATTTTTTGTATTTTTAGTAGAGAGGGGGTTTCACTGTGATAGCCAGGATGGTCTCAATCTCCTGAACTCATGATCTGCCCGCCTTGGCCTCCCAAAGTGCTGGGATTACAGGCGTGAGCTACCGTGCCCGGCCATGATTTCCAATTTTTAAAACGTTTATAATTCATCACTATGCCTAATTATTTTGATGCACAAATCCTTAGTAGATTCATCAAGTGAGAGCCAAGGGCCAGGCTCAAACTAAACACAGGCAACCAAAATCAGAGTTGTGTGGCCTTGAACCCTGGCCTCTGCAGAATGGTGTCGGCACCTGAGCCAAAGACAGTCCTCTGTGGGCTGGCCCGGATCAAAGTGGAGGCCTGGTGCAGAAACTCCATCCAAATGGGTGGGGAATAAAGATATTCAAGACTCAGGTCAGTGAAGATCAAACAAGGAGAAAAGAGAGAAGACTCAGTCACAGAAATGGCTGACAGTCAAAATGGCTACAGATCCTCCACTTTTTCCATTTTCCAGTCTGACCACTGTACATCTTCTAGTTTCTGCTCCTCTTCAGCCCTTAGGAGAACCAGGAAGGAGCTGGACTTTGAGGACCCCTTTCGCCAACACAGCACTTTCACCATTACTGGGACTGCACCTTTGCTAGTGTCAAGTACACATTTTTGCTCCTTTGAGCAAAATGAATTTGCGGGGACTTCTCCCTTTATCATCACAGACTGCTTTTCTTCTTCAGCAAGCCCAGCTATGGGTAACTTCTTCCAGCCAACCTGTTTCCTCCATGTCCTACATGGAAAATGCAATTCTAAGAATTCCCTTTTACGGTACGCTTCAATCTCCCAAGGTTGGAAATACTGACTAAGTGCCTACTACATGCATGAAGCATCAAAGGCAAAAGAAGGACCCAGTGGCTTTCAGAGCTTCCATTTTAGCTCATGCCAGCTGGACTTGGGCTGAAGTTCTTGCTGCTCCTGCCCTCACTACACTTAAGTTAAAAACCTCCAGTTCTTAAGTGGCTGTCAGAACCCAAACCCAGGTGTCTGTATTCTTCCCAAGGCACACCATCTTCTTCAGACATTAAAAAATTAAACATACGCTCTTCTGTTCCAAGATGGCCAAATAGGAACAGCTCTGGTGTGCAGCTCCCAGCGTGACTGATGCAGAAGACAGGTGATTTCTGCATTTCCAACTGAGGTACCTGGTTCATCTCACTGGGACTGGTTGGACAGTGGGTGCAGCCCAAGGAGGGCAAGCCGAAGCAGGGTGGGGCATCACCTCACTCGGGAAGCACCAGGGGTCGGAGGATTTCCCTTTCCTAGCCAAGGGAAGCCAGGACAGACTGTACCTGGAAAAAGTGGACACTCCCACCCAAATACTGTGCTGTTCCCAAGGTCTTAGCAACCAGCAGACAAGGAGATACTCTCCCATGCCTGGCTCGGTGGGCCCCACACTCACGGAGCCTTGCTCACTGCTAGCGCAGCAGTCTGAGATAGAACTGCGAGGCAGCAGCCTGGCTGGGGGACGGGTGTCCACCATTGCTGAAGCTTGAGTAGGTAAACAAAGCAGCCCAGGAAGCTCAAACTGGGTGGAGCCCACCACAGCTCAGCAAGGCCTACTGCTTCTATAGACTCCACCTCTGTGGGCAGGGCATAGCTGAACAGCAGCAGACAGCTTTCGCAGATTTAAACGTCCCTGTCTGACAGCTCTGAAGAGAGCAGTTGTTCCCCCAGCACAGCGTTTGAGCTCTGAAAACAGACAGACTGCCTCAAGTGGATCCCTGACCCCCGTATAGCCTAACAGGGAGACAGCTCCCAGTACGGGCCTACAGACACCTCATATAGGCAGGTGCCCCTCTAGGACAAAGCTTCCAGAAGAAGGAACAGGCAGCAATATTTGCTGTTCTGCAGCCTCCACTGGTGATACCCAGGCAAACAGGGTCTGGAGTGGACCTCCAGCAAACTCCAACAGACCTGCAGCTGAGGAACCTGACTCTTAGAAGGAAAACTAACAAACAGAAAGGAATAGCACCATCATCAACATGAAGGACGTCTACACCAATACCCCATCTGTAGGTCACCAACATCAAAGACCAAAGGTAGATAAAACCACAAGGATGGGGAGAAATCAGAGGAGAAAAACTGAAAACTCTAAAACCCAGAGCACCTCTTCTCCTCCAAAGGATCGCAGCTCCTTGCCAGCAACAGAACAAAGCTGGACGGAGAACAACTTTGACGAGCCGACAGACATAGACTTCAGAAGGTCGGTAATTACAAACTTCTCCGAGCTAAAGGAACATGTTCAAACCGATCACAAGGAAGCTAAAAACCATGAAAAATGGTTAGACGAATGGCTAACTAGAATAAACAGTGTAGAGAAGACCTTAAATGACCTGATGGAGCTGAAAACCATGGCACAGGAACTTCGTGATGCATGCACAAGCTTCAATAGCTGATTCGATCAAGTGGAAGAAAGGGTATCAGTGATTGAAGATCAAATGAATGAAATAAAGCGAGAAGACAAGGTTAGAGAAAACAGAGTAAAAAGAAATAAACAAAGCTTCCAAGAAATATGGGACTATGGGAAAAGACCAAATCTAGGTTTGATAGGTGTACCTGAAAGTGACAGGGAGAATGGAACCAAGTTGGAAAACACTCTGCAGGATATTATCTAGGAGAACTTCCCCAACCTAGCAAGGCAGGCCAACATTCAAATTCAGGAAATACAGAGAACACCACAAAGATACTCCTCAAGAAGAGCAACCCCAAGAAACACAACTGTCAGATTCACCAAGGTTGAAATGAAGGAAAAAATGTTAAGGGCAGCCAGAGAGAAAGGTCGGGTTACCCACAAAAGGAAGCCCATCAGACTAACAGCGGGTATCTCAGCAGAAACCCTACAAGCCAGAAGAGAGTGGGGGCCAATATTCAACATTCTTAAAGAAAAGAATTTTCAAACCAGAATTTCATATCCAGCCAAAATAAGCTTCGTAAGTGAAGGAGAAATAAAATCCTTTACAGATGAGCAAATCCTGAGAGATTTTGTCACCACCAAGGCTGTCTTACAAGAGCTCCTGAAGGAAGCACTAAACATGGAAAAGAACAACTGGTACCAGCCACTGCAAAAACACGCCAAATTGTTAAGACGATCGCTGCTAGGAAGAAACTGCATCAACTAATGGGCAAAATAACCAGCTAACATCATAATGACGGGATCAAATTCACACATAACAATATTAACCTTAAATATAAATGGGCTAAATGCCCCAATTAAAAGACACAGACTGGCAAATTGGATAAAGAGTCAAGACCCATCAGTGTGCTGTACTCAGGAGACCCATCTCATGTGCAGAGATACACGTAGGCTCAAAATAAAGGGATGGAGGAAGATCTACCAAGCAAATGGAAAACAAAAAAAAGGCAGGGGTTGCAATCCTAGTCTCTGATAAAACAGACTTTAAACCAACAAAGATCAAAAGAGACAAAGAAGGCCATTACATAATGGTACAGGGATAAATTCAACAAGAAGAGCTAACTATCCTAAATATATATGCACCCAGTACAGGAGCACCCAGATTCATAAAGCAAGTCCTTAGAGACCTACAAAGAGACTTAGACCCCCGCACAATAATAATGGGAGGCTTTAACACCCCACTGCCAATATTAGACAGATCAATGAGACAGAAGGTTAACAAGGATATCCAGGACTTGAACTCAGCTCTGCACCAAGCAGACCTAATAGACATCTACAGAACTCTCCACCCCAAATCAACAGAATATACGTTCTTCTCAGCACCACATCGCACTTATTCCAAAACTGACCAAATAGTTGGAAGTAAAGCACTCCTCAGCAAATGTGAAAGAATGGAAATCACAGCAAACTATCTCTCAGACTACAGTGCAATCAAATTAGAACTCAGGATTAAGAAACTCACTCAAAACCACTCAACTACATGGAAACTGAATAACCTGCTCCTGAATGACTACTGAGTAAATAACAAAATGAAGGCAGAAATAAAGATGTTCTTTGAAACCAATGAGAACAAAGACACAACACACCAGAATCTATGGGACACATTTAAAGCAGTGTGGAGGGAAATTTATAGCACTAAATGCCCACAAAAGAAAGCAGGAAAGATCTAAAATCAACACCCTAACATCACAATTAAAATAACTAAAGAAGTAAGAGCAAACAAATTCAAAAGCTAGCAGAAGGCAAGAAATAACTAAAATCAGAGCAGAACTGAAGGAAATAGAGACACAAAAAATCCTTCAAAAAAAAAAAACAAACCAATGAATCCAGGAGCTGGTTTTTTGAAAGGATCAACAAAATTGATAGACTGCTAGCAAGACTAATAAAGAAGAAAAGAGAGAAGAATCAAATAGACGCAATAAAAAATGATAAAGGGGATATCACCACCGATCCCACAGAAATACAAACTACCATCAGAAAATACTATAAACACCTCTATGCAAATAAACTAGAAAATCTAGAGGAAATCGATAAATTCCTGGACACATACACCCTCCCAAGACTAAACCAGGAAGAAGTTGAATCTCTGAATAGACCAATAACAGGCTCTGAAATTCAGGCAATAATTAATAGCCTACCAACCAAAAAAAGTCCAGGACCAGACGGACTCACAGCTGAATTCTACCAGAGGTACAAAGAGGAGTTGGTACCATTCCTTCTGAAACTATTCCAAACAACAGAAAAAGAGGGAATCCTCTCTAACTCATTTTAGGAGGCCAGCATCATCCTGATACCAAAGCCTGGCAGAGACACAACAAAAAAAAGAGAATTTTAGACCAATATCCCTGATGAACATTGATGCAAAAATCCTCAATAAAATACTGGCAAACTGAAACCAGCAGCACATCAAAAAGCTTATCCACCACCATCAAGTGGGCTTCATCCCTGGGATGCAAGGCTGGTTCAACACACGCAAATCAATAAATGTAATCCATCACATAAACAGAACCAACGACAAAAATCACGATTATCTCAATAGATACAGAAAAGGCCTTTGACAAAATTCAACAGCCCTTCATGCTAAAAGCTCTCAATCAACCAGGTATTGATGCGAAATATCTCAAAATAATAAGAGCTATTTATGACAAACCCACAGCCAATATCATACTGAATGGCCAAAAACTGGAAGCATTCCCTTTGAAAACTGGCACAAGACAGGGATGCCTCTCTCTCACCACTCCTATTCAACATAGTGTTAGAAGTTCTGGCCAGGGCAATCAGGCAAGAGAAAGAAATAAAGGGTATTCAATTAGGAAAAGAAGAACTCAAATTGTCCCTGTTTGCAGATGACATGATTGTATATTTAGAAAACCCCATCGTCTCAGCCCAAAATCTCCTTAAGCTGATAAGCAACTTCAGCAAAGTCTCAGGACACAAAATCAATGTGCAAAAATCACAAGCATTCTTACACACGAATAATAGACAAACAGCCAAATCATGAGTGAACTCCCATTCACAATTGCTACAAAGAGAATAAAATACCTAGGAATCCAACTTAGAAGGGATGTGAAGGACCTCTTCAAGGAGAACTACAAACCACTGCTCAACGAAATAAAAGAGGATACAAACAAATGGAAGAACATTCCATGCTCATGGGTAGGAAGAATCAATACCGTGAAAATGGCCATACTGCCCAAGGTAATTTATAGATTCAATGCCATCCCCATCAAGCTACCAATGACTTTCTTCACAGAATTGGAAAAAACTAAAGCTCATAAGGAACCAAAAAAGAGCCCGCATTGCCAAGTCAATCCTAAGCAAAAAGAACAAAGCTGGAGGCACCACGCTACCTGACTTCAAATTATACTACAAGGCTATAGTAACCAAAACAGCATGGTACTGGTACCAAAACAGATATATACACCAATGGAACAGAAAAGAGGCCTCAGAAATAATAACACACATCTATAACCATTTGATCTTTGACAAACCTGCCAAAAACAAGCAATGGGGAAAAGATTCCCTATTTAATAAATGGTGTTGGGAAAACTGGCTAGCCATACGTAGAAAGTTGAAACTGGATCCCTTCCTTACAGCTCATACAAAAATTATTTCAAGATGGATTAAAGACTTAAATGGTAGACCTAAAACCATAAAAACGCTAGAAGAAAACCTAGGCAATACCATTCAGGACATAGGCATGGGCAAGGACTTCATGTCTAAAACACCAAAAGCAATGGCAACAAAAGCCAAAAAAGACAAATGAGATCTAATTAAACTAAAGGGCTTCTGCACGGCAAAAGAAACTACCATCAGAGTGAACAGCCAACCTACAGAATGGGAGAAAATTTTTGCAATCTACCCAACTGACAAAGGGCTAATATCCAGAATCCACAAAGAATTCAAACAAATTTACAAGGAAAAAACCAAACAAGCCCATCAAAAGGTGGGCAAAGGATTTGAACAGACATTTCTCAAAAGAAGACATGTATGCAGCCAACAGACACATGAAAAAATGCTCATCATCACTGGCCATCAGAGAAATGCAAATCAAAACCACAATGAGATACCATCTCATGCCAATTAGAATGGCGATCATTAAAAAGTCAGGAAACAACAGGTGCTGGAGAGTATATGGAGAAACAGGAATACTTTTACACTGTTGGTAAGAGTGTAAATTAGTTCAACTATTGTGGAATACAGTGTGGCGATTCCTCAAGGATCTAGAACTGGAAATACTGTTTGACCCAGGAATCCCATTACTGGGTATATACCCAAAGGATTATAAATCATGCTACTGTAAAGACACATGCACACGTATGTTTACTGCGGCACTATTTACAATAGCAACGACTTGGAACCAACCCAAATGTCCATTGATGATAGACTGGATTAATAAAATGTGGCACATATACACCATGGAATACTATGCAGCCATAGAAAATGATGAGTTCATGTCCTTTGTAGGGACATGGATGAAGCTGGAAACCATCATTCTCAGCAAACTATCACAAAGACAGAAAACCCAACACCCCATGTTCTCACTCATAGGTGGGAACTGAACAATGAGAACACTTGGACACAGGGCGGGGAACATCACACACTGGGGCCTGTCATGAGGTGGGGGACTGGGGGAGGGATAGCATTAAGAGGAATAACTAATGTAAATGACAAGTTGATGGGTGCAGCAAACCAACATGGTACATGTATACCTATATATCAAACCTGCAGGTTGTGCACATGTACCCTAAAACTTAAAGTATAATAATAAAAAGTAAACATACATCGTCAGTAGATATGGGATGAGGATTATAAAATATAAACACTGAAGGGAACATGCAATGCATGGGACATGTTGGCAAAAGCTCCCCCTTAGCATTGGGAAGATGGACAGAGGGGGAATTTCAGGTGCCAAATTTAAACTGGAGAAAGACAGAACATCTAGAAAGTATAAGAGGACATGGAATGTAGTGTAGAGCTGTGTGCGTGACCAAGTCCAAGGAGTGTTTCTGTCCCTTAGCAATGAACAGACAGGAGCAGTCTGAATCACTCAGCAAGAACCTAAGCTACCATCATAATCACTTACCAAGATTAGGACTATTTTAGAACAAAGTCAAGAAAAAAGTATTCCCTAATAGGTGGAACTAGGAATGATCTCTAATAAGTAACTCTATGGTCAAAGCCAAGGGCTACAGAGACTGACCTCCTGCCAGTCTTTTTTAGGAAATGGGGTGGAGCAACCCCCAACCCTCCCTTCTCTGGATATTGGAGGCCTTCCATTAAAATATACCTGGCCTGCTTCTTTCCTAGAAAGGCTGCCTAATTCACTTATTTTTACATTCCTGTGCAAAGTTGCACAGAGAAGGGTCTATTCCCTGATGCTTCATCATAAAAAAATTGCTCACTGAAATGATCACATGGTTGGTTGGTACATGGGAAAACTGTCTGCATTAATTAGTTGGCCTGAGCATCCCAGGACCCCCAGATACAGGAGCTAAGTCTACCTGTCCAGTCACATTTATCATCCAATTTCCCAGGGAAATCACATCCAAGAGGATTCAAATAGCTTTCCAAAAGCACTGGGCTATTTCTTGCCCATGTTCTATTTTTCATTTTTGAAATAATGAGTAAAGCAGAAATCAGTAGGATGACTACATGAGGTAATTGAGATTTTAAATGGTTCTGGCTGAGGAGAACTGATCTGCCAGTGTTGATTTCAGGTTCTGACAGAACGGTGAAGGGATCCCACCTACCCTTCCCCCACCGCTCAAATACAATGAAAACAATGGAAGCAAAAACTGTAGGTCAGGATTTCTTAACCTGGGGCCTATGGACAGAATTCTGTGACCCCATAAACTTGGATGGGAAAATGTTTCTATCTTTATCTTTACTAACTCCCACTGAAATTTAGCATTTCCTTTAAGCATGAACACGGGTGACAAACCACGTTAGTACACAGCAGTTCCTGTAACTTTGTCAACAAATCAAATGTGTTTTCATCACATTTCAGTTGCTACAGATCTTATGCGTATTACTACTTCACAATTATGGTGTGTGACCCACCACTTGATCTAGCTATGTAACAAATAAAGCAGCACAAATATTCTATCGTAAGTTTTTGGAAAATTTAACTTGTTTCTTGGAATCCTATTTTATGTATTTAAAATGTTTCTGAGAAGGAGTTCACAGGTTTCACCAGGCAGCTGCTGAATGAGTCCAAGGTACAAAAACAGTTAAGCACCTCTGATGGAAGCATCCATGTTAGAAATTAAGAATGCTGGAACCCGGATTCACGGGACCCTCAGGCACATTTCAAACTTGGACTGCTAGCCTGCCTAGTGTTATTAACATCTCCTTCACAAAGCTGTTTTAAGACAGAGCAGGATAATGTAAATGAAAGTGGTTTATTAGCCCAAAGAACAGCAAGGTTAAAGATTTAGTACAAAGACACGCGGCAAGAAGGTAATTGAAGGAGATAGAGTACTTCTTCAAGGTCACATATCAGCTCTTATCTATGAACTAGGTATTCAATAATGCGGCCCAACTGGCTTCTGGAAGAGTAGTACTCATATTGCTGCTCCAAGGCCAGACGTAGTGGCTGACACCTGTAATCCCAGGACTTTGGGAGGCTAAGGCGGGCAGATCACTTGAGGCCAGGAGTTGGAGACCAGCCTGGCCAAGATAGTGAAACCCCGTATCTACTAAAAATAAAAAAAAATAGTCAGGTGTGGTAGCGCACGCCTATAATCCCAGCTACTCGGGAAGCTGAGGCACGAGAAATTTGCTTGAACTCTAGCGGAAGTTGCAGTGAGCCAAGATCGCGCTACTGCACTCCAGCCTGGGTGACAGAGTAAAACTCGGTCTCAAAAAAATGCTGCTCCAAGATGTGGTAAGGAGCTTGTGCCACGGGGAAAAATCAGCACACTGCTTCTTTCAATGAGAGTCTTGCTGTGAAAAACAGGTCAGCTGAAGTGCAGCGCTTAGAAAACAAAGAGCTGGTTGACAAACTACACTTTTGACTGGTCCTGCTCTAGAGCCTTGAACACAGGCCAGTGATATTTAACATAAAACCCACACCCCCACAATTCCCCACCCTATCCCAGGAGTCATGGGACCAGAATGAAATTGATGTATCTACTGAGACAGATGGTAGAAATGCAAAGTCTTGCGTCAGCAATAGTTAATGCAAGCAAGGAAGTGACTATGCAGACTGTACAGGAAGTACTAGCACATTTTTATTTCGACATCAGCACTGCTCCAGCCCATTAAAAACACTGTCAACCCAGCCTTCCTCTAGCCCCGCTGGATCACCATTAGTCAAGTCTCTAAAATATTCAATCAATCACACTTCTACGAGAAAGCAGCATTTCACTTTTTAAATAAATTATTGACATCTGCTGATGTGTTAAATGGAATTTTAAACAGTCATATTTGTCTTGTCTCTAATTAAAAAGCAGCTATAGGATACTACAGTATATTCCAGTTTAAGTTATAAAGGAGACTGTAATACTATATAACACTACAGCCATTAAAGTAAAACAACAATGCTAGATCTTATAACATTTCTTTAAAAGTCAGCAAAAGCAGAGGGGATTTTCAGTTTTCAGAGTTCAGTTTGCATGCTTTTGTTTTAAAACAGTAACAAAGATGTTCAAAACATACATCATCCTTTCTCCAACACAAAGAAGTGAGTTGGGTCAAAATTCACTATTATCACCCTAAATGAAAAGACAGATATTTCCATTCCTTTCTTTCCTATTCCACATCCCTTACTGTCTCCTGAATCTATCTCCCATGGCCTGGCACAACCTGATCCACTCATTTCCACCTCTCAGGTCTTTGCAGGACTTGTGTCAACAGATTTATCAGTGGATCTGCTGCCCCAGCCTCAAGCTAGTCTTCAAGTACAAAGTCATGCCCAGTTATTAAAAACACGATATCCAGACAGCAGGTACATATACCTGGTTTCTTTTATAAAGTAGAAAAAAATCCAATTCTATTGACTCCCAAACAGTGTTCTACAGTAACAGTACCATCATTTTATATCTTACACAGTACACAGAGCTTTGCAAAGCACTATAGTAGAGTTGGAGGGGATGGGGAGAATGTCTACTAATGCTATTTTTAACCTATGTGCACAAGAAAAATTTAAGTTAAGTCTATCTAATTACAACATGACTAACTCCTTTCTTCTTCATCTTCTTCCATGACAATCTAATACAAAGAAAAAGTAGGCGGCCGGGTGTGGTGGCTCACACCTGTAATCCTAGCACTTTGGGAGGCTGACGTGGGCCAATCGCCTGAGGTCAGGAGTTCAAGACCAGCTTGGCCAATATGGCAAAACCCCGTCTCTACTAAAAAATACAAAAATTAGCTGGGTATGGTGGCCGGCGCCTGTAATCCCAGCCACCCGGGAGCCTGAGGCAGGAGAATTGCTTGAACCTGGGAGGCAGAGGTTGCAGTGAGCAGAGATTGTACCACTATGCTCCAGCCTGGGCGACAGAGCAAGACTGTCTCAAAAAAAAAAAAAAAAAAAAAAAAAAGAAAGAAAGAAAAAGAAAAAGTAGACATTCACTCATTTAAGAAAAAAAATGTCAGGCCACTACGCTCCAGCCTGGGTGACAGACCAAGACGCTGTCTCAAAAAAAAAATTTTTTTTTTTTTTTTTAAATACCATACTATTGATTCCTACACCTTGAGAGGAAGAACGTTCTGTGTTGACACCAATTCTACCTCAAAATGGACACTGAATATTTCATTTTTAATGCTTTGCTTATTGCAAATTCATCATAAATGACTCATTCCATTGATACAGTATAAACCTTTTATAAAAACAACAGAATAACCCACTGATGTCTAACAATCCAAGTCAATGTAAAGCTCACTTTTGATGTGGATTGTTACCCACACACACCACACCAAGCTGTTAGCTACCTGCACTTCCTTAGGAGTTTTCAAGTTGCTCATATTGCCATAGGCCTCTCCATAAATTCTGTCATACATCGGTGCAGCCAAGAATCTGCTCAGAAAGTTTCATAGCAGCTACCCAAAATGACTTTTATTTCCACATCTAATACACTGCTAAGAGTGGGACCAGAAATAAGCTTTTGACTTTCAACTTTACAGTCAGACAAAATCTCTTGCTAGCCTCAGGTCAATGGTATAATGAAGGACTGGTGAATGTAATAGGTTGTGTATCATTTAGCACGGTGGCAAATGAAGTCATTACTACTGTTCAAAAAAGGCCCCGGGGCCATCCTATTATAAAGAGATAAATGACATCGAGTGACAGAACTAAAAACAGACCAGGAGATACTGTTGCTCTATGAGATCACAAGTCAGAAAGAGGGGACTGGGCTGAAATAAAACGACAGAACACACAAAATGTCTCTTTTGTAATTTTAATTGAAGCAATCCTATTTTTTTTTAACTCTCTCTTATAAGCACCAAATTTTAATATCTAAGTCAATTTTTGGGGAAAGAAACACCATCAAGATCTTCCCTCCAGCAAAACAACGATGTTCACTCCTCCAAATATCCAAATTGAAGATCTACCAAAACAAAAACAAAAACAAAAGCCCACAGAGAAATAAAAAGGAACAAAAATCACATTCTAATGGGGGGGGTCAGTGCATTTAGCAGTCTTCGCTGTGCTGTCTAACCATCCTTCAGCTGACTTTCAAAAAAAAAACACCCTAAGCTCATCAAAATATACATTTTCCATTTGCTTTTTTAAATTAAAAATAATTATTAAAAAAAGGAAAACTTTAAGGAATTCACAATCAATTGCCTGACTCATTTTGATGTCATGTACAGCATATGGAGGTCAGGAAGGCTATTTGCAGCACATGTGATTAGGGGCTACTGATCTTCAGGGTTTAGCTTTCTTCCAAACAGTGTAAAATACCCACCTGGACAGGGAGTCAAGGAATAAAAGCAGGTAATTCAAGGAAGAAAAGACATCACTTGTAATTCGTTTGCTGGCCTACAAATTGAAAGATGGATGAAAAGCTTCATGGCTTAGAGCACTGTGGGAATGAGAACGAAGGACTTTGAATAAGGCCACTCTGCAGCCTGGGGACATCCTCACCACCTGGGAGGTCTGAAGGAGGTACTGAGTAGACAACAGAAGGCTAAAGGAACACAAATATTCTCTCAGGTAACACTACTGCTTCCAAAGTCTCACAAGTTTTAGGGAATTAGTATGAGAAGGAAAGGAAGGAAGGGGGAAAGGAGGGAGGGAGGGAAAGTTAGGGTAGCGGGAGATACAAGGGAGAGAAGGGGGAGGGAAGAGAGGGCAGGAGGAGGAGAGGGAAGGAGGAGGAGAGGGAAAAAAGGTCAGAGGAGGAAAGGAGAGGGAAGGAAGGAGGGAGAGAGAAGAACTAGCAGGTGGAAGACTTTGCCTCAAATGTTATCAACTGATTTCTCAAATCTCCCAACATGCAAACACAGGCCTGACAAAAATGCTGAGGGGAACCCTAAACAAAGGTGGACAGTTGGTAGGAGATGCTGAAGCTCTGTACAGGCTGTGGAGGGACACGGCCACCCAGCAGGCGGAGTACTCCCCTCCTCACATGGAGGATCTAGAGGGTTCTCATTGCCTCTTGCTGGCCATCTGGTCTCAGCAGGCAGTTTGCCCCGTCGGGCTCTGCCCCAGCCTGATGGGACCAGGCCTCACTGGAGGTCAGCAGCAGTTGCTCCCTTGACAGCAAAAAAACCCTGCCGTCACAGGAACCTGGACTTGGCAACAGCAGATAAGGAAGCCGTCATCTGCAGACTACAGCCCACAGCTGTGTTGCGGCACAAATTTCCAATGATAATGCTCATTTCCTTTTTTCTTTCTGTGTTTTACTTCTCTAGACTAACTTTACTAAGCGGAACTAACAGAGAACACCAATGTTAACCGTGCAGTCCCCAACATCATTCTAGTTCTCGATTTCTGTTGCAAATTAGCATCAAGTGTAGAAACTAGTATTAATGTCAGGTTATTTTAATGTAAGAGTAGAATGAGTGTCTTTAGACATTTTACCTGCCACAGGTAGGGTGGTTATTTTAGACTAGGGCTTCTCAAACTTTTCAGGTGCACATAAATCCCTGGGAGGGCTGGTAGAACAGGTCACTGGGCCCCCACCTCCAGAATTCCTCTGATTGGGCAGCAGGTTGGGGTGGGGCTTGAGAATGTCCATGTCTAACTAGTTCTTGAGCGATGCTGCAGGTCTGGCAACACCTTTGAGAACCAATGCTTTAGACCAGTAGTGCTTGATCATTAAAAGCACCTGGAAAGCTGTGGCAAGCCAGACCCCAAAACTTTTGAGAATGGAAGTCTAGAATCTCAGATTTTATTTAAAGCTTCTCAGGGGATTCCAATGTGCACCTAAGCTGGAGAACCAGGGCTTTATATACTCTATGGCTAAGCTAATTGTTTATTATTGTGATTTAAATTTTTTCATTGGCATATGATTTACTTGGGTGCTTTGATCTGGCAACAGAATGTCACGGTCAAAGGATACAATTCCAAGTATGAAGGGACACAGACGATCTCCTTTGAAAATTCCACAGGACAATACAGGCGCCCCAGCTGTTCTTCATAGAGCGACAGTGCTTCTGTCAGATTGACACAGTTCCCCTAAATCAAAGAGAGATAAGCAAATGGGATTCTTGAGTCCTTCCAAGGGCCCCACTCATCTGAAGGTCTTTAATAAAGGAGAACAATTCTAGCTTTAGATAAAAGTTCATCTTTAAAAACAAGATAAGGCTTCTGTATTTTCACAAATCACACTGCATTCTATTTATAGACCCATTAGAGCTCGTTATCCTTCTACCTCATTTACCAAGCCATTTCAAATTATTAGAATATGAAATGATAGAAAGCAGTGAAACCAATTTCTTATTAGTGACACTCACTGAATTAAAACCATGCAATTTGCAAAGATTCATACAAATAACTCATTCAAAGGAAATTTTCTCAATAACGGTCACCATTATATTACAAATGAAGTATCAAAAATATAGTGTTCCTGATTTCCACAATGGTTTAAACTACAATTCTCCTAAGAGTCTAAAATGTTGACACAGAACTATATTCACCCCCATTTTTTTCCTAGAATCTGTGTATAAGAGAACAAAAGTTTATTCAGGATATATACGATAGGGATATCCCCTAGTTGCACACCTTATCAAAAACTTTCTCTTAACTTCATTATTCTAACATTTCTCCCTTCCCAGTCACCCCATTTTCAGCATCTCCAGCAGCTAGGGGTAGTCAATGAGATATACTGGAAGTCTGCTGGTAGCTGCTGGAAAAGCTTTTGATTCTGAACAAAGAAAGAGCCACCGGCCTCTTCAACTTTCTTCTAAGCTATGACCTAGATGTGATATTTGGAGCTGCAGCAGCCATCCTGTGACCACAAGGAAAAAAAAGGTGAAGATAATCAAGAGATGCCAGCCAAGGTATAGCAGAGCTGCTGAATGGATACAGTATTTGCCTAACTCTAGAGCAATGCTTCTTACACCTTAATGTACATATGATATCATAGGGGATCTTGTTAAAATGTAGATTTGGATTAAGTCTAGGGAAGCATTTATCATCCTCTTAGCACAATTTTCCCCAAATGCTTTTCATTATGAATTTAGAAAACGAAAGTGGTATTTAATACCGCCTATTTCCTTTTAATCTCTGAAGTTGGTATTCACAAGACTACTGAATCCAGGTGGCTGATTCCGTTTCTTAAGAAAATTACTGTTCGCTGGGCATGCTAGCTCAGGCCTGTAATCCCAGAACTTTGGGAGGCTGAGGCAGGTGGATCACCTGAGGTCATGAGTTTGAGACCGGCCTGGCCAACATGGTGAAACCCTGTCTCTACTAAAAAATACAAAAGTTAGCCAGGCGTGGTGGCATGCGCCTGTAACCCCAGCTACTCGGGAGGCTGAGGCAGAAGAACCGCTTGAACCCAGGAGGTGGAGGTTGCAGTGAGCCGAGATGGCGCCACTGCACTCCAGCCGGGGCAACAAGAGCGAAACTCCAATTCAGAAAAAAAAAAAGTTACTATTAATTTGCCTCAAAATAGCCAAGTATAATGCAAGATGAAAATTATTTACAAATAAAGGCAGCCTGTGATGTAAGAACTCCTGAGAATGGCTTTCAAAACCAACCAGCCAGCTAGTCACGGGCAAGAGGTTAGAACTATTCTGAGAGCTGGCCTTGGTGGTTTTAACTTAGCACATTCACTCAACGTGACGTCATCCTTCAGTGTCAGCCTGTTTAGTAACCCATCATCTAGGGTCCTGCAGTGGGATATGGCCATGGCCAAAGTGCCCTTCGCCAGCATGTAATTTGGTTTCAACATCAAGTTCACCGTAAGAGCATATAAACACCACACGTGTAATTTAAGATTCACAAATAGAAAACTGCCCAGTTGTTTTTAGAACACATCACCACTGGGGAAGCTATAGAATGAAAATGCCACCAAGGTGCACAGTAAATGGCTTTGCCATCTTAAAATTGACACCACACTCTCTCTTTATAGAGGTTATATGGGAAGACTTCCTTACACAGACTGTGGTAAGAAAATAGGAAAGTTTCAATTTGTTCTTTCCCAACATTGTCAAGAAGTTTCAAAGAAGAAAACACACACCACAAATAGACACCTACCCCAAAAAAGTAACATGATACATTTCACTTTCCTGTCTATTTAAATGGAATGACATTTTTTCTTTTTAAGAGAAACAAATGGGAGATGCAGAATAAAAATCTAATAGCAAAGAATTAAGCACTCATTAAGGATAAGAAGAAGGGATGGAACAAGGGGTGGGGTCACACCTGGCACTATCGAAGAAAAAGGGGCTCACTGCCCAATGTGCTTGAAGTCAATATTAGGACACTGGGGTTTTAAGAAAAGCAAAGCTTATTTTAATTTCTTTTCAGAGACAGGGTCTTGCTGTGTTGCCCAGGCTGAAGTACAGCGCTGTGAACATAGCTCAGTGCAGCCTCAAACTCCTGGCCTCAAGCAATCCTCCCGCCTTAGCCTCCCCAAATGCTGGGATTACAGGCATAAGCCACCGTGCCTGGCCTAAGAAAAGCTTTTTATTGTAAGTCAACTAACAAGGAGACAGGAGTCCAGCTTAAATATGTCTCCCTGTGTTGGGCTTACGGGCAGTCCTTTTATTAGAAAAGGTTTAAGGGGCCAGGTGTGGCGGCTCACATCTATAATGCTAACACTTTGGAGGCAGAGGCAGGCAGATCACTTCAGGTCAGGAGTTCGAGAGCAGCATGGCCAACATGGTGAAATCCCATCTCTTCTAAAAATACAAAAATTAGCCAGGTGTGGTGGCTCACACCTGTAATCCCAGCTACTCGGAAGGCTGAGGCAGGAGAGGTGCTTGAACCCGGGAGGCAAAGGTTGCAGTGAGCAGTGATCAAGCCACTGTACTCTAGCCTGGGCCACAGAGTGAGACTCCATCTCTGTCTCAACAACAACAACAAAAAAAAGTTTAAAGGGTAGGTTCTGAGATGTGCAGGTGATTGATTCGTGGATGGAAAGCAAAGGGTAGATCTGGAAAATCCTCAGGCGTGTATAGTTATTTCTTTATGCCCACTAATGGGTCTTGTGTGCAAACTTGAGGGCGGGGAAGTGGTTAGCATGAAGCAAGTGGTGGAAACTTAGGCTGTGACATCAGCAAGCTTGTTCTATGCAAATTCTAATTGGCCATATTGGTTTTAACAGATTTTAGCCAATGATTTTCTCTCTTAAGTGGAGGGAGTTTCAGTGTTTCAGCAAGCTGTTTCTTTTTTTACCCGTAATCCTGCAAAGTCCAGATTTTATTAGTCATTGGTTTCTTTACCCCTTTGAGGCTTCACTATGGGATTAAATCCAAATTCGATAGCTTCAGTTCTAGAAAGTTCTTTTCCCCATGTTAGGTGTGGACAGGTGACATTTGCTTTTGTTTATTTTAGAGGTGGGGTCTTCACTATGTTGCCCAGGCTGTCCTCGAACTCCTGGGCTCAAGCAATCCTCCTGAGTAGTTAGGATTACAGGCACATGACACCTCAGTAACAGGTACAGAAGAATACATCCTTAGCAACTTTTATCCAGTTCAAAAGCAAGTAAAATTAAATAGTATAATGATTTAGGAAATCATACATGTAAGAACCATCTATAAAATGCAGAAATGGAAAAAAGTGAGACCAAAGATGGGTTGCTTCTAGAAGGCAAGCAGAAAGGAGAGAGAAATATAACTTACAGTTTTTTTTAAATGGGGCTGTGGGGAGACAAGAGAGGAAGGTCAAGTCCCAGGATCCGCCTCCTAGGTTCCATGAAAACACTTCCTCCCCAATTCAAATTCTATTGGCCCACTTTGATTCCCACGTCCCTCCACGATGCATTCCCCAGCTTCCTGGGATGCTGACAAGGCTGCCTTCAGGCAGCCACAGTAAAACCAATGACATCACGAACTCACAGCTAGCAGTTTTGGGTGGGAACATTTAGCTTTTGTAAAACACAACATTTTCATCCCACCCTTAACCTGACTCCTTTTTTTTTTTTTTTTTTTTTTTTTTTTTTGAGACAGAGTCTCCCTCTTGCCCAGGCTGGACTGCAGTGGCGTGATCTCGGCTCACTGCAAGCTCCGCCTCCTGGGTTCACGCCATTCTCCTGCCTCAGCCTCCCGAGTAGCTGGGACTACAGGCGTCTGCCACCGCGCCCGGCTAATTTTTTGTATTTTTAGTAGAGACGGGGTTTCACCACGTTAGCCAGGATGATCTTTATCTCCTGATCTCGTGATCCTCCTGCCTCGGCCTCCCAAAGTGCTGGGATTACAGGCGTGAGCCACCGCACCCGGCCAACCTGACTCCAGTTCTAAGCTGCACACTTGGGCAAAGCGGGTGGGCATGCCAAGAATCTGGGTTACCTCCTAAGCGTGTCACCTGGCAGTTAAAAAAAAACTGCACTGTGGCAACTACATCAACACATCCTGAGTCAAATCACTTGCTTTTTGACTTAATTACTACTTCTTGAAAGGGCTATACATGCCGGTCCACATAAATCTTACCATGTGACAGTGTCAATCACCAAATGTACTGAATGAACCCCAGGTGTTACATAATGAGACTGTTTTGTGGTTCCAACTGTAATGAACATGGGGACAGAAAACATGTCATATGTCTTTTGGACAATTCTTAGAAACCAAGACAGCCCTGGGCATACAATCCTTTTGATTTTGGTAAAAAGTCTATTGGCAAAGGCAAGATATCAAAGCCTGGGTCATTAATATTCACAAATGGGCTGTGGTAGTATTCTAAGCAAGTATTCTATTAGCCTTTCATACTAAGATAACAGCTCTCCATAGGAGGCAGCCTGCCATGCCAATATTCAGAACAAAAGAAGAACAGCCACTCGGCTGTAGTAGACAACAGGTGGACTTAGTGTGGCTGTCTTCTTTTGTCCTGCCTTTTGTACTACAGACTGACTAGTTTGTAGTGGATCCAAATTTTTTTCAGTCTCTTTTTGTTCAAGATCCCAGAGCCTCACATTTTTCCTTGATTAATTTAAGCTGCTTGAGATTTCCTTTTATGTATTTGCAGAAACCTAAAAGAAAAAATTCTGCCTGGGCACGGTCACTCATGGCAGTAATCTCAACACTTCAGGAGGCTGATGGAGGAGGATTACTCGAATCTAGGAGTTTAAGGCCAACCTGGGCAACATAGTGAGACCTCATCTCTACAAAAATTAGCCAGGCATGGCAATGGATGCCTGAAATCCCAGCACTTTGGGAGGGCAAAGCAGGATGATCACTTCAGTCTGGGAGGTTGAGGCTGCAATGAGTGCCACTGTGCCACTGCACTCCAGCCTAAGCTACAGACCAAGAACTTACCTCAAAAAAATGAAAAGAAAAAATTTCCATATGCTCTGCTTAAAAAGTACCCATCATGGCTGGGCGCAGTGGCTCGCGCCTGTAATCCCAGCACTTTGGGAGGCCGAGGGGGGCGTATCACCTGAGGTTGGGAGTTCGAGACCAGCCTGACCAACATAGAGAAACTCCATCTCTACTAAAAATACAAAAAATCAGCCGGGCGTGGTGGCACATGCCTATAATCCCAGCTACTCAGGAGGCTGAGGCAGGAGAATCGCTTGAACCCAGGAGGTGGAGGTTGCGGTGAGCTGAGATCGCGCCATTGCACTCCAGCCTGGGAAACAAGAGCGCAACTCCATCTCAAAAAAAAAAAAAAAAACCATCATAAGTCCAACTTGCTTCTTTACAATAAGAAAGCTTCATTTGAGCAGGTTTCACTGGTTTCCTATAAGACAGGGATCAGCAAACTTTCTCTGTAAAGGGTCTGATAGAAAATATTTTAGGCTGTGCAGATCATACAGTATCTACCACAACTACTCAGTACAAAAGCAGCCACAGACACTATGTAATAAATGGGCGTGTCTGCATGCCAAGAAAACTTTACAAACATGCAAGCAGGAGGCCAGATTTGGCCCAATGTTTGCAGACTCCTGCTTTAAATAGTTATATCCATCTACAGCATGTCTGTAAAAATCATTTCTAAATGTTGTGGGGGGCAGAGACACTCCATTCATTGATAGTGCTTTGCTGTCCTCAAAGCCTCTGAACAATTTTGCCAAGCGCAAAGTCCAAGATTAAGCACAATGTGCTTGCAGGTCTTGCACGCAGAGGGAAGAGGGGAACAACAGGATAGGCTGGAGCCTGAATCAAGATGTCTCTCAGAAATGCTAAGTTGTTTTCAGCATTAGTAATCTCAGATTCCATAAAATGTCCAGGATAGGGTCTGCTGGCAGACACCTCCTCAGAAGGTTAAAGTGAAAACCTCTACCTGTTCCTGACTTTTTTTTTTTTTTTTTTTTTTTTTTTTGAGATGTAGTCTTGCTCTATGGCCCAGGCTGGAGTACAGTGGTGCAATCTCGGCTCACTGCAACCTCTGCCTCCCAGGTTCAAGCAATTTCCTGCCTCAGCCTCCTGAGTAGCTGGGATTACAGGCTGCTGCCACCATGCCTGGCTAATTTTTGTATTTTTAGTAGAGACGGGATTTCACCATGTTGGCCAGGCTGGTCTCGAACTCCTGACCTCAGATAATCCAACTGCCTCGGCCTCCCAAAGTGCTAGGATTACAGGCGTAAGCCACCACACCTGGCCTCTTCCTGACTTTTAAATACAGTATACTAATACTGTGTTTATTTTTGAGTCAAGGTCTCACTCTGTCACCCAGGCTGGAGGGCAGTGGCACGATCACAGCTCACTACAGCTTCAACCTCCCAGGCTCAAACAATCCTCCCACCTCAGCCTCCAGAGTTAGGACTACAGGCATGCACCACCATACCCAGCTAATTTTTTAAACTTTTTGTAGAAATGGAGTCTTACTATGTTGTCCAGGCTGGCAGTACTTTTTTTAAAAAATGGCGGAGGGGATTTTCCTGTAAACTCAGAATAATTCAGAGATCCAGAGTGCAATGCTACATAAGTGCTTATCTTATGTTTATGCATCAAGGAATTTTGTACCAAGAGACTGGATTATCAATTAGCTGTCTTTGCTGTCATTTTCAAAATTTTGTTAAGGATTTCAATAGGAGATATATATGTATATTTTTAACCCCAATTAATGTAATCTTTAAAGTTTAAGTTTAGAATCCCCTAGAGAATGAGAAAAACACCACAATCTGCTTCCATCTGGTGGCAGGAGTTCACAGTACAGCCAGAGCTTTGTCATCAAGTGTATGTTGATGAGGGGAGGGGAAAAAAGAAAATCAGTCTGTGTCTCCATCTGGTGGCAGCAGCTCATACTACAGCGAAAGACCAGGGCTGATAACTCATTAATTCCCAACAGACAACAGGTCAACGTAGAAGCTTACTGTTTGAAAGAACATAATCCGATGATGCCGCTCTATCCTTAATAGATATACATTTCAAAAATGTGCATTCAGATTTCAAAACAGGAAAGTCTTAGAGCGTTTTGAGGGAAAAAACTGTTAAGTAGCCTACCTGTGTAAAATATTTCCCATCCTGTTTCAACACTTTCATTGAGAGGTCAAGAATCAGTCTGAGAAACTCCCATGTGGAATCTGAATGTTTAAAAGAACAAGTTTCATAAATATGGGTTTGTATGTATCCACAACATCTGAAGTAAAATATTCGAATACTCAATACCAAAAGAGGAAAAAGAAAAAGAGCCACGAGTGTAAGACCCACTATTCAAAGAGCTTGTTCATGAACGATAATGAAATTGATTTTGGATGCCAAAATCACATCCACCTAGCACTGCTCGCTCTCAAAATACCAATAGATTTGACACAAAGGCAGTGGCTGAAACGTGAAAGAAAACTGCTTTAAATAAGGGGGCAAGCAGCAAAATCCTGAGAGAAATTCAGAGCCTGCAAACTCAGCAGGAACTTGAGTTTATAGAAAAAAACACGAACTAGCTGTGATTTGGAACAAACATCTGGTTTGAGAAAGGGAATTATCTATGTCGTTGCTTAGATAAGTGACCAGTTTGTACCAATACAGGTTGAAAATCACATAATTTAAATAAATTGTCAAATGATTTACTGTCTCATTAATGTAATGAGTCATTTTACTTCATTTTTGTTTCAAATGACTGAATTAGTTCACTCATTGAGTGGCAGAACAGGAATTGAAGCCAAATCCAGTCATCTTTCCACCATGGACCTCAATTTAACTCCCTTTTTCAAAAACGTGAGAGAACTACACAATCTCTAGGATCCTTTCACCCTCACATGGTGCCAAGAGAAACATTTCCATCATAAATATCTTGGTTAAAAAAATCTACCTTCTTCTGGAGACGTGGAGATTGGAACAGCTGTCAAATCATTAATCACATAATCAAATTCTCTCCCTTCTTTGGCGTACCTCTTCAGTACCGGGATACAGTCTTCTATTAGAACCTTCCAGAAAGAACAGGAATAGATGAGTGAGCCAACATGTGGATGTAGTTAAACAAAAAACAATAGTAAAGGAAGGAGGAAAAAAGCGCCAAGTATGGGCTTATATCCACAGCTATCCACAGCAACTGCTACAGGAACCAAAAAACTTTCATCTATGTCTGTTAACAGCAAAAATTAAGTGCTTACCATATATGCTTTATATGCCTTCTCATTTCAATAAAACAACAATCCTAGAGGCACTATTATCATCCCATTTTACCAATGCAGAAACAAACTTGAGGTGTTATCCAGCTTGCCCATAGATCCACGAAGTATACCTATTACTATCTGAAAGCCAACTTCATACTTTCATCTCTAATCTATACTGCCTCTCCTATCACTATCTGTATCATCTTCTTTTAATTTTTATTTTTTTAATTAATAAACTATTTTTAAAAAGTTTTTCTAGAGACAGGGTCTCACTACGTTGCCCAGGCTGGTCTTGAACTCCTGGGCTCAAGCAATCTGCCCACCTCAGACTCTCATAGTGCTGGGATTAGAGGCATGAGCCACCGTACCCAGCCTAATTTTTCTTTTATACTAAGCACTGAATGACTTCATTGTTTATGGATTCACTTTTGCACCTTACTCAAACTATTAACATGTTATTTCTCAATTTTCTCTAACGCTTGGGCTACTGCTAATAAAGCTATATATAACAGCTCCCACCATCAGAGTCAATAAAGAGACCAGCTGGAATTCCCATACAGATCATATATAGTTAACACAGAAAAGAAGTTTGAGGTTGGCTGTATCTTTGAAGTACTGAGGCTCTATGCTGGGGACACATCTGGATCTAAGCAACATCCTGAACTAAACAGGAGTTACTGTCATCTTTTAGTTTTCTAATTCAAAAAAAAAATACATTAAGTAAAAGAAAAATTAAATATAATAGTCAGAAACCAAGAGTTTAAGAGTTTGCCAGGCTGGGGTCAGTGGCCCAACACCTGTAATCCCAGTACTTTGGGAAGTTGAGGTGGGCGGAACAATGGAGCCCAGGAGTACTAGAGCAGCCTGGGCGACATGGTGAAAGCCCGTCTCTAGAAAAAAAAGAAAAATCAGCTGGGCCTAGTGGTATCTGCCTGTAGTCCCGGCTACTCAGGAAGTTGAGGTGGGAGGATCGCTTGAGCCCGGGAGTTTGAGGCTGTAGTGAGCCATGATCATCGCGCACCACTGTGCTCCAGCCTGAGTGACAGAGCAAGACCTTGACTCAAAAAAAATTAAAAAAAGTTCACCACAATTCCCTAAGATAACCTATCCCATGTTATTTCTCATCATTCTTCTTATAGCCTCACAGTTATAATTTTAAGAAACTGGGACTTTTCTGTCCTATTGTTTTATAACTTGCCTCAATGCATCATACAAGTCCAACTATGGAAAAATATAGGAGGTACTAACACCACCGTTGCTTTCAATCCATGTATTAATCCTGTTTGATATGCTCATATTTTTTCCATACGTTCACACAGATTCTTACGAATACTTGCACACAAACACAAATGTATGTTCTCTTTTGTAAAATTTGAATCCCACACATCATTTGGAACTTGAACATTTCACCCAACATCTCTCCAGGTAATAACACACATTTTAAAAAATACACCATTCCACTAAAAACATTCTTTCTGTTGTCATTGCCAAGCCTTGGTCACTACAAGCACAGCTATAATAAAACCTTGTAGTGACACCTTTTTAACTGTGGGCTGTGTGCTCAAACACCGGCTAGAAGCCGTGTGTTCCGGTTTTGATAGCAATTCACACGCCAACCAGCAATGCATATGAGCACCTGTCTCCCCACAACCTCCCCAGCATGAGATATTGCCCCTCTACTAAATTTTGTGAAGTCTGTTGCTAATGTTTTCACAAGAACTTCCTGGGCCACCAACAGGGTTGACCGTCTTGTGGTACTTTTTTTTTTTTTTTTTTTTGAGACAAGTCTTGCTCTGTCGCCCAGGCTGGAGTGCAGTGATGCGATCTGGGCTCACTGCAAGCTCTGCCTCCCGGGTTCACGCCATTCTCCTGCCTCAGCCTCCCGAGTAGCTGAGACTACAGGTGCCCGCCACCACGCCCAGCTAATTTTTTTTTGTATTTTTTTAGTGGAGACGGGGTTTCACTATGTTAGCCAGGATGGTCTCGATCTCCTGACCTCGTGATCCGCCCACCTCAGCCTCCCAAAGTGCTGGGATTACAGGTGTGAGCCACCGCGCCCGGCCTGTCTTGTGGTACTTTTTACAGGTTATTTGACTTATTCTGAGAAGTACCAGTAAATATCCTCTATACCTTTTTAAATTTAGCTAACTTCATTTCTAAGTTGTAGGGACTCTGCATTATTCAAGGGATCAATTCCCTGTCATGCTTGTTACTAGTCTTTCTTCTAGTCTGACTTTTGGCTTGGTAATGACAACATTATAATACCATTAACAGTTTGAGTGTCCTATCTTTAAGAGATTTCTGAACTCCAAGGTTAAGTACTCTAAATTGTCTTAAATGTATTAGTTTTTACATTTAGAGCCTAAGTCACCAAAATTCCTATTTCTATTGTTAGCTAACTTGGTTCTCATGCAGATGGATAACTTCTTATACCGGCATCACACACTAACTCAACTAACGCTTTTCCCAAGTCAACTGAAATGTATCTTAGACCATATTAGCAGTGTGTAGGAATACATACTCAGACCTGTTCAAGTTCCTTTGACATTCCTAGGTCCTTGTGTATTCCTTTCATACTTCCTATTTGATTATCGTGCCTTATAGTACATTAACAACAAATAGGACATATTTCGCTTCACACTATGATTCTTTTTTCAAGTTTTCTTGGGTATTCTTAGATACTTATTTTTACAAATCAACTTCAAAATCAGTTGGTCTACTTTTAAACCCCTCCCCCCTCCTTGGGATTACTCATAATAAATTGGGAAGAATAGACATTGTTCCTTTTTTTTTTTGAGACGGAGTCTTGCTCTGCCACCCAGGCTGGAGTGCAGTGGTGCAATCTTGGCTCACTGCAACCTCCACCTCCCGGGTTCAAGCAATTCTCCTGCCTCAGCCTCCAGAGTAGCTGGATTATAAGCACCCACCACCACGTCGGGCTAATTTTTGTATTTTTAGTAGAGACAGGATTTCACCATGTTGACCAGGCTGTTCTCCAACTCCTGACTTCAAGTGATCCACCCACCTCGGCCTCCCAAAGTGCTGGGATTACAGGTGAGCCACCAAGCCCGGCCTGTTCTTTCAATACAAGAAATACAGCATGCCTCTCCACATATTCAGACTTTGATGTCTTTCAATAACATCTTAACATAATTCATACCAGTCTCACAATACCATTCTTGTTAAATATATTCCTAGGAATTTAACACTTGATTACTTTGAAAGGAAATGGGTGGGAAGGAAATCCTATTTAAATGAGTTAGCATTTAGTATAGAGAAAAAATCTAGGCTGGCTTTATCCAATCACTTTATCAAATTCTCATTAATTCAAATAATTTCCTACGTAAGTTTCCTGGATTTTCTAGTATTCACATCATCTACAAATAATTAGATTTATACTGTTTTCATCTACTTTACTATCTCAGCTACCTCAAAAAATAATGTTGAAAAAGATAATAGGCATCCTCATCTTCTTCCTATTTTCAGTGGAAATGGCTTTTGCTATCTATTATATTTTCTATTTTTCTATTTACCACAACCTAAGTTTCTATTAACGTTCAGGTAGTTTCATCTCTATTGCAATTTTATTTTATTCAAGTAATTTATAATTTAACTTTTATTTTAGATTCAGGAAGTACATGTACAGATTTGTTAGATGGAAATATATATATATATATATATATATTTTTTTTTTTTTTTGGAGACAGTCTCCCTCTGTTGCCCAGGCTGGAGTGCAGTGGTGCAATCTCAGCTCACTGCAACCTCCACCTTCCGGGTTCAAGCGATTCTCCTGCCTCAGCCTTCCATGTAGCTGGAATTACAGGCACACGCCGCCACACCTGGCTAATTTTACATGGCTATACTGCATTAGTTTTTATTTAAAATGACTGCTAAATATTCTCAAATTCTTTGTCATCTGTTATTTTCCTCCTTTAAATTATTCACCTAACGAATTAAGTTGACAGATTTCTTAAAATTGAAATCTTTACACTTCTAACTAAATCCTACTTGAGCATAATATAGACTTAATTTGCCAGATTTAGCTTATTATTTTACTTGGAAATTTTGTACATATGTAAAAGCAATCTTTAGCTTTGTGTACTACTTGATTTTTACTACTAAGGTTTCTTTTTTATTATTATTATTAAGGTTTTTTTTTTTATTAAGATTTTTTTTTTTTTTTGAGACATTCTCGCTCTGCAGCCCAAGCTGGAGTTAGAATGGCCATCATTAAAAAGTCAGGAAGCAACAGATGCTGGAGAGGATGAGGAGAAATAGGAACACTTTTATACTGTTGGTGGGAGTGTAAATTAGTTCAACCATTGTAGAAGACAGCGTAGCGATTCCTCAAGGATCTAGGACTAGAAATACCATTTGACCCAGCGATCACATTACTGGGTATACATACAAAGGATTATAAGTCATTCTACTATAAAGACACATGCACACGTATATTTATTGCGGCACTATTCACAATAGCAAAGACTTGGAACCAACCCAAATGCCCATTAAGGATAGGCTGGATAAAGAAAATGTGGCACATATATGCCATGGAATACTATGCAGCCATAAAAAAGAATGAGTTCATGTCCTCTGCAAGGACATGGATGAAGCTGGAAACCATCATTCTCAGCAAACTAACACAAGAACAGAAAACCAAACACCGCATGTTCTCACTCCTAAGTGTAAGCTGAACAATGAGAACACATGGACACAGGGAGGGGAACATCACACACCGGGGCCGATCGGGGGTAGGGGGCTAGGGGAAGGATAGCATTAGGAGAAATACCTAACGCATGCAGGGCTTAAAACCTAGATGATGGGTTCATAGGTGCAGCAAACCACCATGGCACGTGTATACCTATGTAACAAACCTGTACATTCTGCACATGTACCGTAGAACTGAAAGTATAATAAAAAAAAAAAGAATTAATTTTATTTAATTCAGAGAATCTGGAGTTGGTGCTTTCCCATCATTGGTACGTGTGCACCCTAAATACAAATATACATATAACTCATATGAAGAGACAGATGATGTATTTATCTTCTCAACCAACTATACTAAAAGCTGTTTTAATAAGGCACAATTCTGATCAATAACTTATATTATTAGTTCACTTAAAACTACATTATCCAGAAAACAATTACCTGATAGCAGTCTCCTTTAAGATTGTCTAAGACATCGCCACACGTTTTTCGCATGTATTTCTTACACCCATCAATCACCATTTGGTCAATGTCCGCAACAGGTTAAGGAGAATTTGGGTATATCAAAGAATTCTGAAATAGTAATACTTTAAAGAAAGGATTAAGACAAACAAAGGTTTTATAATACTAACTTGGGTATCACAAATTTAACAAAATGATGAATGAGGCAGTGACTTTATTTTCACACTAAGGACACTCAAAAGGAACTTAATCTTCTTTTCTCCTCATGAGATGGCTTTAGAGAAGCCATTTTGGAAACTGCTAGGCAGCAGACACAGTATCAAAGTCCTTTGCTCTTTAATCCTCAACTAGGTAGATTATTTGTTTGTTTTTGAGACAGAGTCTTACTGTCACCCAGGCTGGAGTGAAGTTGCGCAATCTTGGCTTACTGCAACCTCTGCCACCTAGGGTTCAAGCAATTCTCCTGTCTCAGCCTCCCGAGTAGCTGGGATTACAGGTGCCCGCCACCATGCCTGGCTAATTTTTGTAATTTTAGTAGAGGTAGGGTTTCGCCATGTCGATCAGGCTGGTCTTGAACTCCTGACCTCAGGTGATCCACCCGCCTCGGCCTCCCAAAGTGCTAGGATTACAGGCATGAGCCACTGTGCCCAGCTGATTATTTCTTTGTTGATGGCCACATAAAAGGGTACTGTTACTAAATTGTCTGTTCAAGGCAGTCTAGGTAACACATTTGCCTCTAGTCTGTGGTAACATTAATTTGAGTTGTGAGACACTGAAGGAAGGAAACAAAAGAAGCCCACTGAACTTGTTCTCTTATACAACAAAGGATATCTCTACCATAGTGACCATCTTTGGTTTTAGTTTGACTATTTCACACAATATGCCTCCGTCTCCACCTCCCAGAATGAGTACATCTTTGCCAGTGTAATCTTCTTTGCCACTGCCCATGATGGCCCGGGTATATGCCAAATCACTCTCTGCCAAATCTAGGGAGGAGAAACAGATCCAAATGGTGAGTCTACCTTAACACACAAACCACCTGGCCCCACCACACTGAAGAGCTGGGATCTAGACCAAAATGTAAATTTTTCATTTTCAATTTTTTAAAACTGTGAACAATTTGCAAGCTTTTTTTCCATTGAGGACTTTTTCATCAACCCTGATCATCTGACACCTAATACAAATGGACATTAGTCAGTGGGAAGAAAATCCAGCCTTAAAAATGTGTCAATATACCGAATAACTAAAAGCAATTACATCTTTACAAATGAAATAATATGATGTCTGTGAGCTGCTTCAAAATAATATGAGAGGGACAAAGTGGACTGGGGTTTAGGTAAAATAAGACTGGCTAGGAGGTGGTAATTGTTCACACTCGATGGTAAGTACATGTGGGTTCATCACACTAGTTTGTCTACTTAGGTTTGAATTGTTCTGTAACAAAAAGGTTTTTTTTTTTAAATATGCAAATGCATTTTCTTTTGAAATACAATCCAAATACTCATCACTAAGGAAGCAATGTCAAGACAAAGTTTATGTGAAAGCCCAGACAATCCACAGGTTAATATGACATAAATGTGCATCTCAAAAACCAGCAGTGTCAAAAACAAACTCAAACAAATCCACGACAGTAGTAATTGTCAGGAAAACACCATCATTCAACACATCACCACTTTGTTACGTGATCGGGGCAGGGATGGAATACTTACTAACATCCCCACTAAGGATGAGAATATTTCCAAACTGCTTCGAGTGTAGAATTTTTATATTTTGATAAGGTGAATCTTCGTCATATACCACTTCATCTATGTCATATTCAACCAGGCGCCCGTCGGCGGTGGGCCAGTATCTGTCGATGGCTCCTCCTCGCACTATGGGTGGTAATCTGGAAAAAGAGAAAAACAGAAATGTACCTTACTAGAACACTGCCTTACAAGTGGAGCTAGGATGAAGAGTGTGCAAAAGAAAGCCACATGACTGCCGACTTTTGACAAGCACAAAACGAATCCAAAGCTTGGGCTTTTAGTTTTATATAATCACGGCCACCACCAAATGTTGACAACTATTGTACACAGTTCACTTTTTAAAAAATCCTGTCATGCTTTAGATTTTCTCTAACAAAAAGCTGAAGGAGAAGATGGCCACTGCACACTTCATATTTCAAATGCTCCAGCAGCATCTGTCTCTTAAGACTATCTACATAACTACATGGACATTACCACATTTACACCAGTTCACATGGGTATGATATGGTTATCTAGTACAGAGTCCATCTTCAAGTGTCCCCAGTTATATCCTTTATAGATGTTCTGCTCTTGAATAAAGGCTCATACACTGCATTTCCCTGTTTTTTTTTTCTTTTTTATCCTCATGTAACGTATAATTTTTTTTTTACTGGTATGTTTCATGACACTGATATCTCCAAGTACAGACCAGCTATTCTGCTGAAAAATGACTCGTGGGTTTACCTGATAATCTCTCACTCTTCATGGTTAGAATCAGGTTGACATATATTACACAGGCATCACATCGGGAACACAAGATGTGTATCTGTCCTATTATTGGTGATGCTAAGTCTGTGATCACTTGGTTAAAGTGGTATTCATGGGCTCTCTCCATTTGCAAAGGTACCTTTTTCACCCTCTGAAATTACTAAGCAGGCTGTGGGGTGGTGCTCTGAAACTAGGTAGAAGTCCTCACCCCCCAACAAACCTTTACCAGTGGTTTTAGCATGCAGAAGATTCTGGCCTGAACCAGTTACTACTACAGAGGCTGCAAAATGATGATTTTTTCATTCATTCTTTTGTAAATACCCGGTATTTTTCACAGGATGAATGTACTAGAAGGTACCAGCAGAGGACACTAAATGACAGGAAAAAAAAGACCTGGAAAAGGGGCTTGGCAAGTCTAACCCAAACACAAAGAAAACGAGAGCTCACTGCATACATAACACAACTGCGTGAGTCATGTGTTCTCAAACACAGTAGTGTTCAACATTAAAACGCCATGATGTACAGCTGTAGACATGTAAAATGCTGGGATATGCGGCCTGACGTACTCTTATGAGTCTCTTTCCCTTCCCTGCTCACCAGCTTCCAAGAGTACAGTCTAAACCTGTTACAAGTTAACAAGGCTTTCTATGAGGGAATACTAACATCTATAAAGAACACCGAGATTGAAAAGGCAAACTCCCATAAATTCATGTCATCCTGACAACTCTTCATTTAACCACTTCTTCACCTTCCATGTGAACAAATTCAGCTTTCAGAATGTGAGGCATTCTAGAGGGTTTTTCTTGTAAATTGTAAAATGTGAAGCACCAATCAGGACAACTGCTAGAGAGCAGGCGAACAGGACTTGGAGGAAGCCTCTTCCACCCCTGGCTGATGGTGGGGAGTGAGGTGAGAGTGAGCCACCCATGGCATTGGATGAACGACAAAGTCACTCACTTCCAGGGGAGGAAGACTACCCTCTCCTTGACAGCCAGCCACCTATCGGCAATTACTGCACTACAGGCAAACCCACTGAAACTAAACAGTGCCTGTTCTCAATTGTGTCAATAGTGCCTTGGCTAAGGTGAAGAGCTCTTTCCTACATTGTAACTCTATGGTTTTTTTAAAGACTAGCAAAGAAAGAAGGATCTTAACAGGATGTAAATGCCATTACCCTGATGAAGTGCTCAACCTAGCATTAAAGGGCATCTCGCTGGTAGCCCTATAACGGGCTACCAGGAGGTACTGTAGAGCACCCTACCAAACTCGTTTCAACCTTCACTGCTGAAAAATGAAACTGGACTACACCAATTCAGGTAGATTATAGCCCAGGCCTTAGGTATACTGTGTAAATTGCAAGAACCTTTTAAAATCAAAGTTAATTTATGTGACCTTGTTTTCTTGTTTTTTCACTTGAAAGTAGAAAACAAAAATAAATTCAAGTACATCCCATAGCTTCTTAGTCGAAAATTCAGACTTAACTTATCAAAGGGGAATAATTTCAGATAATGTTACTGGGTTATTTGTTAATGATTTAATCTCTAACATTTAACCTCTGATCTTTATTCTCCAGATTTAAAAAAAAAAAAAAAAAAAAGGATAGCAATCCTTGTCCTTTTGAGGCCAGTAACAAAGGGTTTACAACAAGGTATACCCAATTTCTAGCTGTCGTCAACCTTATTTCATGAAAAGATAATAAAAACTGTGACAAGCATAAGCAAGGTATTTTGAAGATCTAAAGCTTAACTCCACTCTTAGAAAACTCCTATACCAAAAAAGGAAAAGAACCAGACTTCTCATGAATGCTGAAGCCCATAAATGTATGCTGTTTACTCACTCCTAGAGGCAACTGATAAAAATCAGACCACATTTTGATGTGGACCAATTCATTATCATAAAGTTAAGACCCTTTCTGACAGTGGGGAACCTGTTCATTCCAAATGGGTGCAGATAAGGAAAACCCTGCCAACAGGAAAAGATGAAATGTCCAAAAAGTGGTATGGGTATATGGGTGTGGATGTGTTTTTAAAGGAAGGTGAAGGGTAAGAGACATGGCTGGGGACCCTAAACTGAGCTTGGGTGCTCCAAAAGAGCCTGAGTGCTCTAACAGATCTCAAAAAAATAGTTCTATACTGTGGCGTCTTCTTTTCACTTTCAGTTTCCTGCTTTCCTCTTTAACTACAGAAGGTTAAACAATTACCTAGTTATCTTACATCTGCTCTGGAGCTTTCTTGTGGGCTGATCAAACTTAGCATGCTGAGTAATTAAGTACTTAAACATCCTAACACTTGCCAATAAGGATTCCTTCTTCTGGAAAGTGCCATGAACTGGAGAAACCTGTATTTCCGTTGCTCAGCAATGAGGAAGTCCCTCTGTGTTGGTCTCTGCAACTGAGGTTAATTTTATGAGCAAGGGACAGGCCTTCTATGCCTTAAGGCCTGATGAGGATCCACCAAGGCAGGGCAAGAGTAAATTGTCCTGCATTTGCATGCTGTGTATCCAAAGCACTTCTTAATTCCCATGATGTACCAGACACTAGTTCCTTCCCACGATGTCCGAATTGCATTCTTTTAAAATCTGACACCACTGGCAAACACTTCGGCAGTGTCCGATAGAAATTTGGATGATGAAAATGTTCCGTAGTTGTACTGTCCCACATGGCAGACACTAACCACTAGCTATTGTGACTAAGGAACTGAATTGTGTATTTTAATTAACTTTAAATAGCCATGTGGGGCTAGTGCCCATCCCACTGGATAGGGAGAGCTTCATTTTCCTCATGATCACTTGAAAATAACCTGCCTATGGCAGCTTAAAGTTGGTGGCCTATCAATTCTTAGTATCTTGGAAAGTTTTCTTCTTTGAACGCCTTGAGGCAAATTTTCTTATCACCCCACCCTGTCGGAAGTCTCTTAAAATTGCTTAACTTCACTCTGGGGCCTAGAGCCTGAAGGAGAAAAAGTGACCTTTTCTCTTTCCTGGAAAGGTTGAAGTCAGGTATTTGTTTTGTTTTGTTTTGAGGCGAGTTTCACTCTGTTGCCCAGGATGGAGCGCAGTGGTGCGATCTCAGCTCACTGCAACCTCCGCTTCCCGGGTTCAAGCTATTCTCCTGCCTCAGCCTCCTGAGAAGCTGGGATTACAAGCACGTACCACCACGCCTGGCTACTTTTTCTATTTTTAGTAGAGACGGGGTTTCACCCATGTTGGTCAGGCTGGTCTCGAACTGAAGTCAGGAGTTTTCTAGCTCCCTTTGATGAGGTGGCAGCTCTACCTGGGTCTCCACTTTAGGCAGTTCCAACTCCTTGGAGTTGGTCCATATCCCCTTTCTGCCTTAGTTTCATTTTACCTAGCATTTGTGTGTGTGCATCCATGCACATGAATGTTCATACACTGTCTTGTTTTGGTGTGAGGGGCCCAGTAGTTCAGTTCACCATGTTGCCAGAAGGAGGTGCTGAGTTTGATCTTTTCCACATCTTAAGCAGACACTACTGGGGACCACACTGCCATTCTGAATTTTTTTTTTTTTTTTTTTTTTTTGAGACAGTCTCATTGTGTCACCCAGGCAGGAGTGCAGCGGTGCGATGATCTCAGCTCACTGCAACCTCTGCTTCCTGCCTCCTCGGTTCAGGCCATTCGCATGCGTCAGCCTTTCAAGTAGCTGGAATTACAGGCATGCACTACCACGTCCAGCTAATTTTTGTATTTTTAGTAGAGACGGTGTTTTGCCACATTGGCCAGGCTGGTCTCAAACTCCTGACTTCAAGTGATCCGCCTGCCTCGGCCTCCTAAATTGCTGGGATTACAGGTGTGAGCTACCGCGCCCAGCCAACTATGATTGTTTCAATCGATTAAATATAAAAGGACATTCAAGAGTGGACTTACCGTTTCACCCGCCCAGTACTGTCCTGACTCAATTCTTTCATTCTTTCCTCTACTTTGTTCAAAATCTACAATTAAAAGAAAAATCAATGGGCTTGTAGAATAAGCTGCATGGAAGAACTAAATTACAGACCCAACGACTGAGGCCATGTTGACAGAGCTGTGCAAGATTGACCTGTCCCTCCTCCTACCCTCTAGCAGCCTGTAGACGCCTGGCCCAATTCCACTCTCCCATACCAACTATCCCTTCATGTTGCTGACCTAACCTTAGCGTAAGTTAGCAACAAAGTAACACGGAAGAGGAAGGCTAAAGGGTACTGCAGCTATAAAATCCTGGTTAAAGGTTTTCTATTCCCTCCAGTGGAAAATAAGATTACTCATACTAAGGCAGTTAAAAGGGAACGCTGACACCCAGGTTCCTAAAAACAACTAAACAACTACTTCTATTCTAAAATCACTTATGTGGAGGGAGGAAAGTTTAAAATTAACTGGAAAGTAAGCAATGAAGAGAACATTATTTTAACACTAAGCTAAGCAGATACTATGATCCTTAAACACTGAGTAAATGAAAGTGAAAAACCGACACTGTCGATCTCTTCTTTGCCTTGCGCATCACCATCATAACTCTGAAGGTCCAGCAACACCAATCCATGTGGGTAAATTCTCAAATTGGCAAAGCTACAAAGGAAAATATAATTTTAAGCTTAAGAATTGTATCGGGGCATTAAAAAAAAAAGAGAGAGAGAGAGAGATGTCACCCAATTAAAAGACCACTGCTCTTTATTTCCCCAAAAGTATACAGTTAAGCTTTTTGCTTTCTTACTAGGGCTGCGTCTTGCGGGGAGAAACTACCAATCATTTGTGGAAGGTTTAGAGGGCATTACCAAATATTAAGGTTTTCAAAACTGGTTCTTGGGCCCAGAAAGTGATTCAGTAGCAGTTCTGTGAATCTGGTTTTTAAAAAGGTTCTCTAGGTAATTTTGCCAGGTTTAGTAACTACTGCCTTAAGAGGAAGGGAGTGTGGAGAAGGGTAAACTGGTTTTTCTCATTAACATTCAGAGTTCAAACCAGAGCCATTTTTTCCTAACTGCAGGCTGGTGGTAGGTAAATTAATTTAGTAGGCACTCTGGAAAATCCAGGCCAACTGCCTGCAAACCTAATCCATCCCACAGTATGTTTTTGTAAAGCCTGCAAGCTAAGTTAAGAATGGTTTACATTTTTAAAGATTTTTAAAAATGTGACAGCAACCTTTACACAAAATTTTCTGACCAGCCCTTTTTCTTAATGAAATAAACATATTTGAGTGTATCACATGCACCAAGATGTATTTGATGAAACTTCTGTTTTAGTTATATGCATGTTGGTTTTTTTTTTTCTGAGATGGAGTCGCACTCTGTCTTGCCCAGGCTGGAGTGCAGTGACATGATCTCGGCTCACTGCAGCCTCCACCTCCTGGGTTCAAGCGATTCTCCTGTCTCAGCCTCCCGAGTAGCTGGGACCACAGGCGTGTCCCACCACACCTGGCTAATTTTGTATTTTTAGTAGAGACGGGGTTTCACCATGTTGGCCAGGTGGGTCTTGAACTCCTGACCTCAGGTGATCCACCTGCCTTGGCCTCCCAAAGTGTTGAGACTACAGGCGTGAGCCACCATGCCCGGCCTATGCATGTATTTGTTTTGCATTTACACAGATGTGTTATTTCCAGGGTTATGATTACCTCCTACTACAAATTATAGGTAAAGAAATGTTTGAAAAATACTAAATTAGAAGATCAATTCTGTTCAGAGAATACAGACAGTGTGCTTGGATTAAAAAAAAAAAAAAAAAAACTAAAAATAATAAGCTAAGCATGGTGGCACACGCCTGTAGTCCCAGCTACTTGGGAGGATGAGGCAGGAGGATTCCTTAAGCCCGGGAGGTCAAGGCCTAAGTGAGCCATGATCGCACCACTGCACTCCAGCCTGGGCGACAGAGTGAGACCCTGTCTCTATAAAAAATTTAAAATAAAACAAAACTAGTTAATTTTTCACCTTCAGCCCTTAAGTGACCTCAGAAATCAAGTTCTTCCCCAGAGTCCACAAACTCTTCTACACCAGAATGAGAGGATCATCTTTCCTTTCCCTCCTTCACCAGCAGCAGAGAGGAGAGGGGGAAGGAACAATAGAGAAGTAAGGTCCCCTTTATCCACTTGGGTGGTTCTAGCATGAACACAGAGAATGCTAGAAGGCAGTGTCAAGGATTAAGGTGCTACTAGGGATAAAACCAGAAATAGAGGGGGGAAAGTGTGCCTGGGGTCCGGGGGCAGGGAATAGAGAACCTGAATAAAAGGTGGCTCAGGTCCTTTCCCCAAGCCCATGCATGGGTAGGAGAGGTGAGGTTTCAGGACAGGCACCTCGGGGTGGGTACCAGTTGACCAAGTGAGAGAGGAAGGAGACCAGGTAGAAAACTCTTAAAAACTAAGCTGGCCAGGCGCGGTGGCTCATGCCTGTAATCCCAACACTTTGGGAGGCCGAGGCAGGTGGATGGCTTGAGCCAGGAGTTCGAGACCAGCCTGGGCAACGTGGTGAAACCACGTCTCTATTAAAAACACAAAATTATCTGGATGTGGTGGTGAGTGCCTGTAATTCCAGCCACTTGGAAGGCTGAGGTGGAGAACTGTTTGAACCCGGGAGGCAGAGGTTGCAGTAAGCCAAGATTGTGCCACTGCACTCCAGCCTGGGCAACAGAGCAAGATTCGGTCTCAAAAACAACAACAACAACGAAAACCCTAAGCAGTTCATTTGGGGTTTTTGTTTTTGTTTATTGCTTTTCGAAGCAGTTTCCGAACAGCTCTTGTCACTCAAAAACCCCTTCTGGGAAGAATTCTAAGTCTCCTGTACAACTGGAATTGGTGCCTATGGTAGAAACTTCAATAACTGTCATACAGAGGTAGGCAGGGCCCAGCAGCAAAGGCCTTTAGGAGATAAGAAGTGCAACTTTTCACCTGGTGCTGGCTGAGGAGCCTGCCACCGGAGGCGGTGGATGATGAGTTCCAATTTGCTGTAGTCCCCAAAAGATGGACCACAGTAAAAACAGTGAGAGGCGGCAGGTACAGGGAGGGGCTCAGTGTAATCCTGCAGGAGCCAGAGGGCTCTAGGACAGCTACAGCCTCTGCTTCCAAGAGACCATCCATCAACTGGGTCACAGCAGGGAAGAAAAGGACACAGGGGAGAGGAGGGTTTGGTGGTGGTGTTCATATGAGGAAGAAATCATCATCTTAGATACATTTGAGGTATCGACTAAACACACAGGGAGGTTTGCTACACAGTTAGAAATACAAGCCTGGGCTTGGGGAAGAAGGGGTTAGGATGTCTTTGAGAGGTATCAGGATAGAGAACACCAATTAATGCCACAGGGGTTGGCCATGGAGACTTATAGAGAGAATAGTGGAAGGGGCAGTGAGCTCAAAAAGTACAGGTTTCCCTCATCTCTAGGTCTCTGGAATATCATGGAGGTGGGTACTTTTTCCTTTAATAGAGAAACAAAGAGAGAAAAAGTGGGACATTAAGGAAGCCACGTGGAATTCCAGTACTGGGTACCCACTGAGGTAACAGAATAAAAGCCATCGAAAATACCCCATCCTGGAGTTCACATTTTTATTTATTTTAATTTTTATTTCCATAGGTTATTGGGGAACGGGTGTTGTTTGGTTACATGAGTAAATTCTTTAGTGCTGATTCGTGAGATTTTGGTGCACTCATCACCTGAGCAGTACATACTGCACCCTATTACATTTCTAAATTAATAGTGCAAATTACTAAGAATCTTAATTAGTAGTTTTACATACTAAGCCAGTCCAGATATAATACAAACCAAGATTTAAGGAAATACCAAGAGCTCAACGCACTGGTTTCTTGTTATCAGTCATTTCTTAGTTTAGGTTTTCTTCTGCATTTTACCATGGTCTGCGGTAGCTGATCATCAGTCATAACAGTGCTACTCCAAGTGTGGTCAGCTGTCCAGCAGCATCAGCATCCCCCGGGAGCTTCCTGGAAATGGAATCTGGGCCCTGCCGCAGATCCACTTATTGCTTCAAGAACTCTTACGGTAGGGGCCCAGGAGATCATTGCCTGCCTTTTCAAACTGCTTATGCCACCAGGGGTTCTTGGTCCTGGCCACATAGAACCACTGGGGCTTTGGAGAAATCCAGATGTCCAGGCCCTGTGACCTCAATTTCTGGGGGAAATGCACGAGTGTTTCGTGAAAGCTCTCCAGAAACAGAGTAGAGAAGGGACCTGGGCTCCCCCCAACCGTAATAACACACTTACTTACAGAAATACCAGGCTCTAGGAGCCAGGAAGATGGCAAAGCGCTGCTTGAGGCTCTGTTCGGGCTGCCCCTGGGGCCCTGCAGCACTGCTGCTGGCCATCCTAGAGCAGGCAACCTCAGCCTGCACCCACCCTACTTCGAGCTGAGCAAGGGCATCTGCAGCTCAGCATCCTGCAGCGAGAAGGCCTCGGCATGCCCCCTACGGGCCTCTGCTGCAAACTAGTGGGTCCCCACAGGTGGTGGGCACCCCAACCAACCCATCCATCTGGACCCCAGCCCCTCCGATATCATCTCTGCTGACCAGAGACCTGGAAAACACTAAGATAAGCAGCTTCCTATGGTAAATCTTACTCCAGGGACTTAAGAGGCTGAGTTCTACCATAAACTTTTTACTCCAGGGAGTTGACCTACCGCTTGCAGGAGCCCAGTGAGCGATCCTGCCCGTCTTACTATTACGCTAAAGTCCCCGCCAAGAGCGGGGCTCACCAGCCACTTCAGGGTGTATACATTAGCAGGAGGCCTCACTGAGTCTGCACACCACTCCCTGGGTGCGTACCTGTAATGACACTCATCTACCTCATGAACTATTCACGTCACTCCCTTCAAAACATCACCTGCAGCTGCCCTTGGGGGAGTAAGCCACAAAACTTTTCCTGGGCTGCCTCCCTTATGCCCACTCTGGGCATCAGTCTTAACAAAAAACTTGTCTGGGAAACATGTTTGGCCTCCTGTCAATCTCTATATACATGAGAGCTTAAGAACCTGTGGTCAGTAACGCTACCAGGAGATTCTGATGTGCAGCTACGGTTGAGAAGCACCAAGTTCCATTCCCATCCTAAAAGATGTCAAAGGAGAAAAAAAAATGCCGGATGCCACCCCCATCCTCCACTCTGTCACCCTCTCTGCTCATAAGTGACCAGGTATGAAGAACAGCACTGGAGACTGCTCACCTGCCGTTCTTGTTTGTGTAGGTTGCTAAATAGCCATGGTCCTGCCAGGTGTGCACCGACTCCGCCATCCCCTGCTCCTGGAAAATGGACTGGAGGCCTTTTAGAATGGTCTCACCATCAGCTGGAGAACAAGGGGAAGAAGGCAAGATGGTCAGAAAGAAACGTTCAGAAGGAAGGCCAATGAGGCACAGTTTGAGGACTGAGCTTAAAAATAAATAAATAAGTAAATAAATAAATAAATAAATAAATAAATAAATAAAAATTAAAAAACCTGAACAAAGTTGTCAGTGTCACTTATCCCTTGTCATGACATGAGCGATAAACATTCTCCACCCTGCAAGGAAAGGCAACGCAGACCACCAGATTACACGACGGTAAGAACACAAAAGCCGACCACAAATAGCTGCGCCAAGGATGTAGACATATTCAGCCTAGAGACAGCATAACAAAATATTCACCCTAAGCAGAAATTAAAGAAATGCAAATAAATTCAAGTACAACAAATGAGATTCCACTTCAGGTTAAATAAATTAATGAGGACACATGGTACTAGAAAGGGGATACCTGTCCACTGCTGATGAGTAATATAAATGACAAGCTTTTTTTTCCCCATGTTTTACAAAAAGGATGTGCTGCTTTTATAACTGGAAAAAAATATCCAACAGTAATCCTCAGTAACATAGCTCTAAATGGTAGAAACTGGACAACGATTCCATATGGGACAACCTGCTGGCTTGTCGGTCTCCCCACCCCACCCCCATGGTCGCAGAAGCCAATCCTCCTGTCTCCCATCCTGCCCAGTGTCCTACTCCCAAAAGTGCAATCAGTGTTCCCAGGTAAAGTACATTAACCTCCGCAGGTTCACTTGAAGCCAGGATCTTCAAGAACATCCAACATTACAATACTTAGAATAAGGGGTAAATGCAATTTTTTCTTCTCTAGTTCTATCTACAAAGCAGGCATTCCCTAATAAATGTAAAACAAAGAACCAAGATATGACAAGAGGAATTACTCTTTACTTTCCCACCAGCCCTCTGAAGGCTGGCTCCTGTGAGGGGAAAAATATCAAAATGAAACATCTCTGTGACCTGAACAGAGGTAAAAGAAAAAAACAAAGAGTCACAGCTGATTGCAGTGTGATTTGCCAAGAAAATTACATTAGAATTTCTGCCATAAACTAAGTAGTGCCGAAACTAGAACTGGGAAGTTAAGGATTTTTTCACTATGCATAAAGAGTCTATCTCTAGTGACTTAGAACTGTGTTCCCAAGGCCACTGAATGAAGGCTACAAACGGGAAGTTTAGAGGCCAAAGTGGACAGATATGACTTATTCTGGCCTGCACAGACTTTTTTTATTTTTTGAGACAGGATCTCCCTCTGTCGCCCAGGTTGAAGTGCATTGGCGCAATCTCGGCTCAATGCAACCTCTGCTTCCTGGGCTTAAGTGATCCTCTTGCTTCAGCCTCCCAAGTAGCTGGGACTACAGGTGCGAACCACCATGCCCAACTAATTTTTATTTATTTGTTTTTTTTTATTTATTTATTATTTTATTTTATTTTATTTTATTTTGAGACAGAGTCTGGCTCTGTAGCCCAGGCTGGAGTGCAGTGGTGTGATCCTGGCTCACTGCAAGCTCCGCCTTCCAGGTTCACACCATTCTCCTGCCTCAGCCTCCCGAGTAGCTAGGACTACAGGCGCCCGCCACCACGCCCGGCTTTTTTTTTTTTTTTTTGTATTTGTAGTAGAGACGGGGTTTCACTGTGTTAGCCAAGATGGTCTCAATCTCCTGACCTTGTGATCCGCCGCGCCCGGCCCATGTCCAACTAATTTTTGTACATTTTTGGTAGCGATGGGGTTTCACCATATTGCCCAGGCTGGTCTCAAACTCCTGAGCTCAAGCAATCCACCTGCCACAGCCTCCCGAAGTGCTGGGATTACAGGCGTGGACCACCGCACCCAGTCCCTGCACAGACTTTTTAAAAGTGTAAATCAGTTGCCATTTAAAAATCAGAAGATTTCACTCTCTCCCACTGTAGTGGGTATAATGGTAGCACCAAAAAGATATATCCACATCTTAATCTCCAGAACCTGGGGATGTGACTTTCTTTGGAAAATGGTCTTTGTAGATGTAATTAAGTTAAGGATCTTGAGATAAAAGCATCTGGATTATCCAGGTACCCAGACCCTAAACCCAATGACAAGTGCCCTTATAAGAGACAGAAGAGAAGATACAGGGAGAAAAGGGGGCAGGTGACATAAGACGGAGGCAGAGATTGGAGTGATTAAGAGCAACATGCCAAGCCCAGGACAGCTAGAAGCGCACCAGAAGCTGAAGAGGCAAGGATGGATTCTCCCCTAGGGCCTTCTGGGGAAGCATGGGCCTGTCACGTTTTGATCTGGAACTTCTGGCCTCCAGAGCTGTGAGAGAATACATCTCTGCCATTGTAAACTATCCAATTTGTAGTACTTTGTTACAGCAACCCTAGCAAGCTAATACACCTGCCCAAAATTCGTTTTCAACTTTAACAATAGCAAACAGAATACTAAAAGTGGCAGTGAAAACATAATTTAATATTCGGAATTGTCAAGCAGAGCAGTTGATAGCCCAGCCAAAACTCATGGACAACATCTGGAACAAAACTAGATGACAGAGTGTAACCCTAAATCCCCAAACAGGTATAGGTAGAAATAAATGGGCCACAGCCCTGAGACCCTTGGGGTATCAGCAATTGAGATAGGAAGAAGAGAAAAAGCAACGGGACTTCAGACAGCCCTAAGAACTAGAGCAACCCCTTCCAAAAGTCACCAACAGGTGTTCACCCCCAAAGAAGTGGTTTCCTCCCCCTCAGAATGCAGGGGTCTGGCTAGCCAAAGTGAGGATGCAGCTGAAACTTGCAAGGACTTGGGTAGGGCTGGATGTCAGGGTGGTCAAGCCCTACAGATGGCCAAAATGAAAGAGCCTCCAAGAAAAAGTCCCACATCAGGGAGAAACTACCAGCGCAGAATCCATGTCACACTCCCACAGCAGCACAAGCATCTATAAACACCGAGCAGCGGTGGCCCAATGAATCCTTAAGCTCTCATTTGTTCCTAGCAAAACTGTGCCTTTGGGAAAGTCGTTTGGCAGAAAATAATCTAGCTTGCTTTGCTATTCTGAAATTGGTTTCAGGAAATTAAAAGCGAAGGTCTGAATTATATCCCCAGAACTGTAACATTTAAGACTGAATTCTACTTCACAAAAAAAAAAAAAAAAATCTGATTTCAAACTTGGTAAGATAAACTAACCTTGTTCAGTTTGTGTTTGTCACTGAAGTGTGGTTGGCCAGCCCACTGTGGAGGTGGCTTGAGTGTACTGAGCCAGGCAGAACTTTCCCTGAATCTGAAGAGCCATTCTGAAATTAAGCAATCCCTCCTTGGCTAGAACAGATGTTTTCTGTTTTGAAAGCATATAAAACAAATCATCACTCCTGGTAAATGGCCTCAAGATGGTTCTGTTGGCACATTACAAAACAGAACCCGAACCCCCATGCTGGTGAACGAACAATCTAGACAAGGCCACCCTGCGTGTAATTGACCAGGCTGTGCAGTGAACGAGGACCCTGGCCTGGGTGGCTGAGCTGGGGTGAACCTCATCCCTTAGGCCAAGGAAAGGGGGTGTCTTTGTCTGATCTATGCAAAGGCTTTGACTGCTGGCCAAGCCCAGTGTAGTGGCCATCCCCTTTTTCTAACTGGCACAATTAACAGAAAGGCACCGTGTGGGCTAAAGAAAGTCCTCCGGCCAGGTTTCAAACTGAAGGAAAAACTACACAAGAAATCCGATTTGAAGTATTACTTGTTCCCACACTATAGGCTTACCCGCCAAGTTCAGTAAAAACAGGCCAAAGCTGAACGTGTTTCTGGAAGCTCATTTACCCACAAGCCCTATTCATTTGTGCGGCCGCCTGGTCCCTGTGGGCATCTGAGTATGCTAGCCCTGCCAGGAAGGTGTCTGCAGGGCCTTATGGGGACACCACCATTTTGCCCACCATTCATCTCCCTTCATCCTCACCTTCCTCCTGATTTGGGGCCTCCCTGTCACCCAGCCCTTGGGGAAGACACTCCAGGAAGGGGAGCTAGAGCTGAAAACTCCGCAGTAGTATCTCTTTCCAAATCAGGGCTTTTAAAGTGAAAACAAAGCAAAAGCATGAGGTGGCTCACTTAGTCATCTTGATCCCAGGTGCTCAATAAATGTTTGGTGGCAAATAAAAAATTATTTTATTTGGCTGAATTCATCATCCTTTATTACTGTATCTTTGCAGAGGTTCAAAAACATCTAGACCAGTGGTTTACAATCCTAGCTGTGCATTTTCATTCACCCAGGGAGGCCAGGCATGGTGTTTCATGCCTGTAATCCCAACACTTTAGGAGGTCAAGGCAGGAGGATCGCTTGAGCCCAGGAGTTCGAGACCAGCCTGGGCAACGTGGTAAAATCTGTCTCTACCAAAAATACAAAAATTAGCCGGACATAGTGGCATGCCCCTATAGTCCCAGCTACCCAGGAGGCTGAGATGGGAGGAACACCTTAGCCTGGGAGGTGAAGGCTGCAGTGACCCATGATTGTGCCACCTCACTTCAGCCTGGGCAACAGTGAGACCCTATTTCAAAAAAATAAGTAATAATAATCACCTGAGGAATTTTTAAAAATTCCAATGCCACACATTAGGCCAATTAAGTAGAAATGTGGGGGTGGGCCCCAGGCATGAGTATTTTCAAAAGCTCCCTGGGAAATTCCAATGTCCAGCCACAGTTGAGAACCACTAATCTAAATCACCCAACACAAAAAAAGGAAAAGAAACCCCCTACCATTTCCATACCAGTTATACTCAACTCACCAAAAAGTTATAGAAAATGCTCAACAGAGGGGCTGAAAAAAGTTAGAACTCTTTACTAACTGAAGCCATGGGTAACCTGTCACATGCCCCAGAAAATGCTTTGTAATTATTCCAAATTTCAACCTTTATGCCTGTCTAGTATGGAACTTGTAAAATGACCCAACAAATCAGACTTGCTCTATCAGGGTTCCTTGATATCAGGGGTAAGGTTAACAACGTGGTAAGAAAGGCTGCCCTGTCTTTCACAGGACTTTGGTAACCCCAGCCATACCCACTAAATGTCAGGAATGCCCTTGCTTGTCAATAAAAGACCCCACACCCCAACTGCCCCAAGGGCAGGAGAGGGGCAATACAATCCCTTGAGAACTACTAGATGCTCTATACACAGGTGAAAACGAGCCTGAGGTCAGAATATACCCAAACTTGAGAACACAGGATAGCAAGGTCGTAAGTGTCCACAAATCAGAAGAAAATGTGAAGACAGGTTCAAATGCTAACAGAGCTCATCACACTACTTTGAAGGAGACATAGTCATCCAAATTAGGCCAATGAAATGTTCTTCTTTGGCAGAAGTTCTCTGAAAATTCACTTCAATGGCCAGGCTAGAACAACATATTGTAACTAGTAGATCAGTCAGCCTTCCAAAGCGCTCAGAAACACAGTGACCTCTCCCAAGGCAAAACGTGTCCTTTGTCTACTGAACAACGCAATGTCCCCATTTCCAGCCCACTGCCTACTTTGTGTGTTTGTTCAACAACAACTTAAAATGAATAAACTGGTCCAAATTAAATACACCACTACTAAAGGAAGGGAAGGGAAGACAGGAAGGGAAAAAAAAGAATCAAGGCCTAAGCTTCACCCTCCTGCCTCATTTTCTACCAGGGAACCATTTACAGGCCCGTCTTGGAGAAACTCATTCTTCTGACCCGGAGCATCAGCTCCAGATGCCCAAAGCACAAATCTGTGTATCTAGCTGGAACCTGCCTCCCGTGCAACTGCTCCCAGCACTGTTCCAATCACAAGTCTTGGATCAAAATCAGGCTTGTTACTTCCCTACTCTCATCGATGGTTACATCACCAGCCACTTAACATTCCCCATAACAGGCTCCCCCAAGCCTCCCACCAGAGCCTACCCCAACCAAACTCACTGGCCAGGACTTTTCACTTACAGACCTAACTTCCTCATAAAGTAGAAACACTACTTTGTAGGGTTCCTATATAGAACCCAGAATCAACATCAGTTCCTTCCTTCCCTCATGGTCTTGTACTGCTATTTAATCACTGATCCACATGGTATGCAGCCCCATGTGCATAAAGTAGATTAGCTGTACTAGCCAACCTTACTAGGCCAGGGAGTCACTCTGAATCAAAATCGAACCTGGCACCAAAAAAAAAAAAAAAAAAAAAAAAAGACATGCATATAATATTCCTGCTCCTCCTTCAGCTTTGAGAATCTAACATCCTCCTCAACAAACTAAATTCCATTAGAGGCTGCCCTAAGGAAATATGCAATTCTCACACATCCAGAAAGACAAAAAACAATAACAAAAAAACCTCTCTCTACTTGTGACCTTGGCTTGTGGCTGTTTTTTCAACTTCAAAAACTTTAGCTAAGAAAACTCAGGCCATGAGCACACAGGGCTTTCTGAAGGCTACACAACTCCAACTGTCTTGTGTGTTGTCAACACCCCTCCCCTCAGGCAGAGCCATCAGATTCCACAGGCCAGAGCCTTGACGTTGTCCTCTGCAAAATGAGGCGGTTGGAACAGAAGATTTAGCTCTCTCATGGTCAAGGTCATGTATATTTTAACCACAGTACAAACTGTATTAGTACGGTCATTTAAAATAAGCTTTTATTAATACAGAAAGAAGCAATATGTGTATTTTTAAAATTAGAAAATATAGGCAACATGCAAAATGAATAAAATGTTTTCATTTCTACCACCCTCACTGAATGTAGAACTTCTGATCTGAAATGAGCCTTCTGCTGTACATGTTTGATAATCTACCTTATTGTATACATGATCTATACATTAAAAAAAAAAAGGAACAGAAGATTTACATTCACATTCCTTTCAGCTCTCTCATGGTCAAGGAGCACCTGGCTTGTGAAATTGGGAGATGAATTTCTATTCTCGCCAAGCATATTTTTAGTTATGAAGGCTGAAAATTTCATACCTCACTATCAAAAGCCCCTTTCCCTCCTAGGTCTCTCCCAGAACTGGCTCCAAGGGGTGTTTAGTCATCCCCATCATCGCATCATGCCAAGTGATAAGACCCAAAGCCGAACCTCCAGCCCACCTACTGCTCCAGCAACTGCAGCCCCAGCCACCAAAGAACTGCCGAGATTTCCAGAGCTCCAAGCCCTCACTCACACTTTATTCTCAGTGCCCCTACACACACACACACGGATGTACACACAGACAGTCACTCACGCCTTCCCCGCCCATGCTTACCACTTGCCACCTAAGTCCAAGGGCCCACCTTTGGTCAGGCTTATACCCGGCCCCTTCTTGCCTGCTCCTTTCAGGGATCTGCACTCTCTCCACGGGAAGATGGTGTGCGAGCTGGCTGGCAATAGAGCCAGTCTGCAACTCCCCCGCAAGGGGAAGCACAAACGCAGGCATCCTTTCCCCTAAACCCCAGATCCTAACGTCAGATAACCTGACAGCCAGGCTCAGGTTGTGCACAATGTCCCTTCACACATAAAGCAGCTTTCTGATTTTTCTTGATAGACCCCTAAACCTAAAAGAGGAAAGGAAACTGGATTCCAATCCAATTTGAAATCAGGTAGCTGCTTTAAAACCACGTTCAGATGTTTCTAATCTTGATACTAGTGGTGGTTACACAACTGTATGCATTGGTCAAAACTCAGAACTGGTACACTAAAATTTACATAAATTATACCAAGTTAAAGAAGTATCTGTTCAGAAGTCACCAACACCACTGGCATAACCCCTCTGAAAAGAATGACAAAGAGCGCGGCATCCCTCAAGTCTCCTTTTCACCCAAGCCCATGGCTGAGCACTGCCTAAGGGTCTGAGAGCATCTTCTGAACTCAGAATGTGCTAAGTCCATCAAAAGCACGAAGACTGACAGGCAGCAGGTCCAGATTACAGAAATCAAGTGATATGCAAAAAAGACTTCAATTTCACAAATGAAAATTCTAGTTTACAATTAAAAGTTTAACTTAATTTTAAAAAAGGATCTGCCTATTAGACTTCTCAGATATTAGAAGCTTAATGAATTTCTAGGTCAAGCAGGTGGTCCTTTGGCATGCCTTACTTAACAGCTTGGCTTTATAGCCCTATGTCTAGTCCTTTTTACAACAGCTGCATGATGATGAAATGAAGCTCATGACACACAACCCAAGCTGACACAGATGTTCACAGTAGCATGATATGCAATAGCCAGAAAGTAGAAACGACCCAAACTTCCATCAGGTTATAGATGGAGAAGCAAACTGTGGTTATCCACGCACTATTCAGGCATAAAAGGAACGAAGTACTGATACACGCTCCATACAACACGGTAGGACCTTAAAAACACTATGCTAAGTGAAATAAGTGATTCTATTTGTTATGTCCAGAAAAGGCAAATCCTTAGCCGTGTGTGATGGCACATGCTTGTAATCCCAGCTACTTGGGAGGCTGAGGCAGGAAAATCGCTTGAACCCGAGAGGCGGAGGTTGCGGTGAGCCGAGATGGCGCAATTGCACTCCAGCCTGGGCAACAAGAGCAAAACTTTACCTCAAAAAACAAAACAGAAAAGGCAAACTCATAGAGATGTAAAGCAGATTAGTGGTTGCCAGAGGCTGGGAAGAATGCGGGGAGGAATAAGGGTGATGGCTAAGGGGCACAGGGTTTGTTTTTGAGGTGATGAAAATGTTCTAAAGTTGATTGTCATGATGGTCACGCAACCGCAAATATCCTGAAAGCCACTGAATTGTACATGTTCGATAAAGGAGTTATATAGCATATGAATCATATCTCAATAAAGCTGTTCCCCAAAAATCCCAAACTAACACGCTGAGCCTTCAGAATCCCACTTACGGCAAGGTTGCCAAGGCAACGGAGAAGACTCAGAAGTTGGTTTCTCCACTGGCAAGCCACACGTAGAAGAAAGAAACTGGATCCTCATCTCTCACCTTATACAAAAAACCAACTTAAGGTGGATCAAAGACTTAAATCTAAAACCTGAAACCATAAAAATTCTAGAAGATAACGATAACATCAGAAAAACTCTTCTAGGCATTGGCTTAGGCAAAGAATTCATGACCAAGAACCCAAAAGCAAATGCAACAAAAACAAAAATAAATAAATAGGACCTAATTAAACTAAAAAGCTTCTGCACAGCCAAAGAAATAATCATCAAACAGATAACCCATAGAGTGGGAGAAAATATTTACAAACTATGCATCTGACAAAGGGCTAATATCCAGAATCTACAAGGAACTCAAATAAATCAGCAAGAAAAAAAAAAAAAACAAATATTCCCATCAAAAAGTGGGCAAAGGACATGGGCAACAGACAATTCTCAAAAGATAAACAGCCAACAAACATGAAAAAATGCTCAACATCACTAGTTGTCAGGAAAATGCAAATTAAAACCACAATCAGATACCACCTTACTCCTGCAAAAATGACTACAATTAAAAAGTCAAAGAAATAATAGATGTTGGCGTGGATGTGGTGAAAGGAAACACTTCTGCACTGCTGGTGGGAATATCAACTAGTACAACCACTATGGAAAACAGCATGGAGATTCCTTAAAGAACTAGAAGTAGAATTACCATTGCATCCAGCAGTCCCATTACTGGGTATATACCCAGAGGAAAAAAAGCCATTATTTGAAAAAGAAGGCCGGGCACGGTGGCTCACACCTGTAATCCCAGCACTTTGGGAAGCCAAGGTTTGAGGTCAGGAGTTCGAGACCAGCCTGCCCAACACGGTGAAACCCCGTCCCTACTAAACACAAAAAAACTAGCCGGGTGTGGTGGCAGGCGCCTGTAGCCCTGGCTACTTGGGAGGGTGAGGCAGGAGAATTGCTTGAACTCAGGAGGTGGAGGTTGCAGTGAGCCGAGACGGTGCCACTGCACTCCAGCCTGGGTGACATAAAGAGATTCTGTCTCAAAATAAATAAATAAAATAAAAATGGACCCAGCTGAGCCATTCTCAGATTATTAATCCACATAAACTGTGATTATGTGTCAGGTGACTAAATTTGTGGTAACTTACTGTACAGCAATAGAAAACTAATACATACATTCTTATGCAAAAAAAAAAAAAAAAAGTAGTTGGTTTCTCCTCCTCCTCCACCACAAGCTGCCCACCAGGCACGGGCTCAGATGCAACACGCATCAGGTAAAGGGGCTGCAAGGAGTGGTCTTCTCTACCTGTCCCCATCTATCATAGACTACCAAGTATCTGAGTGGCTGCGGTGTGTAGGCACTGTCACTGCACAGTGAGGTGGCTGGTGCCCAGCTCCCACACAGCTTTCCTAACACTAAAGTGCCTGCAGCCAATCTCAGGCCTCCATGAGGTATGGCTGCAAAATACAGACAGGGGCCAGGCGTGGTGTTTCACGCCTGTACTCCCAGCATTTTGGGAGGCTGAGGCTGGAGGATCACTGGAGACCAGCCTGGGCAAAATGGCGAAACTCCGTCTCTGCTAAAAATACACCGGGCACGGTGGCTCACACCTGTAATCCCAGCACTTTAGGAGGCCAAGGCGGGCAGATCACAAGGTCAGGAGTTCGAGACCAGCCTGAGCAACATGATGAAACCCCGTCTCTACTAAAAACACAAAAATTAGCCGGGCGTGGTGGCGCATGCCTGTAATCCCAGCTACTCAGGAGGCTGAGGCAGGAGAATCACTTGAACACAGGAGGCGGAGGTTGCAGTGAGCCGAGATCGCGCCACTGCACTCCAGTCTGGGTGACAAGAGCAAGACTCCATCTCAAAAAATAAAAAAATAAAAATAAAAATAAAAAAAAATTAGCCAGGTGCAGTGGTGCGTGCCTGTAGTCCCAGCTACTCGGGAGGCTGAGGCAGGAGAATTGCTTGAGCCCAGGAGGCAGAGGCTGCAGTGAGCTGAGATCTTGCCATTGCACTCCTGCCTGGGTGACAGAACAGAGACAGTGGCGTGAAAAATTTACAGGACTTTTTCATAGAATGGTTTCTGATGTTCACAGAGAAGAGCAACCAGACAAGAAAAATTAACTACAGAAGAAAAACACAACACCAACACAGAAATGACACCCAAGCTCTTTTCATGCAAACATGCACTAAGGGAAGCCATGTGGGCATGTTTACAGAGTACCAGCCACAATGACTACTTCTTAAAACTCAATGCACTAAGTTATAGCATAACTTAAATGTGTTGCTAATTATTTCACTGCCCTGCCTTGTCATTCCCACTGCAAGGGAGAGCATTTCCCACAGACACTGGGACTGGGGAGGGCAGCATCTTGCTGGTTGTCAAGTGATTCAAACTCACCCATCCTCACCCTTCTGATTTAACCCGTATGAGAGTCAAGACTCAGAAAACAAGGCACAGACAAAAGACAGTATACTAAAGCCTGCCTTTCATCTGGAAGGAATATTATCCATTAGTTTGTGGCTATGAGACACTGAATAACCAGGCCACTTGACCTCTCCTGAAAGGAATCATGCAAACAACGTAAGGTATCCTACGATGCTCTTCAGTGGGCCCCGTCAGCTTAAGGACCATGTTTTTTGAGAAGAGGAAGGAACTCTGGCCCAGAGCGGTGGAAGAGAACCAAGGCAGAGGATTAGGAAAAGAGATCAGAACCCACAGAAAAGCAGGGGGTGGGGGTCATGCTACAACCCAACAGAAAGGAGAAGTTAGAGAAGTAACAAAAAGAAGGTTTTGAGAGGGGACTTGCAGTGTTTGAGGTCAGGGAACAGGAGATGACTCAGGAATGCATCTGGACCAGGTAAAGTGACCAGCCCTTACTTTTAGTTCAAAATTGGCATGTGACGTGTGGAGACGGCCCCAGCCACCAACCTACATTCACCCCCTCATCACAGAGGGGCAGGCTGAAACAGAGGACACAGGTTGGCCCTGGTCAAATGACAATGGTTTCCTTTAGCTCCGTCCAGAAGGGGAAACAAGATTTCTTTGCCAAAGTAGAAACCATGGGATTGCCAGTTTTATTATCTGGGAAGGATGAAATATGCTTTCTGAGCACTGTAGCACTATCATGAACATCCAGCTTTCTTCTCACTAACCTTAACCGGGCAGAATCCCTTACAGGTCATACCATTTTTGTGTTTAAAAATAATTCAAGGCCGGGCGCAGTGGCTCACGCCTGTAGTCACAGCACTTTAGGAGGCCAAGGCGGTCGGATCATTTGAGGTCAGGAGTTCAAGACCAGCCTGACAAACATGGTGAAACTCCGTCTCTGCTAAAATATAAAAATTAGCCCGCTGTGGTAGTGGGTGCCTGTAATACCAGCTACTCGGGAGGCTGGGGCAAGGGAATCCCTTGAACCCAGAAGGCAGGGGTTGCCGTGAGCCAAGATCACGCCACTGCACTTCATCCTGGGCAACAGAGCAAGACTGTCTCAAAAAAAAACAATACTTCAAGGGTTCTGTCTGAGCATCTATGCCAGGCTGTGTATCAACAATGAAATAGCATTTCCAAAGATAAAACAGTCTGGACTTTGGGAATTGTGTGATGTCAAAAAAAAATATCACATTTATATTAGACCGTACTTGATACACATGTCGCTGAGGAGGTCCCTCTGCCTTCCCTTCCTGTGGCTTTACCAGAGTATATTAGCCAAGACCACATTCAACTGGGCCCCCAAGGAGATTACTCAGCACCTAGGAGGTGCTGGACAAGTAAGTGCCACTGGAGAATAAAGATGAAAGACAGAGGACACAAGTCAAAACTACTCAAACACAGAGATGGCCGTGCACTATGATGGATTCCAGACGAGAAGGCAGCCATGTGAAGGGCTTGGAAATCTGTACTTCCAAATTTTTCCAGATGGCTCTGAAACGGGCAATCAAAATCATTGCACCTAGATGGTCTAAAGGCAGGAACGGGCAAGCTTTTTCTGTAAAGGGCCACGTGGTAAAGCATTCTGGCTAAATCAGGTTTCTGTCACATATTCTTTGGTGTGTGTGCTTTACAACCCTTTTAAGATGTAAAGATCATTCTTAGCTGGAGGGTCACACAAAAACAGGCCAGATGAGCAGAATCTGGTCCAAGGACTTCAGAACATTCTTAGCATTTGAAACTAGAATAATCTGAGGAATATTTCCTATATTCAAGTTAGCAATTTATTGTGTTGAAAAAAGAACAGCTAACAACCAACATAACTAAGACTCTTGCTTTTTAAGGAATACGTCGAACATTATCAACTAGTATCAACAGAAACTGCATACTAGAGAATGAGAATACTTAAGAGTACCGAATTCCACTTTAAAATCTCAAATTCCTAATCCACACTAGTACTTCAAGAACCTAGAAAAAGAGAAAAGTCCAAAGCAAAAAGAGAAGGATAACAGCAAAAAAAAAAAAAAATCAATAAAATTGATAAAAACTAGAGGAGAAAAAAATTAAGCAAAGAGCTATTTCTTTGAAAAGATTATTAAGATAAACTCTAGCAAGACTTACAAAGAAAAAAAACCAGATTGCCAATATTAGGAATAACAGGAGATATCACTGTGGATACTCTGCAAGCACCAACAGGATAAGGGAATACTACAACTCTACACACATAAATGTGGCAACTTAAGAATGAAATGGGGCAATTCCTCTAAAAACACAAACTAATGAAATAGGAATTAAAAGAAATTAAAGAATGTGTAAGCAGAAACTCAGTTGTATGCAAGAAAACCCAGTTCCCGCTGAGAAAGAGAAAGAGCTGGAGTCCTTTAAAAATTAACTGCTTGTTTTTCTGTGGCTAGTGAGCCTTATCTCTCCTCCTTTCCCAGGCATTGTGAAGACCCTGTTTCTCTAGCTGTGCAGCTGCAAGGTCACTAGACAAACTCAAGTCGTAAAACATGTTTTTCCTTAAAAAGTAAGAAATGATGTAATGCATGTCTCAATTAACTGAATAACTGTCTTTGTTTCTTGCTTCTGTAATATGCTCCCCCCTGCACAGATCTCCCCCTGCCCCCACGAAATGCTTAAAAGGTAACTTAACTCTTTGTTCACGGCTCAGTCCTTTGAATGTTAATCCGACTGGGCCGGTGCACCTAAATAATAAATATCCTCCTGAACCCCATTGGTCTCTCTGATGCCTTACCAATCCGGCTACACTACCACAACTCACCGAATATGAAATAACATGAAGAGTCCTATAACTGTTAAGGAAACTGAATTTATAGCTTAAAAATTCCAGAAAGAGGCCAGGCATGGTGGCTCATGTCTGTAATCCCAGTACTTTGGGAGGCCAAGGTGCGTCAACTGCTTGAGGTCAGGAGCTTGAGACCAGCCTGGGCAACATGAGGAAGCCCTGTCTCTAAAAAAAAATACGAAAATTAGCCAGTGATGATGGTGCGTACCTGTTGTAGTCCCAACTACCTTGCGGGGCGGGAGGGGAGGGGGGTGAGGCAGGAAAATTGCCTGAGCCCTGGAGGTCAAGGCTGCAGTGAGTTGAGATTACACCACTGCATTTCAGCCTGGGTGACACAGCAAGACCGTCTCTCAAGAAAAAAAACACTCCAGAAAAGAGATCTTGAGACAAAGATGGTTTCACTGGAGAGTTCTACCAAACATTTAAAGAATTAACACCAATTCTACACAATCTCTTCCAGAAGGGAAGGCCTCCCTATTTTATGAAGCCAGTATTATGCTAATACCAAAACCAGACCAAGACAGTCCAAAAAAGAAATCTATGGACCAATATCCCTCATGAGTATAGACACAAAAATCCTTGACAAAATCATTAGCAAATAGGATTCAGCAATATAGAAAAATATGCCATGACCAAGTGAGATTTATTCCAGGTATACAAGGCTAGTTCAACATTCAAAAAAAAAAAAAAACAAACAAACAAACAACGTGATCCACCATAATAGGTTAAAGAAAAAAACCCACATTTTATATTAATTTATGCAAAAAAGAACCTGACAAAATCCAACACTCATTCAAGATAAACACACAAAAATGGGAATAGAGGAGAGCTTTCTCAACTTGATAAAGGGTATCTACAAAAAACCTACAGTTAGCATAATACTCAAAATGGTAAAAGACTGCTCTCCCCATAAGGTCCAAAAACAAGGCAAGGATGTCTGTTCTCACAGCTGCTATTCAAGGGTAACCAAAGTATAGCCAGCACAGTAAGGCACATAGATTAACAACCTGCCCAAGGTCACACACACTAGTAAGTAGTGGAACCAGGATTCAAACCCCAACAGCTGGGCTCCAAAATCCAGTGTTTTTACGTACAACATTGTTATATATGCAACAAGAATAAGCAAGCCATTTGTACCACACATCAAAGTGGTTATCTACTTGTGACAGTATCACAGTTGTATCCCCTCTTTCTTTACATTTCCCTAACCCCATAGTGTAAAATGAGCAGATGTAGTAAAAAGACAAATGCACAAACCACTACTTGAACAGTTCCTGCAGCCTTCTGAAGCAAAGCCAGACCCTTTGTTCAAAGAAATAAATTACAGGAACTCCACTAAAAATTTAGCAGTCACAAAATGCTTAAAAAAAAAAAAAGCCCCTAAACCTGACAAAAACAAGCAATGGGGAAAGGATTCCCTATTTAATAAACGGTGCTGGGAAAACTGGCTAGCCATATGCAGAAAACAGAAACTGGACCCCTTCCTTACACCTTATACAAAAAATTAACTCAAGATGGATTAAAGACTTAAATGTAAAACCCCAAACCATAAAAACCCTAGAAGAAAACCTAGGCAATACCATTCAGGACATAGGCATGGGCAAAGACTTCATGACAAAAAAACACCAAAAGCAACTGCAACAAAAGCCAAAATTGACAAATGGGATTTAATTCAACTAAAGAGCTTCTGCACAGCTAAAGAAACTATCATCAGAGTGAACAGGCAACCTACAGAATGGGAGAACATTTTTGCAATCTACCCATCTGACAAAGCTCTAATATCCAGAATCCACAAAGAACTAAATTTATAAGAAAAACATAACCTCATCAAAAAGTGGGTGAAGGATATGAACAGACACTTCTGAAAAGAAGACATTTATGCAGCCAACAAACATATGGGAAAAAAGCTCATCATCACTGGTCATTAGAGAAATGTAAATCAAAACCACAATGAGATACCATGTCATGCCAGTTAGAATGGTCCTTATTAAAAAGTCAGGAAACAACAAATGCTGGAGAGGTGTGGAGAAATAGGAATGCTTTTACACTGTTGGTGGGAATGTAAATTAGTTCAACTATTGTGGAAGACAGTGTGGTGATTCCTCAAGGATCTAGAACCGGAAAAACCATCTGACCCAGCAATCCCATTACTGGGTATATACCCAAAAGATTATAAATCATTCTACTATAAAGACACATGCATACGTATGTTTACTAAGCACTATTTACAATAACAAAGACTTGGAACCAACCCAAATGCCCATCTATGATAGACTGGATAAAGAAAATGTGGCACATATACACCATGGAATACTATGCAACCATAAAAAAGAATGAGTTCCTGTCCTTTGCAGGGACATGGATGATGCTGGAAGCCATCATTCTAGGCAAACTAACACAGGAACAGAAAACCAAACACCACATGTTCTCACTCATAAGTGGGAGCCCAACAATGAGAACACATGAACACAGGGAAGGGAACATCATACACCTGGGCCTGTCAGGGGGTGGGGGGCAAGGGGAGGGAGAGCATTAGGACAAATGCATGCAGGGTCTAAAACCTAGATGACAGGTTGATAGGTATAGCAGACCACGATGGCACATGTATACCTATGTAACAAACCTGCACGTTCTGTACTGCATCCCAGAACTCAAATTAAAAAAAAAAAAAAAAAAAAAGTCCTGTCATATTCTTGCATCTCATACCAAAGGGAGTTAATAGTAAGCTCTTTCCTCTCTCTTCTCAACATCAAGCCTCCAGCTCCAAATTAGACAAACCCCCACGTAGGAACAAACACTTGGACTGAGAAACCCATGACCATCTTCCTCAAAATTCCACATGCAACTGGGCCACTTAGCTACTGCCTTATACAGTTAAAAGATTCAGTGTTAAGCCATTTATAAAACTTCAGCCAGGTACTGCAGTGTGCACCAGTAACATTAGTGACTCAGGAGTCTCAGGCTGGAGGATCCCTTGAGTCCAGGAGCTCGAAATCAGTCTGAGCAACACAGCAAGACCCCATCTTTGAAAAACAAAAACAAAAAACTATGCCACTACTGTTTTCCAAAGCATGATCCAAGGCACTGGCCCTGAAAATACACGTTGAATATCCTTTATCCAAAATGCTTGGGACCGAAAGTGTTTTGGATTTTTTTTTTTTTCCACTTTGGAATATCTGCATCACACTCACTGACTCAAAGTCCCTAATCTGGAAATCCCGAATCAGCATTTTTTTGTGTTATGTCGGTGCTCAAAGTTTCAGATTTTGGAGCATTTCGGATTAGGGATGCTCAACCTGTACTCTAAGAAAAAGGATTGAGGAACAGTTCTATATTCACCTCTGCACTGTAAGGCCAGCAAAGGAATTTGGAATGCCCACAGGCACATAAGTCTTGTTTGAACACTGTGATCTACAGTCCTTCTAGAAGGGAGAATTCAGAATTAAATACAGCAGTGTTCTAGGAATTGCTCAGGATTCTCACTGGAGAAATTTTCATTTATGAAAAAAAATGGAGTCATGCAACACAAGTAATTGATATCTTAAATCAAAGTGTCCTTTTAAAATTCTGCTTTAATCACTTAGGGAGGAAGCCCTTTAAATAAAGTAGACCAACCTTCAAAACACAGGGCAACCCATTATTTTCTGCCTCTTCTCTTGCCAGCAGAGCTTTCGTTACCCTTCAAGTAAGTTAAATTCACACCTCTTTATAACTGAGCATCTTTATCCACTGGCACAATTTCAAAGTACTCTGCCCTAAGTATTGCAATTAGTGTTAGGTATTTTATGTATCATTTGATACTCTTCCAAACATTTTATTGGACATTCCACCCAACGACACAGTGTGTGGGATTTTAGTATCATTAGCACCTTCATGGAGAGGGAAAAATTAAGGTGTGTGTAAAACTACCCAGAGTCAAGTCAGTTCAGGAATCTAGAACATGCTACTGGCTCTTACCAGCTCCTTTTGAATCTGTGGCTTAGCACGTAAACACATTTATCACCAGTATCACCACTAGCTAGCTCGGTGGCTCCTTCCGGAACACAGATGACAGTGTCAATTTAATGAAACCCAGGCCCACCACACCTCAGGGCCGCAGGGTTGTTTTTCCTGGGGTCTGGAAAAGTGCCTAGCTGTAAGGGTTTTAAAGAGCATTTGTGCATGGTTTACATACGTGGTTCGCAGATTCAATTGAGGAGGTTTTCTGACTTTTCAAAAGAACTGAGTCTATACCATGAAATGGTGGTCGGAGCCACAGTGCACACCAGCAGGCTTAGGTTACAACTGCAGTGAAATAGTGAATTAAAACACCTGGAATATGCAGACTCCAAAAACTAAACTAAGAACTTTATTGACGTTTTTAAACAGATGCTAGTAACTTTATAACTAATCCTTATCTGTGAAAGGTTAGCATAACCATGGTGATCGCAATTATAAAGCCCATAATCTCCAATCTTCTGGGTATGAAATCCAAAATCAAAAGCTCTAACTTTTTAAAGCTATTAGAGAACACAGCATTTTAATCTTTATCTCCTGAGAAGGTAGCTAAGGCCTGAAACTACCAATTCAAACAAAACGGAGTAAATTACATACTAAGGGGATGAGAAGATTCCCAATTGGTAACTCCTCCACTGCAAATGCAAAAGTGACTTTCTTAAAAAAAAAAAAAAAAAGACACATTGACTGACTACTGGTTATTAAATTAGAATGTCTCATGCGGGGCTTCAGATTACTTGAAAAAGTACCCCTCTCTTGTTAGCCAGGATGGGGGTCACTCCTAGCGCCTTGATTATGGAGTCAATTTCTTAAACAGCTGTCATCCCTTCCAAAGCATTTTAAATACTGAACTACCCAATGAGAACTAGATGAGGATTACAGATATGAAGTAGAAACTAAAATCTTACCATATGCTACCTCCATAGGTTTAAGGAAATCGGTATAACTTGGAAACTACAATCTAAAAAGAATCATTGTGGTTTACTCAATTTTTTAATGGCAAGCCCACAAAACTAATTCCCGGCAACATGAGGTTATTCAGCCTGGAGTCATATAGAGCATAACCTGTGCAATTAAGAATCTTTTGCAGAGTTGGGAAAAGAGCATTTAAAAAAAAAATCACAAAGCAAAAGCGCATGCCAAAGGAAGGCAATGCCAACAAGGGATCTCCCGGAAGCAGCCCATAAAATATTTTCAAACACAATTAACGCATGAGAATTCCTATGTAAAGCACACAAAAAAGTCTTCTCCAAAGCTGTCAAATCCTGAGTCCAGGTGCTTCCTGGCTACCGGGAAGCACAAGGAATATACTGGGGGAAGAGGAAAAACCGGGTAGAAATTGACCTTGTATGTGTTGATACAGAGTTTAGACTTCATCCATGGGGTAATAGGGACCCACGGAAGAGTTTTTAAATGGGAAAAGGGACAGGGATCCTGTTGAGTTCCTAATGATCGGGCCCATCCCCAAACGGAGACAAATGGGGAGACTGTAGCCAGGAAACTAAAGTAAGGAACAGGTGATGAGCAACAAATTTGAGAACATTGGCAGGCAGAAGCCACAGGACTTAATGAGACTGACTAGGCTGACTGGTTGGGCTGAGTGAGGTAGGTGTGCCAAAGGTTTCAGACAAGTTTTTGTTGTTGTTGTTTTAAATAAGGAACCTACTAGAGGAGTTCTCATACTTTAATCAGCAACAGAATTACTGTGAGGCAGATGATTAAAAATGCAAAATCCAGGAACTCACCCCCCTCCACCAACTGTGATTCAGTCCGTGTAGAGTAGGGCCCAAGCATGCATTCCCCACTCCCAGTCATCAGCCCCGAAAGGCTGCATTGTTAAAGCAACAGCGTCTGTGCCTGCGGTGTTATCACAATGGGGGATTAAAGTGTAGTGGGACAGGATAATAATGCTGAAGGAGCGGGAGGAAGGAAGCTTTCTCTACTCTTGAGAAAGCTAGATGCAATCTGAACTACATTGTTTAGGTTTTATTATTTAGACAGTTATAGCTATTTAAAACACACAAAGAAGACATGCTTCCACCAGAAGGCAGCTCAAATACAGGGGAGCGTGGGAGCTGGTTAAAAAGAGCGATGGTTCAGGAAATCAGGGAGGGAAGGTCACCTCAAACCACAGGCTCAGTTCAGTAGGAAGCAATGACCAAGCTCCTAACAGAGCCCAGTGCCAACCTTAGAGAAAGACAGGGCCCATCCTCCTTCCCTGCCTAACAATTTGTGGGCATAACTGACACTTCCAAGAAGGACCAGGGAAATTTTGCTGATGATCTGTCATCCAAATTACTGAAATGGTCTAGTATGAATTTAAACCAGGGTTTCTCTGCCTGGGCACTATGGACATTTTGGGCTGTCAATGCCGCAGGGGAGTTGTCCTGTGCGCTGCAGGACGTACTAGATGCTAGTAGCATCTCCCCAGTTGTGACAACCAAAACTGTCTCCAGAAATTGCCAGATGTCACCCACGGAGGGAAGCACCCACATTGAGAATCACCGCCTTAAACTAAGAGGCTTCAGAATCGTGGAAGCAGAACCAGCCTTCCAATCAAACAAACATGGCTTTGAATTCCAGCTCTGCCACTCAAAAAGTAAAAAACCTCAAGATTAGGCCTATTTATTTGTCTTTAAAATGGGGATAACAAGACCTACCTAGGGTTATTTTGAGGATTTACCTAAAATTAATGCACAAAGCACTCAGGGCACTTAGCCCCTGTGGCAATTACTAAGTACAACTTTTATGTTTTCAAATAGTTCAAAGAGCCGCTTTTGTTTTTGAAGAATAACTAGGGACATGTGCCTCCAGCATTGGCCTTGGGTGGAAACCTACACCCCCTAAAAGGAACGGGCTGTCTCAGTCCTCCCCCTCCCCAGCCTGGGGGTCTCAACCTGGGGTCCATGGATGCCCAAGGGGCCAATGGATACAATTCAGGGGGCCTGTGAACTTGAATGGAAAAAAACACACAGACTTATTTTCACTAATAGAAATTTAGCACTTTCTTCAGTTATGCTTGGAGGCCAAAAAATCACACACTGTCAACTACACCTGGTCATTGTCACAAAAAATCAGGTTTTTCTCCTTGCCTAACAATTTGTTAAATATCAATTTTGCTCAGCTCTACTTATGAAACTTACTAGCCTTGCTGCCACATCTTGTTATTTGATGTGTTAATAAAGAAGCACATGAGCTGGGCGCGGTGGCTCACACCTGTAATCCCAGCACTTTGAGAGGCCAATGCGGGTGGATCATGAGGTCAGGAGTTCGAGACCAGCCTGGCCAACATGGCGAAACCCCATCTCTACCAAAAATACAAAAATTAGCCGGGTGTGGTGCCGCGTGCCTGTAATCCCAGCTACTCTGGAGGCTGAGACAGGAGAATAGCTTGAACCTGGGAGGCAGAGGTTACACTGAGATCGTGCCATTGCACTCCAGCTCTGGGCGACAGAGCGAGACTGTAGGGGGTGGGGGGGGGGACGGGAAGCAAAGCACATGTTACCATACCACACGGTGGGGGTTTTGTATTTTGAAGATTGGGTTATTTCACGCATCTAAAATTCTTACTCTGAGAAGAGGTGCACAGGCTTCCCTGATGAGGGTCAAGGGTACAAAAGAACCCCCTGCCCCAAACCTTCTCCGCTAAGCCCGTAATTCCCAAGTAGCCTTCTGTTCTTAAATTATTAAACAAGGTTATAGAATTTGTGAATTTGAGCGACACAAATCTCCTTGTGTCCCTGCACAAATCATATAGCAATGGTCCAAATGACAGACCTAACAGTATCTGCCACGTTTCTGAATTCTGGACCATCCTCATAATTCTACAAGGTAAATGAGCATCTCACTTTCCCCTAATGGACATGAACCAGCATTCCACCTTTACCATAACATAAACTTGGTCTATTTAATCAGCGTGTACCAAATATCTACCATGTACCAGAGCTGTCTCCAGGATACAGACCCTGGTGGAGGTCTGCCTTCAAAAGATACGCCCAGCCCAGGGGAAAAAAATGGACATAGGATTGCTAGACCTTTTCAGAGCTGGCTGGCCTGTTAGAGACCTTCCACTCCAACATGGCAAGAAGAGGTTACAGCAGCTCACTCACCACTGTTTTTGTGTGCGGGTTTTGCTTTTTTGACACACAGTCTCTCTGTCGCCCAGGCTGGAGTGCAGTGGCACAATCTGGGCTCAGCGTAACCTCCACCTCCCTCGTTCAAGCCATTCTCTTGCCTCAGCCTCCAGAGTAGCTGGGACTACAGACACAGGCCACCAACACCCGGCTGATTTTTGTATTTTTAGTAGAGATAGGGTTTCATCATGTTGGCCAGGCTGATCTCAAACTCCCGTCCTCAGGTGATCTGCCCACCTCAGCCTCCCAAAGTGCTGGGATTACAGGCATGAGCCACTACGCCTGGCCCTTGTTTTGTTTTTGAGAGAGTTTCACGCCACTGTCCAGGCTGGAGTGCAGTCTCCACTTCCTGGGCTCAGGGGATCCTCCCGCCTCAGCCTCCCAACTAGCTGGGACTACAGGTGCAGAAAACTCACCACACCTGGCTAATTTTTTTTCTTTTTTTTTTTTTTTTTTTTTTTGTAGAGACAGGTTTTTCCCATGTTGCCCAGGCTGGTCTTGAACTCTTGGGCTCAAGCGCTTCGCCTCCCAGAGTGCTGGAATTACAGGCATGCGGCATCGCGCCGGGCCTCTCACTCACTCTCTGGATACCCAGGCATCCTGCCTAGCACATAGGGCTAGGAACAGATCACATTTCCTCCACCAACTCAGATATGCCTAAACTATCTGAACATGGGACAAGTTTATTCCTGTTAGCCTCAGGCTAAGTCACAAAATGTTTTTCGGGCTCAAGAGTCCTTATAGTCCAATACTTCACTTACAAGATGACCACAGATGAGTTGTTTTTTTAAAAGCAAAAATAAAAATTTCCTGGGTTACACCTCATCAGCCACAACACTAAACCAGCACCACCAAGCCCAACCTACAGTTGCTCTTGGTGGTCTGGTGGCTGCTGCGTTCCCAACACAGTAACAACATCATAACTAAGTGGTTCAAGTTTAATTCCACTAAAATCACATCATGGAACTGGAACATTAGAAAGGATTACTGACAAACGGGGAAAAGAACATGAATCCAGGCTCCACAGGCATTTGACTCACCCTTGAGTCACATCCAATATTCACATGCCAAGAGTAATGCCTTTTGACTCATTATCAATTAAGTGTTTCTGGAGACCTCACAAGTCGATTTTTCACCAAGTTCCCCTTACTAAAAACTAAGTGAACTTAGATCCCAATCTAGCCAGGATCTCTTTATTTTTCAAATGTGGATACTGACAGGACGATGTGCTTCACCCCAAATAAAGTGATGGAAGAGAATGCAATATGAATCGGAGTTCTTACGCCCAGAACACTTGTAATGACTCAAGGTCTGACAGATGCATACATACACACATTCCCCACCCCCCCACACACACGTAATAGTTCTTTCTAGAATGTTCGCCTTGCCATCAAAGCTTTCTCATCTTTAAGAACAGACTGGGAATTAAAATATTAACAGCTTATGTTTCATCTTTCCCTCTTAAGAACGTTCTATTCTGATCTATACACGTCTTTATCGTCAATCTTTTTACTTCCTCTTTGCACAACTAAATTAAGATGCCACTTCCACACCTTTCCAACTTCAAAAACGTCAGTTTCTCCTCCTCCCTCCCACACGATACATCCATGGTTCTCCTGGACAGTGTCAGCCCCAAGTGTTAAAATTCTCTCACTTTTTCTTCATTCGCTCTTTTCCCACTTTAACAAAACAACAAAAACATCCTATTGTGAACCAGCACTTCAAGAGACTAAATCTAAATTTGGCCAAGGAGGTTTAAGGACAAAGGGAAGTGCCAGAGTCTTTGGGCTCCATGCTGAGATCACCCTCCTTAAAGCATAAAAGAAAACCCATGGACACACCGGCACGGTGGCTCATGCCTGTAATCCCAGCCCTTTGGGAGGCTGAGGCAGGCGGATCGCTTGAGGCCAGGAGTTTGAGACCAGCCTGGCCAACGTGGTGAAACCCTGTCTCTACTTTAAACAACAACAAAAAAAATTAGCTGGGCGTGGTGGCTCGAGTCTGTAATCCCGGCTACTTGGTAGGCTGAGACACAAGAATTGTTTGAACCCAGGAGATGGAAGTTGCAGTGAGCCGAGATCGCACCACTGCACTCCAACCTGGGCGACAGAGTGAGACTCCATCTCAGAATTAAAAAAAAAAAAAAAAAAAAAAGTTAAGAAAATCCATGGACGATAAATACAGGTGAGTGTTCACAAGGTGCTCACAACAGGGACACTTCCCAGACTCACCCCTTACTAGCTGGGTGACCCTAATACACTATTTCTCCTCACCGCTAAATTCAGTATGCTAGAGCTTTCATTAACCATTCAGCCCTAAGGCTGGCAGGGTTATTAATGAAACCTTGGCTCTTCAGCTCCACCACTCAAGCACCATTTCATCTCTAGCAGTCTCCATGCCCTACCATCCTCACCTAAGAAATGTGGGAACTAAAATTAACATGCTTTGTTTTCTCTAAGTCACTTCAGACCACCTAAATACACTGACATTGCTTAAAAACCCTACAGTGTGCTCCACAGCTACCCCCTTAAGAGTAAAAGCCCGAAGAGGTGTACACTTTTTTTTTTCTTTTTAATGGACAGGGAAGGCTCAGAAAGGTTAACATAAACCCAAGGCCACACGCAGAGCCCATCAGGAAGAAGCCAGACTCAAACCCAGGTGTTGCTCCAAATCCTCAGTCTTCACTAGATCTTGTGCCTTCGGAGATCCTTTAAATTTGCGGGAGAAAATGCAAAGTGAGTACTCAGAAATTCAGAAAGAAAGGAACAGTGTTAAAAATGGTAAGAGAAAAGCCTGCTCTATCCAATTCGAGGAAAACAGTGGGAAAAGCAAGGTATGAGCGAGACACTCCAAGTGGAACCTATGGGAAGTGCAGATTCAAGTCTGCGGCAGTCACAGGTTTAAAAGCCACCAGAAAAAGAAAGGGCAGTTCTATCCTTCCCGCGACTCCCACCCCCCACGACAGAGGCACCCCGAGAAAAGAAGCCTGCAAATTATCCTTCCCCTTCAAATTTCCTGCACACAGTTCCGACTTTAGCAGGCCTCTCTCTTCTGGTCGGGTTTTTTTTTTTTTTTTTTTTTTTTTTTTTTTTTTTTTTTGAGACAGGGTCTTGCTCTGTCGCCCAGGCTGGAGTGCAATGGCGCGATCTTGGCTCACTGCAACCTCCGCCTCCCAGGTTCAAGCGATTGTCCTGCCTCAGCCTCCCGAGTAGCTGGGATTACAGGCGCGTGCCACCACGCCCGGCTAATTTTTGTATTTTTAGAAGAGACGGGGTTTCACCATGTTGGCTAGGCTGGTCTCGAACTCCTGACCTCGTGATCCGCCCGCCTCGGCCTCCCAAAGTGCTAGGATTACAGGCGTGAGCCACCGCGCCCGGCCGGCTGTCTTTTGATAGCTCCCCGATTCGGGGTGTAAACGATTCCCGCGCCCAGACCTCATGCCTCCCCACCCCCAATAATAATAATCGTTTCCTTTTCCCGTCCCCCAGTTCCTTTCCGGGGGATCCGTCTCCTACGCAGTCGGCTGAGAATTCTGCAAGCGCTGCGCGTCCGCAGACCTTTCCCCAGCCCCAGCTCCCTACGAGGGGAAACCCCCGCCCCCAAGAGGGAAATTTACCCGCCTGCAAGAACAGGAAAAGGTCGCGCGGGCAGCCCCGCTCGGCGCACGCCCCCAGCCCGGGCTCGCCGCGCGGGTCACGCCTCGCTCCGCCGCAGTCCCTGCAACCCTCGTCCCATGGGGGGTCCGCCCGCGCCCGGCAGCCCGGGGACTCCCCGAGCGGGAGCGCGAAGGCGGCGAGCCCGCGTGGGAGCGCGGGTGGACGGCCAGGGCCCGGAAGGGCGGCGCGGCCGGCGGGCACCCGGGACTGCCCCTGCAGGCCCCGAGCTGCGGCCGGGACGGAGCGCGGAGCCAGCAGGAGCGCGGCCTCCGCCCGACCGCCGGTGCACGCGGCCCCGCAGCGCGCTGTGCGTGGCAGTCCGGGAGAGTGCGGCGCCGCGCGGGCCGCCCGCATTGTTCGGCCCGCGGCGCACGCCACGCCCGACCCCCGCCCCAGCCCGCCAGGCGGCGGGAGCGGCGGGGATGGCCACGCAGGTGGCGGCGGGCGCCCTCACCTTTGGCGCCGAGCATGAAGTCGAGCGTGCTGTGCCGTGCTGCTGCCATAGTGAGGCGAGGCCCTGTGCCATGCCTGGGGGAGCAGCCGCGGGAGACTGGGGGGCCGCGCGGCGTGTCAGGCTGCGGCCGGCTGGGAGTGTGCTGCGCCCGGGGAGGCCAGGACTAGGAGGTGGGAGGGGCCGCCGGGAGCGACCCGGGGCGCGGGGGCGGGGCCGGTCCCGCTCCGGGAGGGAGGAAGCCGGGACGCCTCCAGCCCCGAACTTGGAGCGCCGGGTGTGAGGCCTCGCTAATGGTGGAAACGTGGGCGCCGTGCTCCCCGGCGTGCGTCACCAATGGCCGCGCCCTGCTCCAAGGCTCGCGCGGCCGCTCCCGCCATCCGTTAGGTCACCTTAGGTTTAAACAGCGCAGCAGGATTTCCGGGGGGCCCACCCCTTACGCCTCCCCACACACCTCTCCCCAAGCCAAGGCCCCTCTTATTTCCTGGCGGAGTCGGGAAAATCAAATGATGAGATCCACCCCTGTAGTCTAAGAGTACTGCCTGCCTTTTCTTACAATGCTGCAGTTAAACCCATTCGGATTATTACCATTATTAGCAAGGGTCTGCTTTGCATTTGAGGACTGAATAGAAAGCGCTTGGGCATTTACGTTATCCACAGTTTCACGCAAAATAAAATGAGGGAGAAGCCAGTAAGAGGACAGCATTGTTGTTAATATTGAATTAGGAAACTGCAGACTCCGGAGTTGCTTGTCTAGCAGGACTCCTCCATCACTGGCGCCTCTATTAATGGCAATAGCCTTTGCGGGGGGCTTATTTTTGACACTGGGGTTATGGCTGCTGTTCAACAAAATGATGGCAAAGGGGAGACAGCATGAGCGTCTGAACTAAAATTATTCTTTACTGCACTGACAATATCCCTGGGCAAATGCCTCCATCATCGTGTCAGGCTTTTGTGCCTCTCACGGCCACAGGAATTGCTGTAATGGTTAGACAAAATTTAAATCCATGAACTCATGTACCTCCACAAAAGCAACGAAGAACCTGGATATTAAACTCACCTCTTCCCCCAGGCAACGGCTGTTTTGCTGAGTTCTTCACCTTTCTACAAAAACTGGGCAGTGTCTTCACAAGTGTTCAACAAGGGTCTGTTGAACAGACCTTTCTCTGTTAAGAACTGAATCTTTTTCTAGTACCTGCATTAATTTTTGTCTACCCATGGCCACCTGTTTGTTATTCTGCATGTCTTACCATTCTTCTCTGTGTCCTAGATTCTCAATTTTGTTAGCTATTGCAATTCTCATCCTTCAGTTAGCTATGTCAGTCTGCAGCTCCTCTTTCTTCCTGGGATGTTCTTCACTTCTTGCCATTCCCCTGGAGTCAGGTCACTGACAATAGAGTTGTCTTTGTCCTGCATGTTGCAGGAGCAGTAGGGCTCCATGGGCCTCAGGTGTGCCTTTCCCCACTCAGCACCAGTGTGGGCCTCACATCAAAAGGGCCCTGCACTTGGTTTAATTCTCTGCTGTTGCCATCTTGAAATTCTTAACTCTCGAACAAGGGGCCCCGTGTTTTTATTTTGCCCTTGGCCTGCAAACTGCGTAGCTGGTTATGCTCTGCAGCTTGTGTCTGGCAGCACAGGTGGCCCTCGGGCTCGGGCTTGAAATCTCATCCCCAGCACTTGTGCCTCGCCTTGTTTCCTGCAAGGTACAAAGCAGAGATGAAAAACCTGAGATGCTTTTGCTTAACTTATCAGACAGCCATAGCAAAAGTGGAGTTTAACAAATGTTTCATTGGCTGGGCATGGCAGCTCATGCCTGTAATCCCAACACTTCGGGAGGCCGAGGTAGGCGGATTGCTTGAGGCCAGGAGTTGGAGACCAGCCTGGTCAACATGGCAAAATCCCGTCTCTACCTAAAATACAAAAATTAGCTGGGCTTGGTGGTGCACACCTGTAATCCCAACTACTCGGGAGGCTGAGCTATGAGAATCACTTGAACCTAGGAAGTGGAGGTTGCAGTGAGCCGCGATCATGCCACTGCACTCCAGACTGGGCAACAGAGCGAGACAGTCTCAAAAAACGAAAAATAAAAAACCACAACAAATGCTTCATGATGTTAGCACAGCATCAGAGTTAAATTGGCCTCAATATGGAACCTACATTGTTGGGATAACATTAGGAGTTATTGCAAGGATGTTCCCAATGCACGTCCTACTTACCAGTAACATAATCCTGCTCGAGGCCTCTTTTAAACACCTCCAATTGGGCCGTGAGTACCTATTTGGATTCAGGAACATGTTCTCATTACCTGAGTTTTATAATCTAGGCCCTTGGCTTCCAGGCCTGTTTCAGGACTAATAATCATTTTGTTTGTGGTAATTGTGTTATAGTCGACCAGTGGATCCTGTGCAGAGTCTTAAATACTGCACAGCTGTTATCAGACACTTCAGCAACTCGTCCTGCAACAAAAGACTCAGCAGAGACTAGATTTACCCTAGTCCGACTAGAGACTGCATTCTTGAAACAGTCTTGCCAATGGTGAAAATGTGGATATCGTGGATTCATGTCCTGCAGCCTGCCGCTGGACTACTCTTGCCCGAAAAGGAAGACTGAGAAAGAGTAAAGCAGTCCTGCCTTCACGGAGCTGGCCAGGCACTCACAGCTGTGCCTGGATGTCCTGTTGAACAGAAACAACTCCCGAAAACACCAACATCAGGCAAGGCCACTCTATGACCAGGGTGGGACAAAACACAAACAAGACCACTCTGTAATCATGTCTGAATATAGAGAAAACATAAGCCTTGTCCAAACCACAAATATGACCAAACACCACCTCTCCCCCCAGTCCTGGCTAATATGGGTGACTGCTACTTCTTTACCAACCACAGCTGTAGCCTGGCTCTAATTTTCTCTGCTTCTAGAGGACATTTATTAAACCATCCAATCACAGAATTCCCCCCACCCCAGCCCCCTGCACCAGCTCCCAATCCAGAGCAACACCTGGCTTCCCTAAACGCTCCCCAAAACCACCTGACACAGTGTCATGCCAGATGCCTATTAACTTCAGTAGGGAAGGCACCAGGTTCAAGCGGCCAAAGAAGAGACTCAAAGACATAGAGTTTATTGGTAACTTACATACGGGGACGATCCAGTGGCAGTGGGCTCAACAGGAGAACACCCTCCCCCTAACAACCTGGCAACCTTCATTTACCCTAAACTAAGGGCCTCAATCCGCTTCAGGACCCACACTGCTTTGGCCAGGCCAGAGGTTCAGATGTTCCCCATAGATAAGGAATGACTCTCTGGTTGGCCATGCTGGGAACTCCAAACACACATTCAGGTGCACTTGACATACAGGGTCATTCTCACCTGACAGGTTATTGCTGTCAGGTGCCTCTAACATACCCAGGTGCAAATCCTCTAAGTCATCCTTTCTCGCACCCTCTTATTGAGAGCCCCTGCCCCATCACTGCCCCTATTCCCATGGTATGTGTTTTCCCCGCCTGCAAGGAGAAGAAAACTGCTTGTTCAACTCTAGGTGTGTTCCTGGGAGTGTGTGACTACAGTGCAGTGACAATATAGACAACAAGATGAAGTCCAGGCTTAGGGTGAGAGCTTTGGTGACCCACTTAGCAAAATGCTGGTACTAAGTATTAGTCCTATCCCTACCTCCCTTTCAAATGGGCCCACTTGCTTCTGAGCAGACAGGCCAAGCTGGACATCAGCAACAGAGTTTCTAAAAATTCAGAGAAAGAGCCACATTGTCCTACACAGTGAGCAAGTGTGTACTGGGAAGAAGGAAGTCAAAAGCAGAAAAGAGCCCTCTGTTAAAAAGGAGGAGGTGGTGGTGGTGGTGGTGGTGGCAGTGGCTGGGTAGCTGAGGTGCTAATTGGAAATATCCATAGGCTATTGGCCTGCACTGTAAGGCCACCCATCATGCTGCTGTCCCAAACTTTCATTGCAGGGCAGGTGAGGGAGCTGATGGGGGTTGGCAGTCCTTAATAGCTGCCCTGGTCATCAAGCCTTTTGTTTCTTTTTTTTTTTTAACATAATTTTTTTTTCACCAGTTCATTTGGGACCCTTGGAGACATTCTGCCTCCCTGGCCCCTGTGTGCCGCTGTGGTGAAATCACTTCCCCTCTTAAAAACTTGGCATTAGCTATTAGGGTTAGAGTGGCTGACAAAGATCTGGATCACTCCCCGCCATTTTTTCAGATGAATGTGGGACTCACCCAGCTATTTTAACACTATTTAAGATTTTGATTAAAAAGAGTATGTAAGGCCAGGCGTGGTGGCTCACGCCTGTAATCCCAGCATTTTGGGAGGCCAAGGCGGGCAGATCATCTGAGGTCAGGAGTTCAAGACCAGCCTGACCAACATGGTGAAATCCCATCTCTACTAAAAACACAAAAATTAGCCAGGCGTGGTGGCAGGCACCAGTAATCCCAGCTACTCAGGACGCTGAAATGGGAGGATCGCTTGAACCGGGAGACACAGGTTGCAGTGAGCCAAGATCGGGCCACTGCACCCCAGCCTGGGTGACAGAGTGAGACTCCATCTCAAAAAAAAAAAAAAAAGAAAAAAAGTATGTAAGCAATAGGGGGCTAGGATCTTTACAGCGATTCTCAATTTCAGCTGCACACTGGAATCACCTTGGGAGCTTTAAACATACTGCCACTGCCTGGGGCTAGCCCTAGTGTCTAATGAAATTGGCCCCAGGTACAGCCTGGGCATTGGGATTGTAAATAAATAAATAAATAAATAAATAAATAAATACCCAGGAGATTCCAGTGTAAAGCCAAGAGAACCACTGTCAAATCAAAAAGCGGTTTGTATCACAATAGATCTCACTCCACGTCCACAAGGATGGCTATATGTGAGTAAATAAAGAAACACATTTTAAAAGCCAGAAAATAAGTGTTGGTAAGGATGCGGAGAAATTGGATCCCTCGTACATTGCTGGCGGGAATGTAAAACGGTGCAGCTGCTGTGGACAATAGTTTGGCGGTTTATTGAAAGGTGAAACAGAGTAACTGTATGATCTAGCAACTCCACTCTTGGGTATATACACAAAAGAATTGAAAACAGGTGTTCAAACAAAAACACGAATGTTTATAGCAACATTATTCCGTCATTCACAATACTCAAAGGTGGAAACAATCCAAATGTCCATCAATAGATGAATGGATAAACAAAATGTAGTAGAGCCATACAATGGAATATTATCTAGCCATGAAAAGAATGAAGTCCTGATGTATACTACAACATGGATGAACCTCAGAAACATCATGCCAAGGTAAAGAAGCCAGACACAAAAAACCATATGTTGTATGATTCCATTTATATGAATGTCCAGAATAGGTAAATCCATAGAGACAGGAAGCGGGGGGGACAGGGGAAGTGACTGCTGTATAGGTAAGGGTTTCCTTTTGGGGTGACGATAATGTCTCGGAACTAGATGTGATGGTTGCACAACGTTGTGAATGTGCTAAATGCCGCTGAATTGTTCACTTTCAAGTGGCTAATTCGATGTTATTTCATTTTAATTCAATTAAAAAAAAAAGAAGCAGCTTATAGTCACACCAACTTTGAAAGGTAAAGCTGTATAGTAATTTTTAATAAGCAGACTTCATCACCCAAAAATTTCAGGTAAATGCCTAATGGGAGGGAATTGAAGTGAGGTGTTGGCCAAAAAAAAAGCAAAAATGAAGGCTGCTGGGAAACCAGCTACCTGGTTGTGGTTTTCCCAGAGATGTGTGGACAGGTGGGGATAATCCTATAACCCAGAGGCCTAGCACTTTACAAGTGTTACAAGTGTTACAAGTGCCTGTGGAGACTGAAAGAAACGTTTTTCTCTGTCTTGGCCCCAAGACCACCACTACCCCTAAGTTCAGGTCTTCTCTCATTTCACCACAAAGTTTAAGTCAAAAAATTCTTTTTTTTTTTTTTTTTTTTTTTCTTGAGACAGGATCTTGCTCTGTCACCCAGGCTGGAGTGCAGTGGTGCGATCTTGGCTCACTGCAGCCTCAAACTCCTGAGTTCAATTGATCCTCCCACCTCAGCCTCCCAAGTAGCTGGCACTACAAGCACGCACCACCATGCCAGGCTAATTTTGTTTATTTTCTGTAGAGACGAAGTCTCACTATCTTGCCCAGGCTGGTCTGGAACTCCTAGGCTTGAGATCTTCCCACCTTGGCCTCCCAACGATGCTGGGATTACAGATGTGAGCCATCATGACTGGGCAAGTAAAAAAATTCCAAATATTTGATGGCCTAAGAGGAAAGACATCTCACCAGTGAAGCCTATAGAATGCCCTGGGGTAAATATCTTTCTTGGGCCACAAGGAAGGTGAGGCCAGCTCCTCTAACACTTACCTGCTTTGATACCTTCTTCAGCTTCCAAAACAAAATTATTTCATGCTTACAATAGTTCTAAGAGGTAGGTGAAATTATCCTCATTTAACATATGGGTCAACTGAGGCACAAAGAGGTTAGGTAGCTAGAAAGTTGGAGACCCAGGACTTGAACCCAAGCGGGTGGCTCAGGAGTCAGGCTGTTTACCCCCTCACCTTGCTGACTCTGATCGCCCTGCCTAGTTGTCCCAAAGTGTCTCCACTTTTCTTAGGACTCCACGAACCTCAGGTGTATGAGTCTGCTTACCTCCCACCAGTAGGCACCCCCGTCCCCATCAATGTGTGTGCGATTGGAGGAGGGTGTCCTCTCTCCCTGCTCTCTGAAGCTATTCCCTAATTCCACCAAACAACTTCTGGGGTGAAATTCCTACCCCTACCTATTACTAGCTGTGTGACAGTGTACAGGTTCATCAGCCTCTCTGTGCTTCCTTCCCTCTCTCTAAAATGGAGCTAATAATTACCTCATCGAGGTAATAAACACCTCATCAAGTTATTGTGAGAATTAAATGAATAGATACCTGGCAAACACTGAGGGCAGTGTCTGACACATGACTAGTATTCATTAAATAGCAGCTCCATTGAAGATTTTGTTATGCAGGTGTCACACTCCTTCAGGACTCCTTACTTTTTACGTATCTTTATTTCTATTTTTTGTTTGTTTGTTTCTTGAGACAGAGTCTCCTCTGTCACCCAGGCTAGAGTGCAGTGGCATGATCTTGGCTCACTGCAACCTCCGCCTCCCGAGTTCAAGCGATTCTCTGGCCTCAGCCCCAGAGTAGTTGGGATTACAGATGCACACCACCATGCCTGGCTAATTTTTGTATTTTAGGTAGAGATGGGTTTTCACCATGTTGGCCAGGCTGGTCTTGAACTCCTGACCTCAAGTGATCCACCCACCTCAGCCTCCCAAAGTGCTTGGGATTACAGGCATGAGCCACCGCACCTGGCCTACTTAACATGTATTTGATACAACTTAATAGTCAGGGGCAGTCTCAGAAGCTGCTTGCAGTGGCATTTGATGTGAAGCACCATTCTGCACGGTGGCAGCACCCTGTCTCTTCACCTGCTAAATCTTGGGTACCTGGAACACCCTCCTTTCTCCAGTGGAAAAATCCATACAGGAGCATTCAAGCAGGCCCAGTTCAAGTGGCGCCCCCTGGCCCAGGCAGAGCTGCGCACTCATTCGCTCACCTCCGTGTTTCCACAGCACAGTGTTCAGCCTGCCAGTGAAAAACAGCCCAACTTGTATTAATGGTACCATGTTAGCTCCCTGCCAGCTCCCCAAGAACTTGACCTGTTTCTCTCTCGCCAACACTCCTTGCTTAATGGGACTACAGTCCAAAACGTTTGAGGCCAAGGTTAGGAGCTTACTAGTTAAATAAACTAGAAAGGGACCAGAACCCTGGTGTCCTGGTTCCCAGACCAGAGCTCTTTTCATTAAACTAAACTTTTCATGAAATTGTCCTCACGTCTAAATTCCGTTATTGAATACCTAGGATAGACCACGGCATTTGTAAAGTACTATGAGTTATTTATATGTGTTATTTCTAACCTTCCAAACCCCGCAAGGTTCATTCTCTCATTTAAATACAGTATTGAGACACCGAGGTCAAGTGACTTGCTCAAGGCCTCATGCCAGTCTGTGGCAGAGTGAGGCTTGGCTTCAGGGTCAGTCTGACTCAGTCAGTAGAATTTCTAGTCTGTCATCATGTTGCTACTCAGTACAGGAAATGAGCATCGAAAAAAGCCCTGAATGGCTCTTTTAAAACACACTCATTCTACATGCAGACAACTGTTATTTTAAGGAAAGTCTAGAAGAAAAAGAGAGATTACATTTTGGCATGCAAAGGCAAAACAATAAATATTCTTTTTTCCTGTTCCTGGATCCCATTTCAACGTCTTCAAAGCAAGTAAATTTATGCGTGTTGACCCAACTCTGATTTTCAAATCTTTTGAAACTCCATTTTCAACTTCTTCCCCGTGGCACAACCAGTCCCATGACTGCCCTCTGTCAGACTCTTGAGTATCTGCCTAAAATCATTACGTAGCGATCACTGCTAGGATTCACTCCTCTCCACTAAGCCATATGTCTCTTCTGGTTATATTGTATTGCCTGGCATATTACAATGTTAGTTATAAAGGCCTTGTACTTTAAGGATATATTCATATCAGTATTTTAAAAATATGTTCATTTGGCCAGGCACGGTGGCTCACGCCCAGCACTTTGGGAGGCTAAGGTGGACGGACTGCTTGAGCCCTTGAGTTTGAGACCAGCCTGGGTAACATAGAAAAACCGGGCATCTACAAAAAATACAAAAAGTAGCCAGGCGTGGTGGCATGGGCCTGTAGTCCCAGCTACTTGGGAGGTTGAAGTGGGAGGACTGCTTGAGCCCAGGAGGCTCCAGTGAGCCATGATTGTGTGACTGCACTCCAGCCTGAGTGACAGAGTGAGACCCTGTTTCAAGACATATATATATATATATATATATATATACACACACACACACATATATATGTACATTGTGTCTGGAACTTTGTCCTTTAATAATCTTAAATTGCATTTTATCAAGCTTATTTACAAATGTATAGTTTTCTCATTTTTCTCTGAAAGTAATAGATTTTGTTTCAGTGTAAGTATACTTGTTGACAGTAAAACTCCACAAGTTTTTTAAACTTGCTTCTTCTTCAAAAAAAAAAAAGCAACCTAGGTTATTGCTCTTTGGTTATTTGCAATTAATCAAAAATAATTTAAAAGCCTCTAGTTATGCTTGTGTAAAAAAGAAAATTTTGCTGCAATGCAAGATGCCTTCCAAATTGAAAAAATAAAGCTAAAAGAACTTTCCTTTGCTATGACAAAGCAATGGTGTGATGATCACCAGTTGGGCCAAACAGACACCATGTGCCTTCTGCTGTGATGCACTGAGAACTCAACATCCTTTCTGTAATCTTCTTGCCAAAAATGCATAACCTGAATCTAATCATGGCAAAATATCAGACAAATTCAAACTAAGGGAACTTCCACAAAATTAATAGTCTATGCTCTTCACAAAATGTCAAGGTAAAAAAATACAAAGAAAGGGTAAGGAACTGTTCTAGATGAAAAGAGATTATAGAGATGTGACAACTAAATCACAATGTCCTAGACCAGAAAAAAAAAAAACCATAAAAGCCATAAAAGCCATTATTGGGACAGTTGACCAAAGCAGAGGAAGGACTGTGGATTAGACAAGAGCATTGTGTCAATGTTAAATTTCTTGACTTTGATCAGTGTACTGTGGTTATGTAAGAGAATGTCCCTGTTCTTAGGAATTACACACCGAAGCATTTTGTATAAAGGGGCAATATGTTTCCAATTTACTTTCACATGGTTTGAGGGAAAAATATGCATGTACAAATAAAAAGAGAGAGAAAGAGACTGATAATGCAAATGGAGCAAAATGTCAACAATTGTCAAAGCTGGGTAAAGGTATATATACAAAATTTTTTGTACTTTTTTTGCAACATTTTGTGCACGCCTTTAAAACTATATCAAAATTAAAGGTTATCAAAAAACAATAGATGTATAGAAGATAAAAGAATATTACAAAAGAAAAAGAAAAAAAAAGCAATGCTCCTGAAATGTACATGACACAGCAGAGTCTAAGGCATGTTTAAATCTTTTGTTAATGGGCAAGTTTGACTTAAGAGAAACATTCTACATTTTAAAGTGCAGGGTTGAGGAGAAAAAAGGAAGGTTGCCTTTTTTATACTTTCAGCCCATTGTTCACAGACTCAGTTTAAAAAATAACAACAAAAAACTAACACATTCCTCCCTTGGGAGATTCATGCCCCATTCAGCCACTCTAGCAGGCCTCTAGGTCACCCTCCCACCTTCATTGATGACTTTGATGCAGCCGTTACCTCAATGCCTGCCTCATCCTGGGTAGAGTTTTGGCTTTTCTGTGCATGAGGCAGCCAGTGCCCTATTTCAATTCTTTGACCTCCTCAGCACCAATCATTCTGGATGCACTTGTGGGTGAGGAGATCGAGGGTGGGAGGGAGGAAGTGGAGGAGTTAGGAGGAGGAGGCAGCTGGTGTAAAGGGAATGAGGCCACTCACAATATGTGTGCTATACCCGTTCTGTGACCACATCAGGACCTTCAGTCCCCTGACCACCTCATTTCCTCCTCACTTGATCCCTCACCTTCTCATTTTAGTTCTCTCCCCATGGTTGGTCACATCAGTCACATCATGTCTGATGTGACTTCAACTCTTCAATCCCTCATCCTTTGACACTGCAAACTCCCAACCCTGGACCAATCCAGCCTTTTGCCTTCTCCTGTCCTTCTCAATTGTTGTTCAGGATAATGGAAAACCTCACACTGGTGCTGACTCATATATACTCTGTGTGTGTGTGTGTGTGTGTGTGTGTGTGTGTGTGTGTGTGTGTTCTTCAATGCAATTGGGCTTTCATCCCGTTCAGCAATCCCTGTTGACCTTTTCTCAGTTCTTTCATTACTTGATCTTTGTTTTTATAATAGATTGTTGAAACCTCCTCTTCCTGTGGCTTCCATGACATCACTACCTTCTGGTTCCCCCTGCTTCTTCAATTTGATGGTGCCTTCACCAACTTCTTCCTGTCTCCATGTTTTTTCTGTAAATGTTGAGCTTCTCACAGCTTCCATCCTTGGCACGTCTTCTCTCTTTTCCCTGTACCAATGGTTCTCAAATCTGGCTGCATATTAGAATCAACTGGAAAGCTTTAAAAGATTGTCATGCTTGGGTCTCATCCCTGATTTGTCTGTGGTATGTCCCAGGCATTGGGTTATTTTTAAATGCCTCCAAGTGATTCTAAGGTGTCGGCAAGGTGGAAAACCTCTTTCTCCAGGTGATCTCATCTATGCCTACAGTTCTAGCCACCTGTATGCAGATTCCCAAATCTCCATCCCTGGCTCCTACTCCTTCCCCTGAGCTTTGGACCTATTTATTGTTCCTCTTTACCCTCTACAATTTCAAAGTCAAATGGCCAAATTGAACTCTTTACCTTCTTCCCCTGCTTGGTCTTTCTTGCGCAATCTCAAACTTGAGACATTTACACGCTCATAAATAGCGAATAAGAACAGACTCTGTACCACAGCCCACGGAGCTGACCACATCAGACACTTTGGACTCATTCTTGATTCCTTTCCTTCATTTCCCACACCCTATCACCAAATCTTCCTTTCCCACACCAAATCTTCCTTAAATTCATCTCATCATTTCCCCCATGCCCTCTTTCTAATTATCTAAATTTGGGCCTTTATTCTTTCTATCCTGTACAATAATAATTGGCTCCTTGCAATTCATGCCTTGCTTTCTTCAACTGTTACTTTTCCAGAATACAAATCTAATAATGCAACAACTCCCTCGGTAAAACTCTTCAGTGGCTGCCAGTTGCCTACAGAATAAAGATCAAATGCTACATGTGGCTTAAAGACATCTCATGATCTAGCTTTAGCCTGCCTTTTGTCACTCAACTCCTATTATTCCTCCAAAGACACAGGACTCTAAACTTGCTAAGTTGCTGTAAGTCTTAGACATAGCATGGTCTTTCTCTTTTTTTTGAGACGGAGTCTCACTCTGTTGCCCAGGCTGGAGTGCAAGTGGCACAGTCTCGGCTCACTGCAACCTACGCCTCCTGGGTTCAAGCGATTCTCCTGCCTCAGCCTCCCGAGTAGCTGGGATTACAGGTGCCTGCCACCATGCCCGGCTAATTTTTTGTATTTTTAGCAGAGATGGGGTTTCACCATTTTGGCCAGGCTGGTCTCAAACTCCTGACCTCGTGATCCGCCTGCCTCGGCCTCCCAAAGTGCTGGGATTACAGGCGTGAGCCACCGTGCCCGGCCAGCATGGTCTTTCATGAGCTAATAATGTTAAGAAAAGTTACCCAAAATTCAGAAATAAGATTACATATTAAGTAATAAAAAGATTACTCTCTGGTCTTTCTGTGTCCCGCTGGAGTATTATTTAAAAAGTAAATCTACGCTGCCTAATGCAGAGCAGTGCTGTCCAATTGAGCCACAGATACAATTTTAAGTTTACTAGTAGCCACATTAAAAAATAGGTAGAAAGAAGCCAGATAAGGCCAGGCGCGGTGGTTCACACCTGTAATCCCAGCACTTTGAGAGTCTGAGGCAGGTGGATCACTTGAGGTCAGGAGTTTGAGACCAGCCCTGCCAACACGGTGAAACCCCGTCTCTACTAAAAACACAAAAATTAGCTGGGTGCGATGGTGCACGCTTGTAATCCCAGCTACTCAAGAGGCTGAGGCAGGAGAATTGGTTGAACCCGGGAGGTGGAGGTTGCAGTGAGTTGAGATCGTGCCACTGCACTCCAGCCTGGGTGACAGAGTGAGACTCCATCTCAAAAAAAAAAAAAAAAAGAAAAAGAAAAAGAAAAAAAGAAACCAGATAGATTGCTGTTAATAATGCATAAGATTTTACCTAATGTATTTAAAATATTATTCTTTCAATATGTAAAAACATTGTTAATGAGATATTTTAGATTGTCTTTTTCATCCTAAGCCTTTGAAATACAATGAGTATTTTACACTCACAGCACATCTTCAGATGCTAGATTTTCACGGGAAGTGCTTCTTCTGTATTTAGGTTTCATAAAATTTGCATTTGGAAGAAAGGTGGATTCACATATCCAAGGTGTTTTAACATACCTAAAAGTTTTCCTGTAACTGAATTGAGTAGCAAAAATTATTTTCCTTTAATATTTGCATCCTCATTGACAAAACTAGCTTATTTTTTTAGAAGAAGTGATTTTACTTTGAAGAGAAAGGATGTCAGTTTCAAAATCATGTCTGTCCAAGTTAAGTAAATTCACTAATTTGTGTCAACTCCATATTATTAACATTGAATTCAAAGGGGTATTGCATGATTTGAGAAGCAGTTCTAAGTTTATCAATATAAACAAAGCATTCTTTAAAATTTTCTATAGTTTTTGCAGCCAATTTACATAACTGTCTATTAATAAAGTCTTATGCATATTTGATTCATGTTAGAAAAAGGTATAAAATCATTATTATCGACTTGTATCACAAAAAAGTTCAATTTCAACATTAATCCTTTAACTGTCTAGCTAAGTCACAAATAAGCTTTTCCTTTTCTTGGAGTTTTAAATTTATCTTGTTCCTATGCAGTGTGATATCCGTGAGAAAACACATAAATCACATTGCTATTTTTTTTCTTTGATTGCTGTATATTTGGCAAGCACTCCTTTTGTTTCAAGAAAATTTGAATTGGAGTTAACAGCTTGGTAAAACTCTATGGCTTAACCAATGAGCACTGGCAATGAACACAAGAGTAAATTCATTGTCTTTAATTTCTTTCAACAGTTCTTGAAACTGGTGATGAGTCACACACAGCATTTGCACGTATATGCTGAAAAATGTTAACAACAGCATTCATGACTCCTTTCACAGAGTCTGTTTCAGAGAAGGGAGCCCAAATATTTTCGGTATGTGTCATACAGTGATATGAAGTCACCAGGAAAACATCAGACTCCTATTTTAAAATTCCAATACATCTGGAATTTTGACCTAACATGGCTGAGCAGTATTCATTGTGATTTTTTTTCATATCTAACTGAAGTTCTTCCTTGAGAGATGTAAAAGATTTAAAAAATTTTTGCTATAAGGTTTTAAAGGTATGAATTGGCATTTCTTTGTAAATATGGGAGTCCTTTGAGTCAAAACATACCCAAAGTATTAATTGGGCAGTGTCGTAGATCACATGAATCATCTAAAGCTAAAATCGTTGCAATTTTTCGAATTTTAAATTAATTAATCTTGGATACTGGTCTTGTATTCTACAGGCAATTATTTTGTGGTTTAATTGAAGAGCTTTCATTTTTTGTAAAATATATTTTAAAGTCTTTTCGTTACAACTTTTAAACAAAATTTCCATAACTGAAATAATTTCTTTTACTATTGCCATCTAAAACTGTTTTCCTTTTTTGTGCAAGAATCCAAGCCAGTATAAAGCTAGCCAAAGTTCCAAGCTCAGAGCCTGTTATCACTTTTTAAACAATTTTTATTGGACATTCAATTTTGAATTCCGACAACTACTTTTATTGATTTTTTTCACTTTTGTTATCAAATTCTCTCTGTATTTGCTGAAAATGTCTCTTAATATTGTCCGCTTTGTTATCTTTGAACAATTTTTACACAACAAACAGCTTTTTTTGTTTTGCTTTGCCTTGGCAAATTGCCTCAAATTTGCAACATACCTTCTTCCTGTTTCTGTTTCTCTATTCCAGGCACAGCAGTAATAATCTCTACCTCTCCACCCAATTCTGCCTTCGTTTTACATTTAAAACAGTTCACACTTTTTTTAATTAAAAAAAAAAGCAGTTTAATTATATCATAATTTAAGGCATAAATACTTCAATTTAGTTAACCAATTTTGATTTACATAAGTATCATTGTAATTAGTGCTGCCTGTATAAAATATTCAAATGAACACATTTCAGTGTTACATCAGTGCATAGAAAAACATCATTTAAATTGAATCAATGTCAATCAGACACTGACTAGAGTAATAATATGTTTACATGTAATACTGAAAATGACTCATGCACTGGACACACACAGTACAATGCAGCAATATCTTTTTTTTTTTTTTGAGACAGAGTCTTGCTCTGTTGCCCAGGCTGGAGTGCAGTGGTGTGATCTCAGCTCACTGGAACCTCTGCCTCCCAGGTTCAAGCAATCCTCCTGCCTCAGCCTCCCGAGTAGCTGGGATTACAATTGCCCACCACCACGCCCAGCTAATTTTTGTATTTTTAGTAGAGATGGGGTTTCGCCATGTTGGCCAGGCTGGTCTCAAACTCCTGACCTCAAGTGATCCGCCTGCCTCGGCCTCCCAAAGTGCTGGAATTACAGGCGTGAGCCACTGCGCCCAGCCCAATGCAGCAATATCTTAACATAGGCCAAGATGCCATGGTTAAAGTAAAATATTGTCCTGCCTAAATAATAAAGTTGAATTTATTCAATAAAGTTGAATAAATTAAATAATTTAATTTATTTTGACACCACTGTTTCTAAATTAAACTTAAGTAAAATTAAATAAAACGAACAATTTAGTTCCTCAGGTGCGCTAGTCTTTCAAGTACTCTGTAGCCACATGTGGCTAGAGGCTACCATATTGTAAAGCACAGTTCCAGAGAACTGTAATTTTGTTTAACTTACTAATGGCTGCTGATTAGGGCCTAGATTATGCAAAACTACATATTTGCATATTAACTTGCAGAAAAGACAGATAAGATTATGAGCAATTTTTATTTGTTTCAGTAGAAATGCAAATGATTTCTGCCAGATAAAAATGAACACAACAATAGTTGCATCTGTATGTAACTTTATATCTTACTCTCAGCAATGTTATTTCAGCATTCTTTCTTTCCATATAATGCTGCCCTTAAATTTGATATGGTAGAAGATTATTTGATGATGCATAAAGATATTCACAAAATATTGTTAAGTGAGACAAGCAGATCGCAAAAGAAAAAATACAGAGTGGTTATATTTTTATATGCTTTTAAATATATTTATATTCTGGAAAAATAGGAAGGATATAAACAAAGATTGTTTACCATTACCTGTGGATGGGATTATGCATGGTATTGAAATATTTTTGGGGGGCTGTCTTCATTTTTAAAACTACAGTTGTACTGAGAAAAATACCATGCAAGTATTACATCCTTTTAAACTCAGGTTCACTGCAGGGGGCTTTTTCTCATCACCTCTCCTCTGATCCCATAAAACCCAGGCCTTACTCTGAAAACATTTAGCAACAGTGGTAATCCTAGGTACTTTTCAGCTAACTCAAATATTACTTTTTAAAAATGATGATGATGAGGGCCGGGCGCAGTGGCTCACGCCTGTAATCCCAGCACTTTGGGAGGCCGAGGCGGGAGGATCACGAGGTCAGGAGATCGAGACCATCCTGGCTAACGTGGTGAAACCCCGTCTCTACTAAAAATACAAAAAATTAGCCGGGCGTGGTGGCGGGCGCCTGTAGTCCCAGCTACTCGGGAGGCTGAGGCAGGAGAATGGCGTGAACCCAGGAGGCGAAGGTTGCAGTGAGCAGAGATCACGCCACTGCACTCCAGCCTGGGCAACAGAGCGAGACTCCGTCTCAAAAAAAAAAAAAAAACGATGATGATGATGATAAATACATATACAAGAATTTGGAGTCCTCTACCCATCTCTTCCATAACTATGCTGTGTTTTTTCAACTGCTTACTGAAATGTTGTGCTTTTTTTTTTTAAGCATTTTCCTGTGAATAATACTTCCATGTGCCTAAATTGTGAATAAATTGAGAACGCCTTACAAATGTAACAACAAAAACCAAGTGCATATTTCTGTCAGTGCCTGTTCCTCTCCCTAGGCCCCACAGATTTTAATAATTTTTATATTTTTGTTTTTCTCTAGATCTAGCCTGTGAGCTCTTGACCCAGGGGCTGTATTTTATTAACCACTGTGGTTTGATGCCTAGGATAATTCTGGCACATAACAGGTGAGTGGGCATGCTATAAATCTGTGAGGAGTGAATGAAAGAATAAGAATTTGGCCAGGAATGGAGGCTCACGCCTGTAATTCCAGCACTTTGGGAGGCCAAGGCAGGAGGATTGCTTGAGCTCAAGAGTTTGAGATCAGCCTGGGCAACATAGCAAGACCTTAATCTCTACGAAAAATTAAAAATTAGCCAGTCATGGTGGTGTGCTCCTGTGGTCCCAATTACTCAGGGGGCTGAGGTGGGAGGCTCACTTGGTCCTGGGAGTCTGAGGCTGCAGTGAGCTGTGATCACGCCACTGCACTCCAGCCTGGGCTACAGAGTGAGACCCTGTCTCAAAAAAAAAACAAAAAAAAAGGAATTCCCACTCAGCCATACTTTGTGCCATCCTAGGCACTGGGAATATAGCCATGAACATCTGTACATTTGGAATATGAGAGGACTGTGATTCAATCGCTTGAATATGATCAAATAATATCTGTAAAGACAGAAATTAAAAGACATGGAATCAAGAGGGCAACATAGACTCGACTAGTTTTATACAGTAGGATGTTTATCCTAACTAGAAAATCAATGCATTATTGTTAAAAAGAGAAGCAGCATTCTTTACAAACAGACATTTTTCTTAGCAGGCACCCAATTCTAACTCCACATGAAAAACCTAAAATAAAAAGATTTTCTTTCTTTCTTTCTTTCTTTCTTTCTTTCTTTCTTTCTTTCTTTCCTTCTTTCTTTCCTTCTTTCTTTCCTTTCTCTTTCTTTCTCTCCTTCCTTCCTTCTTTCCTTTCCTTTTCTTTCCTTTCCTCTTTCCTTTCTCTCTTTCTTTCTTTCTTTCTTTCTCTCCTTCCTTTCTTCCTTCTTTCCTTTCCTTTCTCTCTCTTTCTCTCCTTTCTTTCTCTCTCTCTTTCTTTCTTTCTTCCTTTCTCCCTTCCTTCCTTCATTCCTTCCTACCTAACTCATGACTTGGGATCCAAATCACAACTTGGCAAACCTACACACAGTGTGTAGCATTCTGTTTTAAGTGCTGTTGAACTACAAGTAGAATCCAATGTTTTCATCACAGCTGGATATCCACCTTCTTGCCAGCTGTGGCCCCCACCCACTGGGTAATCCATCAGTAGATGCTCTTCCTTCTGTCTGTATTCCTATGGCATCGAGGCAGGCATTTCCATAAAGAAAAATGTAAATCTGACTTAGGGTCCCTGAATCGTGGTAGTTATGGTGGTTTTAAGTTCATATAGTAAGAATTACTTTAAAAATAGAGTAAGGCACCCCACAGATTACTTATAAATTATAATGGAGAGGTCTGGCTAGATAAGAGCTTATCTGTATGATCCAACTTCCATCACTAATAACTGACATCGTATGCCTCCTGATGTGATGCAATGGTGTCAGGGTTATCCATTGTCGCATGATAAGCCATAGTGGCTTAAAATAACAATCAGGGGACCTTAAAATTGAATACAAACAGAAACAAGTGAACTGATGCATTTTTCAAATAAAAACATAATCACATTTGAAAGGGGGCATTAATCCAAGTAGCTTTTAGAATTTGGACCACATGCCCTCAAATAACTTTAAACAAATAATGAACTCTAATCAGAAAGCTTATTTTTGGCATAGGCATAAATTCACAATTCTGAAACTACTTTCAATACGGTCTAGGGTTAAGCAAATAAGTAAATACATTGTGGATAATGGGATCCAGTTTTTTCATTATTGGGGAAGGCAGTTACCATTATGGAAAGTGGGAAGAACAGATTGAATGTCATTGTGTTAGATTGGAGCTGGAGGTACCATTGGGAAGTTATGACTATATATATTATATATATATATATATGTAGATCGATATAGATAGCTAGATATAGAAATGAATATAGATATGTATCTATATGCAATGAATACATATGTAAATGCATGTGTGTGTACACATATATGTATGTGCAAATATGTACATACAGACATCTCTTTCCCAGCTCTGTCTGTTGAGAGGCTGTAGAAGCAATGATACCTCAGTAATGATAAACACACCCAGCACCCAGTTCTTGCTTTCTACATAACATTCTCCACTAAAAGGAATCTGAGCTGGGACAAGGGACATACAAGATAAGCCTGGATCATCTTGTGTTAAAAAGTAGAGGAGCACTCAAGAAATAATGGAGACATGTTAAAAGGCCACAGGAGCCGGCTTGAAGAACTCCCACCGGTCAACTCTGAAACAATTTGAGCATGAAAGCAAATGCTAGTATTAAGAGTTATAATTTATTGAATAAAGTGAGCATCCATGAGTCCACACTTAAATGAACAAACAAACAAACAAATTAGAAGGGAAAGATCTTCCTTACAGTAGAAAGCCAAATTATAAATGAAGAAAGAATAATGGAAATATGACAATCACTATTTGGTGGCCATTGTAATAATAATTGATTCTGGCAGGAATCATTAATGGATGCTAAAGCCAGTGAGTGACAGTTTGAGTAGTAAGAAGACATTTACGGAGTCACAAAGTATCTCTCTAGAAAGCATTTACTAATTACAAAGGGAAAAGCAGTAACTTTACAGTTACTGACAGTTACCAACTAAGCCAAATGATCAAAGTTAACATTATCAGTAATGGAGCTAATTGACAGCATGTGCCTCCTGATATGAGGCACTAAGAAGGACTCTGCATCAATTCTGTGGGATTCCTGCCCAAAATGCATAATCTAAATCTAGTCACGAGGAACATCAGACAAACTGAAAGTGAAGGACAATCTACAGAATAACTGGCCTGCATGCTTCAAAAAAATGTCAATATCATGAAATACAAACAAAGACTGAATTATTTCAAATGAAAGAAGACCAAAGAGACACGATAACTGAAGGCAACACATATTTTAGAAGTTTTTGTTTTTTGTTTTGCTATAAAAGACATTATTGGGACAATTGGTGAAATCTTAATCAAGTATATAGGTCAGACTATAGTATTGTATCAATGTTAATTAACTATTTTTGATAAGAATGAAAGATATGGGTAGAGAGAGATGATAGGTGGGCAGAGATTGAGAGAGAAGAATAAAGCAAATATAGTAAAGGATTAACATTTGGGGACTCTGGATATCTGAGAATTCATTGTACTATTCTTGCAACTTTTTGGTAAGTCTGAAATTATGTCAATAAATGTTTTTTGAATTATTATTATCTCTTACTGTTCTGTGAGTTGACTGGGCTCAGCTAAGCAGGGTCTCTCATCCAGGATAATAAGATGGCAGCTGGGGCTGGAGTCAGATGAAGACTCAACTGGACTGGACATCCAAGATAGTGCAAGAGGTGGAAAAAGATATTCCATGCAAATGGACACCAAAAGTGATCAGGAGTAGCTATTCTTATATCAGACAAAACAAACTTTAAAGCAACAACAGTTAAAAAAGTCAAAAGGGACATTATATAATAATAAAAGGACTAGTCCAACAGGAAAATATCACAATCCTAATATATATGTGCCTAACACTGGAGCTCCCAAATTTATAAAACAATTACTAGTAGACCTAAGAAATGAGATAGACAGCAACACAATAATAGTGGGGGAGTTCAGTACTCCACTGACAGCACTAGACAGGTCATCAAGACAGAAAGTTAACAAAGAAACAATGGACTTAAACTATACTATAGAACAAATGGACTTAAGAGATATTTACAGAACATTCTACCCAACAACTGCAGAATATACATTTTATTCATCACCACATGGAACATTCTCCATGATAGACCATATGATAGGCCACAAACAAGTCTCAATAAATTTAGGAAAATCAGAATTACATCACATACCTCTCAGACCACAGTAGAATAAAATTGGAAATCAATTCCAAAAGGAACCCTAAAAACCATGCAAATACGGAAATTAAATAACCTGCTCCTGAATGATCATTGGGTCAACAATGAAATCAAGATGGAAATTAAAAAATTCTTTGAACTGAACAATAATAGTGCCATAACCTATCAAAACCTCTGGGGTACAGCAAAAGCAGTGCTAAGAGGAAAGTTCAAGGCATTAAATGCCTACATCAAAAAGTCTGAAAGAGCACAAATAGACAGTTTAAGGTCACACCTCAAGGAACTAGAGAAACAAGAACAAACCAAACTCAAATCTAATAGAAGAAAAGAAATAGTAAAGATCAGGGCAGAGCTAAATGAAATTGAAACAAGGAAACAAACAAAATACATAAGATAAATGAAACAAAAAGCTGATTCTTTGAAAAGACAAAATTGATAGACCATTAGCGAGATTAACCAAGAAAAGAAGAGACAATATCTAAGTAAGCTCAATTAGAAACAAAACAGGAGATATTACAACTGATGCCACAGAAATATAAAAGATCATTTAAGGCCACTATGGACACTTTTATGGGCACAAACTAGAAAACCTAGAGGAGATGTATAGATTCCTGGAAATATACAACCCTCCTAGATTAAATCAGGAAGAAGTTGAAATTCTGAACAGACCAATAACAAGCAGCAAGACTGAAATGGTAATAAAAAAAAATTGCCGACAAAAAAAAGTCCAGGGCCAGATGGTTTCACAGGTGAATCCTATCAGACATTCAAAGAAGAATTTGTACCAATCCTATGGACACGATTCCTCAAGATAGAGAAAGACGGAATTCTCCCTAAATCATTCTATGAGCCAATATTGCCCTAATACCAAAACCAGGAAAGGACATAACAAAAAAAGAAAACTACAGACCAATATCTCTGATAAACATAGATGCAAAAATCTTCAACAAAATACTAGCTAACCGAATCCAATGGCATATCAAAAAGATAACCCACCATGATCAAGTGGGTTTCATACCAGAGATGCAGGTAATATACACAAATCAGTAGCACTGCTATACACCAACAGCAACCAAGCTGAGAATCAAATCAAGAACTCAACCCTTTTTACAATAGCTGCCCCCCGCCCCAAAATACTTAGGAATATACCTAACCAAGGAGGTGAAAGACCTCTACAAGGAAAACTACAAAACACTGAAAGAAATCATAGATGACACAAACAAATGGAAATACATCACATGCTCATGGATGGGTAGGATCAATATTGTGAAAATTACCATACTGCCAAAAGCAATCTACAAATTTGATGCAATCCCCATCAGAATACCATGATCATTCTTCACAGAACTAGAAAAAATAATCCTAAAATTCATATAGAACCAAAAAAGAGCCCGCATAGCCAAAGCAAGACTAAGCAAAAAGAACAAATCTGGAGGCATCATGTTACTTGACTTCAAACTATACTATAAAGCCATTGTCACCAAAAGAGCATGGTACTGGTACAAAAATAGGCACATAGACCAATGGAACAGATTAGAGAACCCCAAAATAAAGCCAAATACTTACAGCCAACTGATCTTTTTTTTGAGACAGAGTCTCACTCTGTCTGTCCAGGCTGGAGTGCAGTGGTGCAATCTCAGTTTACTGCAATCTCTGCCTCCCGGGTGCAAGCTATTATCCTGCCTTAGCCTCCCAGGTAGCTGGGATTACAGGCACCTGCCACCACACCTGGCTAATTTTTGTATTTTTTAGTAGAGACGGGGTTTTACTATGTTGGCCAGGCTGGTCATGAACTCCTGACCTCAAGTGATGCCCCTGCCTCAGCCTCCCAAAGTGCTGAGATTACAGGCATGAGCCACTGCGCCTGGCCTCCAACTGATCTTTGACAAAGCAAACAAAAACATAAAGTTGGGAAAGGACACCATATTCAACAAATGGTGCTGGGATAATTGGCAAGACACATGTAGAAGAATGAAACTGGATTCTCATCTCTCACCTTATACAAAAATCAACCCAAGATGGATCAAAGACTTAAATCTAAGACCTGAAACCATAAAAACTCCAGAAGATAACATCGGAAAAAACATTCTAGACATTGGCTTAGGCAAAGACTTCATGACCAATAACCCAAAAGCAAATGCAACAAAAACAAAGATAAATAGATGAGACTTAATTAAACTAAAAAGCTTCTGCACAGCAAAAGAAATAATCAGCAGAGTAAATAGACAACCCACAGAGTGGGAGAAAATCTTTACAACCTATACATCTGATAATGGACTAATATCCAGAATCTACAGGGAACTCAAACAAATCAGCAAGAAAAAACCAAACAATTTCATCAAAAAGTGGGCTAAGGACATGATAGACAATTCCCAAAAGAAGATATACAAATGGCCAACAAACATATGAAAAAATGCTCAACATCTCTAATAATCAGGGAAATGCAAATGAAAACCACAATGAGATACCACCTTACTCCTGCAAGAATGGCCATAATCAAAAATCAAAAAATTATAGATTTTGGCATGGATGTGGTGAAAAGGAAACACTTCTGCACTGCTGATGGGAATGTAAACTAGTACAACCACTATGGAAATCAGTGTGGAGATTCCTTAAAGAACTAAAAGTAGATCTACCATTTGATCCAGCAATCCCACTACTGGGTATCTACCCAGATGAAAGAAAGTCATTATACGAAAAAGATACTTACACATGCATGTTTATAGCAGCACAATTCGCAATTGCAAAAATATGGAACCAGCCCAAAATGCCCATGAACCAACGAGTGGATAAAGAATATGTGATATATATATATATATATATATATATATATATATATATATATATATGTAATGCAATACTACTCAGCCATAAAAAGGAATGAAATAATGGCATTCACAGCAACCTGGATGGAATTGGAGATTGTTATTCTAGGTGAAGTAACTCAGGAATGGAAAACCAAATATGGTATGCTCTCACTCATAAGAGGGAGGTAAGCTGTGAGGACACAAAGGAATAAGAATGATACAATGGACTCTGGGGACTCGGAGGGGGGAAGCGGGAGGTAGGTGAGGGATAAAAGACTACATATTGCATACAGTGTACACTTCTGGGTGATGGGTGCACCAAAATCTCAGAAATCACCACTGAAGAACTTACGTATTTAATCAAACACCACCTGATCCTCAAAAACCTATTAAAAAGAAAACTCAGTGTCATGAAGAACTAAGATGAAAGGATACTAATGAGAAATAACAAATGTACTGCATAGTTCTTGATTGGATAGAAAAACAGCTATAAAGGACATTTGGGGCAATTGGGAAAATGTGAATGTGAGCTGTATACTAGATAATATTGTTGCATTAATGCTAAATTTCTTGGATATGACAATGGTATTGTGGCTTTGTAGAAAATTATCCCTGTTCTCAAGAAGTACAGGCTAAAGTATTTCACTTCAAGATTCAGTATCATAATGTTGCAACTTATTTTCAAATGGTTTAGCAAAAATAACAAGAATAGACTTAAATACCAACCGGGCATGGTGGCTCCCACCTGTAATCCCAGCACTTTGTGAGGCTGAGGCTGGTGGATCACTTGAGGTCAGGAGTTCGAGACCAGCCTGACCAACATGGTAAAACCCTGTCTCTACTAAAAATACAAAAATTAACTGGGCGTGGTGGCGCATGCCTGTAATCCCAGGTACTCGGGAGGCTGAGGCAGGAGAATCGCTTGAACCCTGGAGGTGGAGGTTGCAGTGAGCCGAGACTGTGCCACTGCACTCTAGCCTGGGTTACAGAACCAGACTCTGTCTCAGTATGTATATACTTAAATACGTATGTGTGTGTGTTCAGTGAGAGAGAAAAAGCAAATGTGATAAAATACATGTCAATCTTGGTGAACTGTATAGGGCATTTATTTTGCCATTCTTATTTTCCTGTAGTTTTGAAATCTTTCAAAATGAAGAGCTGGAAATAAAAAATAAAATTAAAAACATTTACCACCCCTGCAATACTGTATTCATTTATATGATACACTCATACATCATAGAATCTTAGAATTTGAGAGTCCTTGAAGTTCATCCAGTCCGATATTTATGAAACTATGGGTTGTAACCCAATCCTTGCTCACGAATAGTGAGTCACTGACTAGCATTTTTTGAATGAAATGGAAAGGAATAAAACAAAAACTATCAGTGGGTCTCATCACTTATTAAGGTAAGCCTGTTTGGGGAAACTTTTGTTTGAATCACTTTGAATCACATGTATGTGTATACATGCACGCGAGTGATGGGTCTCAATGAAAAGTCTATTTTTTACTGTGAGCTGCAATCACAAAGGTTTGAAAGATCCAGCTGCCCCAAATCCCTGTACAGTATCAGTTCATTTCAAGGCTGGGTATTCTGTTCTTTAATAGGGCATTTTTGGACACTTCTTACTGTTGACATTTATTCAAAAATTAATTGTGTCATCTTTCTTGTTGTTCTTAGTACGGTGGCAGGATAACATATTGAGATACTAATTTGAGTTTAGTTCTTACATGTCCTTTCCCCTAGTTCAAGGGCCTTTGCACCAAGCAGGACTTAGGGACCAGGAACACTGAGCAGAAAGCAGAAATTGTATAAAAACAACCTCCCTTTTCAAGTCTTTTTGTTTGTTTTTAAACCCAAGCTCCTCAAGGGAACTGTGCTGACTTGAAAAAGGCCAACGTCATAGACCCATCAATGGTCTTCTCTGAATTAATTTTATTTGACCTAATTTTACATATCTCAGACAAAAGATCCCTTACTTTTAAAATGAGGGATTGAACTAACCCAGGGATTCTTAACTTGGGGTTTAGCGTATCAGTGAACTTGAAAGAGAAAAACATCTCCTTTTTATTTTCAGTAATCTCTAACAAAAGCATGTGTTTTATTTAACTGCAAATGCAAGCGTTAAACCATAGTCATGCTAGCAGAACCTGGGATTTGTCATTAATAGAAATCAGAAATATTTTTGTATCACATGACAATTGTTGCATATATCTTGAAATATCATTTATACTTATTACCACTTCAAAATTAGACTCCTGATAGATGTTGTTAATTAATAGATTAAATGAAGAAACACATATAATACTATATCACACATTTATAATATTTACTATTTTGATAGGCATATTTTCAATATACTGATTTCCTTTGTATTCCTATGTGTGATGTTTTATGCATTCAAAAGCATTATTCTGAGAAGCCAGCCTGCCAAAGGACTCCTAGGTGAAAAAAAAAAATGTTTAGAATCCTTGGACTGGATGATCTCTTGTTTTCAATGTCTACATTGGTGTGTACACAGGGTTTCTATTAGTCTCTCTGGGAGAATGGCTTGTAACTTAGATAGTTATCTTTGTGACAAGATCACACTGACATTTTGATCATTTCATATTTGACTTGAAGTGCAACTTTGTTGGCAAGCTGAAGCATCGAACCTTTAAATTCAGCTTTTCAAACAAATCCTTCTATTAAAATTATTCTCTAATGCATTCACAGCAAAATACAGAAAAAAATAGTACAGGAAGAGCCAGGCACAATGATGTGCACCTGCAGTGCCAGCTACTCAGAAGCATTGCTTGAGCCCAAGAGCTTGAGGCTGTAGTGCGCTGTATGCCTGTGAATAGCCCCTGCATTTCAGCCTGGGCAGCATAGTCAGACCCTGTCTGATTCTGAGATAGTCACATAATATCTCTGAACCTCATTTGTAAACACATTTAGATGATCTTTACAATCTGTAAGCTCCCTTTGCAGTGGTAAATTTCTATACTTTGGAAATTTTTTGTCTTTCTGCTGGGTGTGTTCTTTGGGATTTGATTTGGTTCTTTTTTTTTTTTTTTTTTTTGAGACGGAGTCTCGCTCTGTCGCCCAGGCTGGAGTGCAGTGGCGCGATCTCGGCTCACTGTAAGCTCCGCCTCCCGGGTTCACGCCATTCTCCTGCCTCAACCTCCCGAGTAGCTGGGACTACAGGCGCCCGCCACCATGCCCGGCTAATTTTTTGTATTTTTAGTAGAGACGGGGTTTCACCGCGTTAGCCAGGATGGTCTCGATCTCCTGACCTCGTGATCCGCCCGCCTCGGCCTCCCAAAGTGCTGGGATTACAGGCGTGAGCCACCGCGCCCGGCCAGGATTTGGTTCTTAATGTATCTTTAATTCATTCATTCATATATCAAATATTGAGGTGGGAATAGCTAAACAACTAAGCCAAGGGATTCTGGGAAGATCTTTCCTTCTTTCTTTCTCTCTCTTTCTCTCTCTTTCTTTTCTTTCTTTTTCTTTTCTTTCTTTCTTCCTTTCTTTCCCTCTCTTTTCTCTTTCTCCTTCCTTCCTTCCCTCCCTCTCTCCCTCCCTCCTTCCCTCCCTCCCTCCTCTCTTTTTCTTTCTTTCTCTTTTCTTTTTCTTTCTTTCTTCCTTTCTTTCTCTCTCTCTCTTTCTCCTTCCTTCCTTCCCTCCCTCTCTCCCTCCCTCCTTTCCCTCCCTCCCTCCTCTTTCTTTCTTTCTTTCTTTCTTTCTTTCTTTCTTTCTTTCTTTCTTTCTTTCTTTCTGTCTGTCTGTCTTTCTCTCTTTCTCTCTTTCTTCTTTCTTTTTGAGACAGGGTCTCATTCTGTCTCCCAGGCTGGAAGTACAGTGGCATGCTCACAGCTTACCTCGGCTTTGATCTCCTGGGCTCAAGTGATCCTCCTGCCTCAGCCGCACCAGTAGCTGGGACTAGAGGCGTGCACCCCCATGCTTGGCTAATTTTTAAATTTTTTGTAGAGATGTGGTCCCGCTATGTTGCCCAGGCTGGTCTCAAACTCCTGGGCTTAAGTGATCCTTCTGCCTTGGCCTACCAAAGTGCTGGGATCACAGGAGTGTGCCACCCTGCCTGGCCTGAGAAGATACTTCATTGAGTTATGTTTAAACTGGGTTTTGAAGGCAGAGTAGGAGTCTGTTAAATGAAGACAGAGTAAAAGTGTTCCAGGCAGAGAGGACATTGTCTATAAAGGCTCACTGTGCCTGGGGCCCACAGTGTACTGAGGGGCTTGATAAGGGTTCAAAGGGGACCAGTCCAGGCTCCTTAGCTTAAAAGAAATTGGAGAAGATGGCCGGGTGCGATGGCTCACGCCTGTAATCCCAGCACTTTGGGAGGCTGAGGTGGGTGGATCGCCTGAGCTCAGGAGTTTGAGAACAGCCTGGGCAACATGGCAAAACCCCATCTCTACCAAAAATACAAAAATTTAGTTGGGCATGGTGGCGTGTGCCTAGGGAGGCTGAAGTGGGAGGATCACTTGAGCCTGGGAAGTCAAGGCTGCAGTGAGCCGAGATGGCGCCACTGCACTCTAGCCTGGGTGACAGAGTGAGACTCCTCCATCTCAAAAAAAGAAAATTGAGAAATCGAAGAAGATGTCTAAACAGGGTAAGTGACATGATCAAATTTGTTATTTGGAAAAAGAGTCCTGAGAGCAGTATGAGGCATGGGGGAGATTGAAATCAGAGAAATCAGCTAGAAAGAAGAATGCTGAAAAAAAGAAGAAAAAGAAACAGAAAAAAAGAAAGGAGACTACTGCAACATTTGAAGTAAGAGATAATGAAGACCTGAATTAAGGCACTAGCGATGGGAATAGAGGAAAAAGAATAGAAGTAGGTGGTGTTTATGAGACACTGTGTGGTGATGAATGAGGAATCAAGGGTGATTCTAGTTTCTACTGACAAGTGGGTGAAGGGTGATATTGAAAGGTACAGTCATTAACCTTATAGAAAATACAGGAAGAAGGAAAGGCTTTGGGGAGAAGAAAGCTAAGCTTAGAAATGTTGAGTTTGAGGAGCCTATTTGATCTCAAGGGAGATATGGACATGATACTCTGGAGAGAATTGCCCAGAGATGTGGAATTACAAACATCACACAAAAGGTAGCTGAAGCCATTTCATCAGCTACCCAATCACCATTAATGGCACCACCATCTGCCCTGTCCCTCGGCAATGCTTCACATTACCAAGCCTGTCAAATCTTGACTCCTGAGTTTACTATTAAGGCTAACAACAAGTGTTTCCTCTTCACCCCCACCTTCCCAACTGACCTTTGTCACTCCATAACACATGTATTAGTTAGGGTACAGGCAATGTTGCTGTAGCAAAGGAATCCTAAAGTACAATAGCTTATATAAGATAGAAGTTTATTTCTTTTTTATATTAATATAACAGTCCAGGGTCTACAAGGCAGCTCTGTCCCATGATGACATATAGGAACCTAGGCTGGTGGGCAGCTCTGCCATACTCAGGATCCGTCTTGGGGCCCAAGGCATTGTTCCATTCATTGCCACTTCCCAACTGATGGACAGAATATTCAGGGCAACCAGCTTCATCTTTATGGAGATAAATATACATCACATCTACACACATCCCATTGGCCCAGACTCAGTCACGTGACCACATCTATCCTCATGGAAGACTGGAAAATGTAGTATCTTGCCGGGCAGCCATGTGATGAGCTCACATGCAGGGGGCCTCTGTTACCAAAAAGTAGAAAGGCAAAATGGACACAGGGAACAATTAGCAAACTCTGACACTTCCAAACCTCTGGCATCTAAATATCCATACACACAGAATACACTCATCCCTCAAAGTACGATCCATTTCCTGAGTACAAAACAAAGTCTGACACCTCTGTGTAACGTGCAGTCTTTTCTATCAGGTCTAGATCTACTGTCTCATGATCCAGAAATCTATATAATAATAGAACATTACTCCCCCAACACTACTCAACATTTGGCACATCATATAGAGCAAGAACAGGATAGACACAGAGAAAACTCCCATTTGGGAAAATGTAGAATGGAAAGCACTCGTCAGTCACTGGTGCATAGAAATGACGAAATCGTGTTTGGCAAGATGCGCAAAGACTCCCTAGTAGTGAAGGAAGTTCTCCTGTCAGACCTTGGTCCTGCCCTCTGGGAGGAATTCCCTTGTACATGATCCTCCCTGGACTTTGGCCTTGTCTACTATTTCACATGGTCGTACCTGTAGCGGCTGTGTAGAGTACACATATGTGTTTTGACTTTTTTTTGTTTATTGGTTCCACCAGTTACTAAGAAAGTTGTATTAATGTCACTCACAATGACTGGGGGTTTTCTTTCTTCTCCTTGATGTACTTTTAATTTTGATTTTATCAATTTTTATTTTTATAAATTTTTATTTTTTATTTATTTTTATTTATTTATTTAGAGAGAGGGTCTCACTCTGTCACCCAGGCTGGAGTGCAGTGCACCATTATAGCTCACTGCAGCCTCAAGCTGCCAGGCTCAAGTGAACCTCCCACCTCAGCCTTCCGAGTAGCTGAGTGAGACTAAAGGCACATGCCACTACATGAGGCTATTTAAAAATTTTTTTTGTAGAAACAAGGTTTTGCTATATTGCCCAAGCTGGTCTCAAATTCCTGTACTCAATTGATTCTCCTTTCTCCATCACCCAAAGTGCTAGGATTACAGGTATGAGCCTCAATTTTGTTTTTCTTTCTTTCTTTTTTTTTTTTTTTTGAGATGTAGTCTCACTCTGTTGCCCAGGCTGGAGTGCAGTGGCATGATCTTGGCTCACTGCAACCTCCGCCTCCTGCATTCAAGTGATCCTCCTGCTTGAGCCTCCCTAGTAGCTGGGGCTACAGGCATGCACCACCACATCCATCTAATTTTTGTGTTTTTAGTACAGACGGGGTTTCACCATGTTGGCCAGGCTGGTCTCGAACTCCTGACCTCAGGTGATCCACCCACCTTAGCCTCCCAAAGTGCTGGGATTACAGGTGTGAGCCACCATGCCCAGCCTCAATTTTTATTTTATATATTTTCAGGCCAGGTTATTAGTTATGCACAAATTTAAAATTGTTCTGTCTTCCTAGTGAATTTAACTTTTCTTAAGAAGTGACTTGCTTTATTTCTAATAATGCTTTTTGCTTGAAGTCTATTTTGTGTGATATTAATATAGCTATATCAACTTGCTTTCAGTTACCAATTGTGGAGTAAATTATTGTCATTTATTTACTTTCTACCTTTCTTTATTTTTACGTTTAAATGTGTCTCTTTAAACAACACATAGTAGTACTGCTTGTTTGTCTATTTTCTATTTTATAATCTGTTTTCTCACTGGAAAATGTAGTCCATTTACATTCAATGTAATTGTGATATATTTGTGTTAAAATCTTATTATTATGTACTTTTTCTTTTCTTGTCTGTTTTGTTTTGTGTTTCTTTTTCTTTCTGTCCTCACCCTCTTTTGGACTGATGACTTTTACATTCAATTTTTAAAAATCTCTTTCAGTTTATACATCATATACTCTTCTTTTATTCTTTTGGTGGTTAGCCTAGAATTACAGCATGCATGTTTCACTTATAAATATCCTTTTTTTTTTTTTTTGAGATGGAGTCTCATTCTTGTCGCCCAGGCTGGAGTACAGTGGCGCAATCTCAGCTCACTGCAACCTCCGCCTCCTGGGTTCAAGCGATTCTCCTGCCTCAGTCTCCTGAGTAGCTGAAATTACAGACGCCTGCTACCACGCCCAGCTAATTTTTATACTTTTAGTAGAGACGGTGTTTCGCCATGTTGGCCAGGCTGGTCTCGAACTCCTGACCTCAGGTGATCTGCCTGTGTCGGCCTCCCAAAGTGCTGGGATTACAGGCGTGAGCCACCGCGACTGGCCTAAATATCTCATTTTTTTGAAGCAAGGTCTCTTGCTGTCACCCAGGCTGCAGTGCAGTGGTACAATCATAGCTCACTGCAGCTTTGACCTCCTGGGCTCAAGCAATTCTCCTGCCTCAGCCTCCTGAGTAGCTGGGACTACAGGCGTGCACCACCATGCTCAGCTAACTTTTTTTATTTTTTGTAGAGACAGAGTCCCATTATGTTGCCTACGCTGGTCTCAAACTTCTGGGTTTAAGCAATTCTCCTGCCTTGGCCTCCCAAAGTGCTGGGATTATAAGCATGAGCCACCACACCCAGCCAAATATCTAACTTTAATTGATACCTTTCCTCTCCTTTTGGATAATGTTAGGAATTTAGAACATTTTTATCTCCATTTATTTTCCTCTCAAGACTTTATACTATGATTATCATGCATTTAAAATATCTATCTATCTATCTATCTATCTATCTATCTATCTATCTATGTATTCCCACAGGGGACTATACTAATTGTTTCACATAGTTAATACTCATTTAGATTTACTCATATCTGGAGTCATTCTAAATCCATTTTGTTGTTCATTTTTCCTAGAGGTTCTTGCTCAAGGTTTTCTGTCCCAATTAGGCTTGGTTATCTTTGATTGTGTGCTGGGCACTATATAAGAAAAATTATTTGTCAGAATAATTTGAGGCCCAAGTTGATCACCCTAGTCCAAGTTCAAGATGTGAGATTCTCTGAGCAAGCCACTTCCAGTTCACCCTTCCTCCTAACATGTGTGTGCATGTGTATGGGACGAGGACTGGTTTACCATGTGTCAACCCTTGGCAGGTCCCGATGTCTGATTTTTGCCTTCCTATTCCCATGAGCTTGCTAAGAAGACAGCTCACCCTCTCAGTTGTCTCTTCAGGATCTGCTAGTAATGGGAAGGCAAAAGTGGTTCAGAATGTCAGGCTCACTTCTGTGGATTTCCATTCTTTTCTGAATCGCATCCCAGTAATTTATCACTATTTTGTTAGCTTTTTGATGCTTTTAAGAAGAGGTTTAACATATTATGTTCAGCAAGAAAGTTGGTCTGAATACCTAGTATGTCATTACAGAAATTGGAAGTGTTTTTTTTTTTTCACTCCTAGGCTAATGTTTCTAAAGATGGGGCCCACGGACCATTTCCACCAAAATCATGTTATGCTTGTTAAAAATTGAGATTCCATGGTTGCCATCTCAGACTTCAGAACCCATGGCACTAAGACCCAGGAATCTGCCTTTTGATAGGTTCTCAGACTATTCTTATGAAGACTTAAGTTTGAGAAGTTTTGTCCCAAAGCTTAACCCTGCACTGTTAGTAATAGGCATTTGGGCAGTATTACTTGATTTAATTCTTATTTACAGGTCAGGGAGGGCAGAAGAAAGCTGAAAACATGCCACAGTTGGAATTTGGTCAATATTTAAATCTCCTATCTCCCCACCATTTGAAAAAACCCTCCTTAAGACAAGATGATCCCACAGAAGAACTCTCAAGATCCAAGCTCCTATCTAGAGCCAGTCTAGTCCTGTCACATTCACCTGTCTCAGAAGTAACATTCATTTTGACTGGACATGGCAGGTACTTCAATATGCCTTTCAGTCACTTATGAAAGGTTTGAGAAATAAGTTAAGTTACTTAAAGATATCTTGACCCCCAAATCCAACAGCGAATCCAATTACGAACTAGCCTAAAAAAATAGTCTGTGAAACCATATCTTTTATGAAATAATGGCAATTATAAATAGTAAGTATTTTTTACAATATTATTATTTGCCAAAATAAGAAGTTGTTAATACCATGCTGGTCTTCAACATTATTTTTAAATGTTACTGATCCAAGAAATCTGTAGATCTCAGAATGACTGACTTACCAGCTCCTCAAGACACTCCAGATTCTGATATTCCAGAAAGCTCTCAGCCTGCCTGCCAAAGTCTCTGTGAATAGCATGCAAATCTGCATTCCACACTGCCAGGAACATGATTAATTATCTATTTAGATTAGCCAACAGAATCTATGTTCCTGTGTTTCTGTGACATGGTTACTTAAATTTCTTAGCTGTGGTCATGCTTTTGAGTTACAATGCTTTCTCAAATGTGTGTCTCTGCTTTCTTGCAGGAAAAAAAAAAAAAACACACACAGCCAAGCAGTCAGCGAACAACAACTTAGATTTCTCATTTCTGCACCAACATGCAGTGTCTTAGATTTTATTCAGCTTTTAAAGGAAAAGCTTTGTGTGGGTTCTGGTGTTTTCCACAGCTGAATAACCTTAATATGGAAATGCGCTCATGTTACACATCATAGCCTTCAATAGAAAGTTTCAGAGAATTTGAGCCTTTTAATCAGATGATCTTGCTCTCTACTCAGAAAACAAAATTCCATGGGGAACCTGCTATTCAGAGTAGGCTTTGTCCTATTATAATATTTGTTTTCTTTTTTTTGTCTGTTTTGTTTTTTAAAATTTTAAAATTTAAAATTTTAATTTTTACGCGTACATAATAGGTGTGTATATTTATGGAGTATATGAGATGTTTTGATTTCTCTCTAAGAAGATACTTTTCAGAAACCATCTGAGCAGCAAGCTGTATTACAAATGAGCTGTTATGAGATTTTTAAAAATAGGTTTCTTTTGGAAACTACTATCATTTGGAGAATGGTTTCTATCTCAACTGGACTGAATATGCCTTATCGATGCAATAATGTTTGTCATTTCAGTAACTTAATAGGCTAGCATACATTAATGGGCTATGGTAACCTATGTAACCTGTGACAACTGAAAAATAATTATCACATGCCCTTACAGTTTCATTTAACCATATTAATCTGCTTTGGTAATGGAATCATTCAGGCCTAGTTAAGTCTATCTAGATTTTGAAAAGGAAAAGGTAATTTTAAAAGGAAAGCGTAATTTAAACATCTTTAAAATATGTAGGTTTACAACAAAATCACATATTTAGGCTTTTAAAGATACCCATTCACTTGTGTCTCTGAAGCAGAAACCTGTGCTTGCTTTAAATCCCCATCTTTTATTCCTATAGGCTCTTTAATCCATTCATAACTCTTTCTTCCATCAGCTCTCAGCAGATCGGTTTTGTGTGTGTTAAGGTGGGTGGGATGTAGGCAATGTTTGAGTATGTTAAGAAAAATTACCTAACACCTGGAAACAAGGAGACAGAATGACTGCTTGTCCTTTCAATTTCCAGACTGAAGCTTTATTAAAAGGCCTCCATTTAAAGCGCCCACCCAAGGATTATTCAGTTCTCTGTGAGAATGCACTGTTGCTTGATTAAAGCCCAGGCATGTTAACTTGGAGGTTTTTGTCCAGTAGAGATGCAAATGATTTCTTTGCAGTAGAAGGGGTGACCTCAAAGGTTATGGTTTTATTGCCCTGTTTTGCCTCTAACTTAGTAAGCTTATTTCGGCATGCTTTTTCTTTTTAAACATATCTTTTGAATTCTCCTTTGTACCAGATTTACCATCCTGCTGGCTCCCTCATTAATGCATAAAACCAGTGAGGTGTTCATTCTGTATTTTCATTAGGGTCATATTTTTGAAAATTTTACTTTGTCTCTGTGAGGAAAAGAGATACATCTCACAAGACAGCCAAGAAAATAGATACCTCATTACTTTAGTTCTTCCAATCTCGCCTCTGAGGAACACCTTTTATAATAATTAAACCAATGCATTTTGATTTTCCCCTTTAAATCCCACTTCCTGCTAGCCTTTTGATAGAGTCATCAAGGTTATTGTCCCAGGAAAGAAAGGACGAACAGGTGCTGTCTAGAACAGAGCCCATTCATCAGCTTTGAATTTCAAAGCTGATTTTCTTGGCCTCTTTTGAGTAAAACAATATATATAAAACCCAGGCTTTTTGGAGAAAGGGATTTCTAAATAACAAAGCTTCCTTTTCAATACACAGGCCTGTGTGCAGGATAGAAGGGAGGCATGGTCAGGCTGTAAAGAGTAGAGAGAAAAACCCTCCCCCCTCCCTAACCCCTTCCCACTTCCCAGTCTGGGGGCAGGTCACAAGACACAGTTGTTCTGATCGCTTCCTTCTAGGTTGAAGTCCTAGGGCAGGAAGTATGTTAGCTAGGTTGCTGAGAAGGCAGAGGACTGCAAATGGGGAGGTCTGGATCTTGCTTTTCTTTGGGAGGATTAACATCTGCCCTTTGCCACTAAGAGGTCTCCAAAGCTACACCCCTCCCTCACACACCTGATGCCATCTTGGAAAGGAGCAGAGGAAGGGGTGGAACTCTTACTGGTTGAGCACTTAACTGAGTCATCCAAGTAGGGACTATTTACCCACAAAGACATTTTAAGTTAGGGATTGAATTGAGGTTAATAAATTGAATTCAATCTTGTTTCCCCTCCCTACTTCTACCTAGAGGGTGGGGGCTTGTGAGGTAAATCAGAGCAGTCAGAGAGAAAGAAGAAAGCTACAATTTTCACTTGATCTTAGCCAAAAGGCCAAGAAGGGATGAAAGCTACAATTTTCTTTGCCCAGCTGAGTATATCCCGAGTAAATGTGAAATGCTGTCACCTATGTATATATTGCGTATGTATTGCATGCTCCTTTATCCTCTTTTTGCCACACAATCAACAAATGCATTGTTAGTTTTTGATTTCACAAAAAGCATGTCCTGTTTTGCTTGTGGCAACTGGTCTCCATCTGACACATTGGTATGCTTTCTACAATGCTTGCATCTAACAAGATAAAGTTGGCCACAGACTACAGTAGCAGGTGCCAGGAATATGACCACTGTGATTATAAATTTGTTGATGTCTCCTTATAGTTCTTTCAATATTTGCTTACAATGTTCTGAGCTGGTGAATTAGGTGCCGTTCACCAAACATAATCTGTCTTACCCATGTCCTGGCCTCCTATGAATTGGATAGGGCCATGTGACTAATTGTGGCCACTGTGTAATAAGAGTAACTTTCAGGCTGGGGCAACTTGTTGCTGATGTGTGACTTTCCAGAGCTCTTTTTTCCTCTAGTGTGGCAACTGGCACAGTTTGACATGGTAGCTGATCCACAGACTAAGGTTCTGAGTCACTATGGCGGTCAGAGCTGCCAGACAACCTGTGATGGACATGTAGCATGAGTGGGAAATACATCTTTGTTGTTTGGGCTTGTTTGTTACAACAGCATAACCTACCCTATCCCATCTGAGACAGGTATTTTAAAGAAGGAAAGTGACTGACCCAAGATATTTCTCCTAAAGAAGACACCGGATAGTGCTTTCTTCTAATGGTTCACCTCTTCTCAAGTGAAATAAGTAAAGACCATTAGGAAAATACAGGAAACAAAATGTAATAAGAAGAGATCCATAGTTCTATTCTGTAGGCTTTGATAACATTTGATGTATTTCTTTTTTTATGCAGATAGTTCATGCTTACTACAGAAATTTCGAAAAATACATACAAGCAAAATGAAAAAAAAAATCTCCTTATAATTCTACCACTCAAAGACAACCAGCTACTTTTGCAGAGAATATTCTTTTGGACTTATATACTGAACATACACATTCTTACCTCTTCCTACTCTTTTAAGGGATTTTTAATGTGTCTACCCTTTTAAGCCTGAATTTTCACTTAATATATTATGAACATGTTGTCTTGTTAATAAACGTGTTTCAACATCATTTTATTGGCTGCTCATCTTTCCACTGTATTGTTGTACCGTAATTGATTTTTACGCATCTCTTATTATTTGAGTTGTTGGACATTTGAGTTGTTTCCACTTTTTTACTAAAAAAAATTAAAATTGTTTCGACTTTTTTGCATGGTGATTAATTTCCCTGTAACAGGCTGGGCATGGTGGCTCACCCCTGTAATCCCAGAACTTGGAAAGACCAAGGAGGATCACTTGAGCCCAGGAGTTCGAGACCAGCCTGGGCAACATAGGGAGACCCCTATCTCTATTTAAAATAAAAAAAAAATTAGCCAGGCATGGTGGAACGTGCCTATGGTCCCAGCTACTCAGCAGACCAAGACAGGAGGATCACTTGAACAGAGGGGTTCAAGGCCAGCCTGGGCAACATATGGAGACCCCCTTTCTATTAAAAATACAAAAAATTAGCCGGGCGTGATGGTGCCTGCCTGTGGTCCCAGCTACTTGGGAGGCTGAGGCAGGAGGATTGCTTGAGACTGGGAGGTCGAGGCTGCAGTGAGCTGTGATCGTGCCACTGCACTCTAGCCTGGGTGACAGAGCGAGACCCTGTCTCAGAAAAAAAAAAAATCCCTGTAGCTAATCATTTCCCTAGGATTAAGGATCTTAGAAGTGGAATTTCTGGGTACACAGCTTTGATTACACCAATTTATAGGATTTTGCTTGATTTCTTATGCTATTATAATCATGTAGTGAGTATAGTTTCATATTGTTTTATTTTTTAATAAAAATATTTCCCCATGTTATCACACATATTCTATAAAAATAATTTTTACTATGTTCATGTAGACATAAAGCTGAGTTAAGTTAGTGAATTTAATGTATCCATTCCACTATTTTGGTTGTTGGACAGTTAGGTAGTTTACAGTTATTCACTGTGGTAAATCACAGGTTTAGGAACATCTCTTTGTAGAAAGCCTAGTATATATTTAGGATTATTACTTTAGAACTTTAGAATAAATTTCCAAAAAAAGAATTACTGCCTAAAAGGGCGTGGACTCTTTTTAACTTTTTTCTTTTTTTTAAGAGATGGGATCTTGCTCTGTCACCCAGGCTGGAGTGCAGTGGCACAATCATGGCTCACTGCAGCCTCAACCTCCTGGGCTCAAGCGATCCTCCTGCCTCAGGCTTCCAAGTTGCTGGGACTACAGGCATTGGGCATGAACATTTTTGAGGTTGATGAGTGTGGATAAATTGCTTTCCAAACCAGTTTTATCAATCTACATTGTAATGTGTCATGCCTTATTATGACAAATTAGAGGCTAGGTATTAGAACATTCTGATGGATTCCAGAACAATCCTCCATAGGAATCTTTAAAAGGAAAAAAAAAATTCCCTTCTCTGTGTTCCAGGTCAGCTTTTCAAAGATAGAAAAGACATTTAAAATACCAGGAAGAGTAATGTGAACTTAGTGTTCTTTATCATCTCTTTTATATCAGATCTTAGATTTGGATGGTGACTTTATTTCCAAGTGAAATGTTTTCACATTATCTCTACAAGCAAGGCAGGCATCTCAGGGAGATACTGAGGCACAGTGAAAGTTTCTCTAAGTGACTTTCCTATAGCCATATAATTTATACTGAACTCACATCTATGGTCCACGTCTTGGGGTAGACTCTTGGCAATGTTAGTGAAGTTCAGGTTCACTTCAAGACACACTAGATATAAAACAATTTTTTTTTTTTTGAGACGGAGTTTCACTCTTGTCACCCAGGCTGGAGTGCAATGGCGCGATCTCGGTTCACTGCAACCTCTGCCTCCTGGGTTCAAGCGATTCTCTTGCCTTAGCCTCCCGAGTAGCTGGAATAACAGGCGCCTGCCACCGTGTCCAGCTAATTTTTGTATTTTTCGTAGAGACAGGGTTTCACCATGTTGGGCAGGCTGGTCTCAAACTCCTGACCTCAGGTGATCCGCCTGCCTTGGCCTCCCAAAGTGCTGAGATTACGGGCATGAGCCACTGCACCCAGCCATAAGACATTTTTTTTTAAGAAAAGGAACAGCAGAAAGGAAGGCTCATGTAAGTCCTGTCTTTGAATGAAAGAAAATATAACATCAAAAGAAGGAATTCCTCATAGAAAACAAATGATACCTACAAACTAGACTTCAAACTAATGTTTTGCAGTTTATAAGAATCAAGGCTTCTCCTGACTTCAATTGTTGAGATGACTGTAAAATGATAGTAATCTATTCTTTCCTCTGTAGGAATTCTAATGAACAAAGAACCAGTTTGTGTTGTATTTTAGACATCAAGGTGCTTGGTGTAGAACAGGGTTTCTTAACCCTGGCACTATTGACATTTTGGGCTGGAGCATTCTTTGCTGTGGGGGTTGTCCTGTGCACTGTGGGATGTGTAGCAGCATCCTTGTCCTCTACCAAGGATGCCAGTGGCACTGCGCCTCCATGTTGTGACAACCAAAAATGTCTCTGGACACTGCCAGGTGTCCTCTGGGATGGTATATTTAATTCTATTGTATAAGCCCTGACTATGTTCAGATGAAAGATAGTTAGAAAGGATGGTGAGCTTGGACACTGATGTCCTTTAATAGATATTTTCATATTAATTTCATTTCTTTTTTTTTAGCTTGATCTGATACATTTTGAGAAAAATGGATGTCTTATCTCAGCAACTAAATGAAAAAATAAAATGGACATCAATTGATTAAGTATTCTAAATCTGTAAATTGAATGTGTGAACTCCATGTAAATTACAGTAATCTAAAATTTTAATGAAGATAGTTGTCTAGAAAACTAGCAAGTAGAAAAATGAATTCACTCATGTAATACCTGTGAATAACAAAATTTTATCAGCAAGTGGCTTTTTCAATTTATCAAGTAAAATATAAGGTCAGATGTCTGGGTTTTCTAAGACATTCACATGGCATTTCAAATAGGAGAAATCAAAAGTCCCATCACAATCAGAATAAAGGACACATTTGAATTGAAATCCTTAAGAAAAACTTTGACTAATTAAGATTAGAAGTCTTGTCTTTGCTCTTAAAATTTAAAGTAAATGTTTCTAGATTGTATTCTAATAATCGTGCCAATACATTTAGCCAAAAAGATTTTTTACAATATATATTTTCATATACATTGCAGGATGTTTTTCCTAGTACATTATGAACTAATCTTTCCGACCCTGTGACACCTGACATTTGCCAGGGCAACCCGCGGGTGTTTAAACTGGCAAACTCCCTTTATCTCATCATTACAAGGATTTTCTCATATGCTTATGTTTAGGAACATGGCCTTCCAATGTCTGACAGAAAGTTAGTCAATATTTGGTGTAAAATAGGTTCCACTTGGACTGTATTTAAAATCGCATTGAATATGTTAAGGTGCTTTCAGCTGTGAATAACAATATCCAGCTAAAAGTGGTAAAAACAATATCCAGCCACGCACAATGGCTCCACATGCCTAAAATCCCAGGAGTTTGGGATGCTGAGGCAGGAGGATCACTTGAGCCCAGGAGTTCGAGACCAGCCTGGGCAACATAGCAAGAGCCTGTCTCTCTCTAAAAAAAAAATTAGCTAGGCATGGTGGCACATGCCTGTGGTTCCAGCTACTCAGGAGGCTGACATGGGAGGATCACTTTGAGCCCAGGAGTTTGAAGCTGCAGTGAGCCGTGATCATGCCATTGCACTGTAGCCTGGGCAACAGGGTGAGACCCTGTTTCAAAAAAAGGTGGCATATCCAACAGGATTGTATCATTTTACATAATAAGGTGTTTAGAACGTGTGATGGTTAATACTGAGTGTCAACTTGATTGGATTGAAGGATGCAAAGCATTGATCCTGAGTGTGTCTGTGAGGGTGTTGCCAAAGGAGATTAACATTTGAGTCAGTGGACTGGGAAAGGCAGACCCACCCTTAATCTGGGTGGGCACCATCTAATCAGCTGCCAGCATGGGTAGAATATAAAGCAGGCAGAAAAATGTGAAAAGACTAGACTTGCCTAGCCTCCCAGCCTACATCCTTCTCCCGTGTTGGATGCTTCCTGCCCTCAAACATCGGACTCCCAGTTCTTCAGTTTTGGGACTCGGACTGGCTCTCCTTTCTCCTCAGATTGCAGACCGCCTGTTGTGGGACCTCTTGATTGTGTGAGTTAATACTTAATTAACTCCCCTTTATGTATATATATATAAATCTTATTAGTTCTCTCCCTCTAGAGAACCCTGACTAATACAGAAGGTGATGGTCCCAAGCTAAACAGTGTCATCATCAGTGATCCAGGTTCTTTCCATCCCTGTTTGTTGCCATCCTCAGCACGTTCGCTTTGTCTACTGCTTAATGGCTGCAATATAGCTTCCATAGCTCCCATGAAATGAAATGCCTATGAAATGTCAGGAAGGAAGAGGTGGGGAAAAAAAGCTCTCCTTGAATATCTGTTGTTTTCATTACCATGAAAAATCTTTCTAAAAGCCTTTTGGGAGGGTGTGGCTGAAAGGTTAATTTGACCAGATGGGTCATGTGGCCAGCCCTACCTGCAAAAGAGGCTGAAAGAGAGTGTCTGGCATTTTTAGCCCTTCTTATGGGAAGCAGGCCCTGCCAGAAGGGAAAGAGAGAGAGAAATGACTTTTGGTTAGGCAATCAAAAGTGTGTGCAAAATCATATTTTTGGAGAATGTTCCTCAGTCTAAAAAACAGTAATGTTACAAAAGTTCTACAAGCATTCTAAATAGCTACCTCTTCTCTATATTTTCTGTTTTTTTTTTTTTTTTTGACAGTTTTTTGAGACGGGGTCCTCCTCTCTCACTCAGGCTGGAGCATGTTGGTATGATCCTAGCTCACTGCAGTATCGAACTCCAGGGCTCAGGCAATCCTGCCTCAGCCTCCCGAGTAGCTGGGACTACAGATGCATGCCACCATGCTTGGCTAATTAAAAAAATTTTGTAGAGGCAGAGTCTTGCTATGTTGCCCAGACTGGTCTTGATCTCTTGGCCTCAAGCTATCCTCCCAAAGTGCTGAGAGTGTGGGACACTGTGCCCAGCCCATATTTCCTGTTTTGATTTGAAAATTAAAAATGAAACTTAAGAAACACAATCAAGTATGGGAAATATTATATACTATGTAAAACAATTGTAAGTATGTTAAGGCTTAAGTAAGTTGCTAGGATAAAAGCCAACTTGATTTCCCCCTTAGTAAGGGAGATTCTTTGAGATCCTGTGTGTAGTCTTATCTCCACAGACCTTACATATTCAAAAAGATGTGCTAATGGTGTTTATGTGCTAATGTGCTAATGGGAAATAATTTAGTATGTTACAGGCTGCCTAGAGTTATTTCTTGTTTTTTTTTTTTTGTTGTTGTTGTTTGTTTGTTTTTTTCCTTTTTGTAGAGAATGGGGTCTTGCTACATTGCCCAGGCAAGTCTCGAACTCCTGGGCTCAAGCTATCCTCCTGCCTCTGCCTCCCTAAGAGCTGGGATTATAGGCATGAGCCACTGCACCCAGCCTGCCTCCGGTTATTTTATTTGGAATCTGTCTCATACCAGTACTCTCCAAAATGTGCTAGACGTCCTTACTCACAGTTAGTTAGGTTGAATCCCTCAAGGTCCATCTCTTATGGGTGCCCTTGCTTGCAGTAGACTTAGGCTGGTTGAAGCATAGCCGTTTTTCTTGGAAATGGGTGGCTTCTGCATTTTGTACACACTCTTTGAACATTCTGCTTCAAGAATGGGACTGGTGTCATGTGGTCCAGCAGCAACTCCTGCAAGACAAAGAGATGCAGGCCTTTGAGTCTCCTGGGGTGGTCCCTGATGTGGCCATATTCCCCTCTGGGCTCTGAGGCCAGATTTGCCCTTGAAGCTCTATTGCTTCATAGAGGTGGAGGCATGGGTGTGCTAGGGAGAAGGGACCTGAAAGCTTCACCTCGAAAGTCACCAGCGGGCAGCACAGCTAAAACCTGGATCCCACATATTTCTTGTTCCATTTCTCCTGTTTTTATCCTTTAATGTTTACAGGGATTAGACAACAATCAAACCGCAAGACAAGGCAAATGCATTTCCAATGCACTCAGATGACACCAAAGATTGATGATTTCTCTCCTGCAAAGTTCAGTCTTGACAGATCTCATTTCTTTTTCTCAGGGAAAAAAAAAAAAAAAAAAAAGCCACGACCAAACTCTCTCTCACTTCATATGACTAAAAGATGAGATTTTTTCCTCTTTGAAGAATACTGCATATACGTTTTTACACTGGGCAGAGAGCTAATTCTACTTGACTAAAGTTCACCTGCCTGTCATACTTCCAACCTGGGGAATCTTCTTAATTCGTCTGGCTCCCGTTTCAATAGTAGGGAGAACAATTATGCTTGTCCAGCTCCTTGTCTCCAATAGCTGACAGCAGTGATGAAACTGTATACAAGTTTCATCAAGTATAGGAGAGGGATCGTTTTCTACTTTAGAGTGGCCTGTATCTACCCATTCAAGAGAGTTCATTGGGCACTGTTATGAACGAGGCACTATGAGCGTGGCAATACCAAGAGAAAGCATGGGATTTCAGCCCCCAAGGAGTTTATAAACCAGGAAAGAAAATAAGGACACACGAAGTTGTACATGAGTGCCATGAGCACAAGTGTTTATAAAACTTAAGACACATGCTACAGCATAAATGAACCTTGAGGACATCGTGCTAAGTGGAATCAGCCAATCACAAAAGGACAAATACTGTATGATTCCCTTTTTGTATAATTATTTTTTAGTTTTAAATTTTTATTTTATTTTATTTATTTATTTTTTGAGATGGAGTTTTGCTCTTGTTGCCCAGGCTGGAGTGCTGTAGCCTGATTTTGGCTCACTTCAACCTGCACTTCCTAGGTTCAAGCGATTCTCTTGCCTCATCCTCCCGAATAGCTGAGACTACAGACTCCCGCCACCACACCCGGATAATTTTTTTTTTGTATTTCTAATAGAGATGGGGTTTCAGCATGTTGGTCAAACATCTGACCTCAGGTGATCCACCCACCTCGGCCTCCCAAAATGCTGGGATTACAGGTGTGAGCCACCACGCCTGGCCTATTTTATTTTATTTTGAGGCAGGGTCTTGCTCTGTTGCCCAGACTGGAGTGCAGTGGCGCCATCACAGCTCACTGCAGCCTTGACCTCCTGGGCTCAAACGATGCTCCTGCCTTAGCCTCCCAAGTAGCTGGGACTACAGGTATGCACCACCACTTCCAGCTAATTTTTTAATTTTTTTGTAGACAACAGGTCTCACTATGTTGCCCAGCCTGGTCTCAAACTCCTGAGCTCAAGCAACCCTCCCGCCTTGGCCTCCCAGAGTGCTGCAATTACAGGTGTGAGCCACCACACCAGGCCTGATTCCACTTATATCTACAGCAGTCAAATTCATAGAGACAGAAAGTAGAATGGTGGTTACCAGGGGCTGGGGGGAAGGGAGGAGTGGGGAGTTGGTGTTGAAATGGTACAGAATTTCAGTTTTTGCAAGATGAAAAAGTTCTAGTGATGGATAGTGGTTGCATAACAACGTGAAAGTACTTAATGCCACTAAACAGTGCATTTTAAAATTGTTAACATAGTAAATTTTATGTTATGTATATTCTTACCACACTTAAAACACTTGAGTAGGAGAAATATCAAATTGTGGTATAACATAGAGGATACAACTTGGGGCTAAAAGAACCTGAGTTTTCATTCTGTTATTTCTATTGACCGACTGTGTGATTTTAGCCAAATCTTTTAACTTCATTAAATGTCCTTATCTATGATGTAGAGAAAATGATAACCTAACTTGTAAGGTTATTGGGATAATTCAATGAGGTAATGTATGAGAAAGCCATTTAGCTAAATGTATGGTACGATATAAAATAAATTTTTATCATGGATGTGATGAGGGAAGACTTAATAAAGGAAATAGGACTTGAACTGGTCTTAGAAGGGTAGGCAATAACATTTATTGAGGGCCTACTGTATCCTCATCTCAGTTCATGTAGCAAACGTTTGAAGATATTATCCTCATTTTACAGATAGACAAATTAAGACACAGAGATTTTGCACAAACCCAAAAGGCAGCCCTGTCTTTCAAATTCCTCATCCTTTCCACTCATAGGAAGTTGTGAGTAAAAAAGTGTTGAAAGTGGAAATAGAGTAAAAAAAAAAAGCAGAGGTGATGAATAAATGCAGAAGCTTATTCTTCTTTTAAAAATAATTTTATTTTGAAATAATTTCAAAAAAAAGTTTCAAGAACAGTACCAAAAACTCCCTCAAATCCTTCACCCAGATTCAACAATTGTTAATGTTTTGCTACATTTGCTCTATTAGCTCATTCTCTCAGAACCATTTGGAAGTAAGCTTCAAACATCATGCCCTTTTATTCTGTCAGAGAGGAAAAACTGTTCCTCTGCCCTCTTTGGTTCTTTTCTTGGAGCCCTGTAAATTAAACTGATAAAAGACAGATTCACAAGAGACAGCAACATTTAATTATGTTGGTTGGCATGGAAATTCACAAGGAAATGTGACTCAAGGAGGTGGTTAGAATTTGGGGCTTATACACTGTATTAGTCCATTTTCATGCTGCTAATAAAAACACACCTGAGACTGGATAATTTATAAAGGAAAGAGGTTTAATGGACAGACTGGGTAATTTATAAAGGAAAGAGGTTTAATGGACTCACAGTTCCATATGGCTGGGGAAGGCCTCACAATCATGGCAGAATGTGAAGGAAGAGCAAAGGCATGTCTTACATGGTGGCAGGCAAGACAGCATGTACAGGAGAAGATCCCTTTATAAAACCATCAGATCTCATGAGACTTATTCACTATCACGAGAATAGCATGAGAAAGACCCGCCCCCATGATTCAATTACCTCCCACTGAGTCCCTCCCATGACACATGGGAATTATGGGAGCTACAATTCAAGATGAGATTTCGGTGGGGACACAGCTAAACCATATCACATACCATCTTAATTGGGGATGGGGAGGGTCAGAGGACACTTCTGGGAGAACTAATAACTTCTTAGAAGGGGATTAGGGAAGGGCATTTATGGAAAAATAAAGATTTTTTTTGAAAGATAAATGAACCCTTAGGAGAATAGATGGGAGATATGAGTTTGGTGACAATGTCTGTTTGGGTGTGGTGCCAACTTGTCATCTCCATCTATGTTGCTCTCAGGGAGGGGATTTATGGCAATCGAGGGTTTTGTTTTGTTTTGTTTTTTGGTAGATTCTGCTTTTAGACAGATAAGAGATTTCAGGAACTTGGCTGGGCGCAGTAGTTCACACCGTAATCCTAGAACTTTGGGAGGCCAAGGCGGGTAGATCGCTTGAGGCCAGGAGTTCAAGACCAGCCTGGCTAACATGGTGAAACCCCAGCTCTAGTAAAAATACAGAAATTAGCTGGGCATGGTGGAGTGCACCTGTAATCCCAGCTACTCGGGAGGCTGAGGCAGGAGAATCACTTGAAACCGGGAGGTGGAGGTTGCAGTGAGCCGAGATCATGCCATTGCACTCCAGCCTGGGCCATAGAGCGAGACTCTGTCTCAAGAAAAAAAAAAAATACCATCCCCAATTAAGATGGTATATGATATGATTTAGCTGTGTCCCCATCCAAATCTTATTTCTCCTTCAGCCAAAAATAATTTTTAATGAAACAATGACTTATTCTAAATCCCTTCAACTCTTATACTTCAGCCTGTGTTGCCTGAGAAGTTAAGCACAGAACATTCTAAAAATCAGGACATTCAATGCTATTAGCCCAGAGCTGAGCACCCTGTGCCTATTACTCAAGTACCTCTTTGCTGGTAGTTTTAATTTAGAAATGGGTTTGGCTAAGCTTCTTGCAGCTATGCGAGGAATCTGTCTTACTCAGCAAAGATTTCTAAGGTGTCTATTCAAATATTTCTAAGGTGCAAAATAGTGTTCTAGACACCTATGACTCAAGTGATGTTTGATGGACAGCCACATGAGGTTCTCTATCAAAACCATGACAACTATGCTTGCATCCATTTTTCCTCCTCTTAGAAAGGGCATCCCTCTTAATGAAGGCTCTATCGTGCCCTGGCTCCCATCTCTTCCCTCAATTATTTTATCTCGGGTCCTTTCCATTAGCACCAAAAACATGCACACAATTCTCCTATTGCTAAAACAATGATAACAACTTTCTCCTACATCCTTCACTAGGTCCCACAGTTTTTCTCTCCTCCCCTTCCAAATGGAACTTCTCGATGGCATTTTCTGTATTTGCAGTCTCTACCCGCACACACCCCACCCACTCCACCATCCAGCATCCACTCCAACCTGGCTCAACTTCTCCTGCCACACTAGAGTTTCTCTCTCAAGATCATCTATGAACTCTTCTACTACAGGGGTCTCCAACCCCCAGGCCACGGACTGGTACGGGTCCATGGCCTGTTACAAACTGGGCTGCACAGCGGGAGGTGAGCGACGGGTGAGCCAGAGAAGCTTCATCTGTGTTTACAGCTGCTTCTCACTGCTTGCATTACCACCTGAAATCTGCCCGCTATCAGGTCAGTGGCAGCATTAGATTCTCATAGGAGTGAGAACACTATTGTGAACTGTGCATGCAAGGGGCCTAGGTTGTATGCTCCTTATGAGCATCTAATGCCTGATGATCTGTCACTGTCTCCCATCACCCCTAGACGGGGGACCATCTAGTTGCAGGAAAACAAGCTCAGGACTCCCACTGATTCTACATTATGGTGAGGTGTCTAATTATTTCATTATATATTACAATGCCATAATAATAGAAATAAAGTGCACAATAAATGTAATGTGCTTCAATCATCCTGAAACCATCCCCCACCTCTGGTCCATGGAAAAATTGTCTCCCACGAAACCAGTCCCTGGTGCCAAAAGGGTTGGGGACTGCTGTTCTACTAGAACCCATGGATATTTTTCAGTCCTCATCCGACATCATTTCTCTTTCAGCAACATCTCATATTATGGACATCCCCCTCTTCTTGACACATTCTCTTCCCTTTCTCTAATACCAAACTCTTACAGTTTTCCTTCTAATTTTCTGAAGCTCCTTTGTTTCCTATTCCTGTACTTTTTTTTTTAACTTAAATGCCGTTATTCCTGAGATCTTTATCCTAGGACACCTTCCCTTTTCATTTTTCCCTGTTTTTGCTGGACAATATGCACTTCCATGGGTTCAATTATGTATTTGGGGTGCATCAACTCACAGATGGCATCTCCAACTAATTTCTCCTAAGTTCCAGATCTGTACATACAACTACCTACTCGCCATCTCCACTTGGAAGTCTCTCAGGTATTCAAACTCGAGAGTTCCAAATTGAGGCTGGCCTAGTGGCTCACACCTGTAATTCCAGCACTTTGGGAGACCGAGGCGGGCAGATCACCTGAGGTCAGGAGTTCAAGACCAGCCTGGCCAACATGGTGAAACCTTATCTCTACTAAAAATACAAAAATTAGCTGGGCGTGGTGGTGCACGCCTGTAATCCCAGCTACTTGGGAGGCTGAGGCAGGAGAATCACTTGAACTCGGGAGGTGGAGATTGCAGTGAGCCAAGATCGAGCCACTGCACTCCAGCCTGGGCGACAGAATGAGACTCCATCTCAAAAAAAAAAAAAAAAAAAAAAAAAAGGAGTTCCAAATTGAACTGCTCCTTTTCTGGTATTCCCTAGCTCTGTCAATGGCATTTCCATCATTTCATTGCCTTCTTGACTCCTTGAACCTAATACACGCCTAACCATCAAATACAGTGGAGTCTACTTTTGGTTTGTTCTCTTCTTCCTTCTGATCTCTACTGCCACCACTGTATTCGCCATCACTGTCATCTCTTGTTGAAGATTACTGAAATAGTCTTTTTTTTTTTTTTTTTTTGAGACGGCGTTTCGCTCTTGTCACCCAGGCTGGAGTGAAATGGCATGATCTCGGCTCACTGCAACCTCCACCTCCCAGGTTCAAGCGATTCTCCTGCCTCAGCCTCCCGAGTAGCTGGGATTATAGGTGCCTGCTACCACACCCAGCTAATTTTCATATTTTTAGTAGAGACAGGGTTTCACCATGTTGGCTAGGCTACTCTCGAACTCCTGACCTCATGTGATCCACCCACCTCAGCCTCCCAAAGTGCTGGGATTACAGGCACGAGCCACCACGCCGAGCTGTGAAATAGTCTTCTAACTAATTTCTTTGCTACCAGACTTGCTATTCTCCCATTCATGCTTTACCTTTAGCTGAGATGATCCATCCAAAAGGCAAATCTTGCTTGAAATTTTCAATGGCTTCCTATTTGTGATGAGGCTAAAGTGCAGACTCTCCTTAACGTATAAAAACAAATGGGATTTTTTCTTACAAAATACAAAAGAGAAAAATTATATTATTTACTGCTGTATCCCCAGAGCCTAGAACAGTGCCTGGCACATAATAATTGTGTAATAAACATTTGTTAAATGAATGAAAGACTTTATGTATTGGTTCCAGTGATTAAAGAATAGGCATGAATATGAAAAACGGAACTTTTTAAAACCAATAGCCATCTCTTAGTGTATCATATGTGTAAGACTCATATTCTAAAGTTTGACAAGCTTAAAAACCAACTACAGTGAGCTCAGAAGAAAAACATTTCAAATAGGAAAAAAGCACAGCTAACCAACTTCTTTTAAACTCATCATTTATTATAAATAGAAAAAACAGTTTAAATCTTATAATAAAATACAAATTCATAGTATCTGCATTACCCCTAATTTTCATGATTTAAATTATGACAATAAAAATTAATGCATGTATTTGAACAAGTAATCAAGAAATGCAATGTTCCATGCTTAATCGTTATATAACGAAAACAGATGAAGATAAAATACTTACTTTAAAATCAGGATATCTGTTCTAAAGACAGATTGCCTTTTTAACCTTTAAAAATGAATAGTAAATGATTCAGAGATAGATAGAAGAGTTAAAGCTTGAAAATCTATGAAGCAAAAAATATTTTAATTAAGAAGGTGGTGAAAACCGTACCTTTAGATAATGATATATGTTAAGGGTAATCTCCAGATTGCTAGTCTATATTGTTTAGGAATGAGAAACACTATTTCCATTAAAAAAAAAGCCACCTAAAGGAAAAAAAAAGATTTAAGCACTCTATTCTAATGAAACACATGAGGTATATACTCATTTCATTGTATTACTGAATTGTAAAAGTAAATTAATAAATAGTTGCCTCTCATATGAAGACTAGCCGTCTCTTTTGGATGGCTGGCCAATCATTTGAGGAAAACAAAACATAAGATTATATCCCTACTTTGCACCAACATGAAAATATATCCCATGTGGGTTAAAGAGTTAAATATTTTAAAAAATTAGATCACAAAATTATTACAAGAAAATGTGAATATTTATAAAATCTCGGAGTGGGGGAAACTTCCAAAACATATCACCAAAGGCAGTAAACAAAACAAAGATTGACAAACAATAATATATTGAAAACAAAAATAAGCATTATACTTAAATGAAGTTTTAATATATTTACATGTAACAAATTGAATGCTATAGCTGAGCTTACGAGGAAAAGCAGTAAAAAGATAATCCCTCACATGAAAAATGGGCAAAGGTTGTGGATTAAAAAAAAGAAGAGAATGGCCAATAAACACATTTTAAAATATTCAACTTTTTTTAAAAATCAAAAAGTACAAATTAAAACAAGATGCCATCTTCGGATACCCAACTAACAGAAAAAAAATTAAATGTATACTATATATATAACTGTTCATGCTTTAAGAAAGTCATCTTTAGGATTTTCCTAAGAGTTTCTAGAATTGTCTAAAGAGTCATAGAATGCAAAAAGATTTAGTTGTAAGGATATTCCTAACAGTTTTATTTATAATGATGCAAAATTAGAAATAATAGGGGTTGATTAAATTACGGCATATTTAACACTGCAATATTATATGGCCACTGAAATAACATTAGAATATTAATAACATAAAAGTGTTTGTAATATATTGTCAAGTTTAAACACTGGCTTACCAGTTTATGCATAATACAACCCTGTTTGTTTTCAATAAATCACAATTTATTTTCATTAACCTGTTCTCTGTGATTAAAGTGTATTTCTGGCCGGGCGCGGTGGCTCACGCCTGTAATCCCAGCACTTTGGGAGGCCGAGGCGGGCAGATCACGAGGTCAGGAGATCAAGACCATCCTGGCTAACACGGTAAAACCCCATCTCTACTAAAAATACAAAAAAAAAAATTAGCCGGGCGCGGTGGCGGGCGCCTGTAGTCCCAGCTACTCGGGAGGCTGAGGCAGGAGAATGGCGTGAACCGGAGAGGCGGAGCTTGCAGTTAGCCGTGATCGCGCCACTGCACTTCGGCCTGGGCGAAAGAGCGAGACTCCGTCTCAAAAACAAAAACAAAAACAAAAAAAAAGTGTATTTATTTTCTGATAAGAAATTATTTTTCTATAAAGGCCTATCTCCTTCTGTTCTAACTTCTTTTCCCTAGGTATTTCCTCGACAGAAAAGGGGTACCCTAAACTGGAGAAGGGAATATGTTATAAATTGCACAGTGCTACCTCCCATTATAGATTTCTGGTAATACATAAAGGCTAGGAAAAAAGTAGAAGCCATTAAAAGATGGAAACAAAGAGGTTCAAAGGTAAGAAAAGACTGCTAGGAATAAAGTATGAAAGCCAAGGAACTGTAAGGTATGGTCAAATATGTTTGTAAATCCTTTGTAAAAATGTGATTCCTGAACAATGAAAAGGAATAAGAAGGTGACAACCACTGAAGGGAAATAACGGGCAAAGGATATGGATAAGGAATCTACTAAAGCACACACATTTTAACAAAGAAGTTTAAGCTGAGTGCGCCTATAATCCCAGCACTTTGGGACCTTGCAAGGCCAAGGCAGGAGGGAGGATCACTTGATCTCAGGAGTTTGAGACCAGCCTGAGCAACACAGCAAGGCCTCTGCCAAAAAAAAAAAAAAAAAAAAAATATATATATATATATACACATATATATGTGTGTATATATATGTACGTATATACATATATATATAACATTATATATATATATATATATATAAATATATATATAAAAATATAAATTAGCTGGGCATGGTGGTGCGTGCATGTGGTCCCAGCTACTCAGGAGGCTGAGGTGGGAGGATTGCTTGAGCCCAGGAGGTCAAGGCTGTAGTGAGCTGTGATCGTGCCAACTGCACTCCAGCCTGGGTGACAGAGCAAGACCCTGTCTCGAAAAAAATTAAAAACTTTAGCCTCTTTTCTAACAACAACAAAATGCAAATTAAAATGAACATGTAAAAAACAGATTATTTTGAAATATAAGATCCCAGACCATGCGCAGAGTAGAAAGTTTTTTATTGTCTGATTTGGTGGCTTCAAAGGCCATCCTATCCTGAATTCTCTCCTATATTGGTTTCTCATAGTGCTTCCTTCTGAGTTAATATGCTGTTTTCATAAGACCAGATGTAAATGCTGGCCTATGTTACTATCAGCAAATACACTCATGAACACAGGTTATTTTCACTAGTTACAGGAAGCAAAATCCTTAGCCATTTGCTTAAATACTGCGATTGTTGGTCCATTTTGATTGGGGGAAGAAATGCTTAAAAGAGCCAAGGCCTGCAAGATACTCTGGACAATCAGAACCAGCTTGAAGGCACTGGAAGCCTAGAAGGCATATCAAAAGGAGGCAACATCTAACACCAGTACACACTGAGATCTCAGGGCAAATTAAGTCCTAATCCTGCATTCTGAAAATAAGTACTTTAAGTTCATAATACCAGTAATGACTTGAGCATCCCAGGCACCATATTAACTACTTTATGTAAGCTGTTGTATATAATAGTCTTCAAAAGAAAATACTATGATGTTTATTTTAAGGATAGTTAAGTCTATATAGAAAAATAAACCTCGATTCCCTACCTCATATCATATATTCCAGAAATTAAAGATCTCATCATGAAAGTACAACTTTAAAGCAAATAGAAGAAAATGTAAGCGAATACTGTTGTGACTCTGGGACAGGACAGGACTTTTTCAATAAGACCCACAAAACACAAACAATAACTCAAGAAATTAAGGGATCTTACTATATTAAACTAAAGATCATTGTTCAACAAACAACCTCATAAATAAAATTTACTGACGAGTGACAAACTGGGAAAAGTTATTTGCAGCATCTACAATGGACAAGAGATTGATATCTAGGACTTGGGTTGTTCTGGAAGTAGACTGATATCTGGAACATGGGTTGTTCTGAATATTTGTAAAACATAGCAAATATTTTAGGCTTTTGGTTATATGATCTCCGTTGCACCTGCTCAACTCAGCCATTGTAGCACAAAAGCAGCCATCAAATACATGAATGAATGTGTTCCAATAAAACACAATAAAAGTTTATGTACAAAAATTGGCAGTGAGCAAGATTTGGCCTGCAGGCCATAATTTGTTGACCTCCAATCTAGAATATACAAGAAATTTCTATGGATCAAACAGAAAAAGTTAGCACACACAATAGAAAACTGGGCAAAGGATATCAATAAGCAAGTGGCAGAATGAAAAATCCAAAGGGCTAAACAAGTATATGAATGTGCAACTCTATTAATAATCTAAGAAATGCAAATTAAAATGAAATGTTATTTTTTTTTGAAATGTCATTTTAAACCCAACAGATTTGTCAGAACATGGAAGTCAGATAATCCAGATGGAGGCAAGGGTGTGGGCAAACATGGAACCCTCATGCCTTGCCAGTAAGAGGGTCAGTTACAAAAAGACATTTTTGGAGGGCAATCTAGCAGTGCTAAGGGAAACCAAGTATGTGTTTCCATACTCCAAATAAAGGGGGGGCTCTTTGATAAAGGGCAGCAGGAAGCCTTATAACATTACACAAACATTATGTTTACTTTGTAATTAAAGACAATATACACGATCTTTATTTTTCTCATTTCACTTTGGATGGACAAAAATACCACCATAGACTGTCACTAGTCTACAAACCAGAATGTGTTTTAGAAATGAAGAAATTCTTAATATTCTTAGAGTCTAATTCTTTTAGAGTTCCATATCTTTAAGAGAATTAGCTTTAGAATGCTTGATTAGATTAATAGGATGCTAAATTTAAGATAAAGTGAGAGTTCAATTTTATACTGTGGAGAGCCAATTACAGGGTTCTACTCTTAGATCCTTCTAGGTTTTCCCTCCTCTACAGTGTCAGGAGCATGTCAGTAGAAAAGTTTGAGAAGCATTCAGTTAATAAGAAGGGACAATTATTGACTATCCATCAATCTTTAGCTAAATAAAACTAACATATATGGGTGTTTTTTCCTCCCTTTAATGGAAAATTAAATTATACAATATAACCTGCTTCGTAATTAGCCATTTTTTTCCTACCTCCACCCCAAGTATAACTTATTGTAGCACTGAGTTCTGAAACAGAGGCGTTTCCTTTCATTGAATTCATATGTCATGGTCTGATAAAATATACAATGGATTATTCAAATTAGTATGACCCCAACAGCAAGAGTAGCTTGCAAATGCACTGATTAAAAAGGCTTATTGTCTCAAAGAAAGTATATTTACATGCTTAAAAATAACTGTTATTCAACTCTATTACGTTGCTGAAAACCATTCCAGAGTTAAAAAAGTTGTGAAATAACTAAAACACATTCCCCCCCAGTCTTTTATCACATGCACATTTACTTAAAAAGTTAGATTATACGAAAGCATATGCATACTGTTTGATCCGACATTAAGAGAAAAATAGTTTACATGGAATTAAATACTTCAAAGTTAACACATAAAGAGAGAATTTGATAGTATTTAATTATATCTCAATAAAGCTGTTAAAAAGTGGCTTAATCAGTCATCTAGTCTTGTGGCTCTTAACTGTAGTGTAATGGGATCAGAGGCAAGAAGTAGTGGAATGAAGCTAACCAGTCAAAAACTGGGCTACATTCCTAGCCTATTTTATCTGGCCCTTACTACCAGAGAGAGAAAGAGAGAGAGAGAGTATGGGAGGAAGCACTAGGGCAAAAGGTCAAGAAGAACCAAATGCCATAGTTAAAACATTCTCTTTCAAGAATTCCTAACTGACAGCAGACTTTTCTGTCAGACACAGTAATGAAAGGAAACATGATAGTCCTCTTTCTTTATCCATAAACCAGCCATTTCCAAGACAGTAGCGAGTGCACAGGAGCCTCATTTAAAAGACTTATTTTCAAGGCCTGCAACGACTTTCAGGTATAGATTATACGAATGAAAACTGAAGGCTGGTTCTAGAATCAAGAATTTAAAAATGATTAAGATCTTGCTTTATGTAATAGGAACAATTTTGATAGAAAAGAGTTTCAAAAAAGACAACACATAGACGATGATAAACATAAAATGCTGGTACACATTTATTCTTTTATTGCTAAACATCAAATGCCGGCAATTACGATACCTTCAAGTTAAAGCTTAAGAATGAATTACAGGACAGTCAGAAGATTTATAGAAAAAAACACCTGTGCACCATTAGTATGTGAACATTCAATAAATACCATAGGACAAAGTGATGACTGAGAGCCACAATATCTATGAAGCACATGTTTACAATTTGCTGTTAGAACAGACAATGACCTGTAAGAGCGATTATCAAAAGGTCAAGTTTAACTGCATGTCTTTTCAAACTGAGATGCTGAAAAGAATATATACATTCTTTACAGATTGTAGGTGATTAAAAAAAACTGTCAAAAATGTAAACAATGCAGAGTAGGAACACTGAGAATAAAGTTTTACTGTTGAACAAAGTGACAACGCAGAAAGAACACTTTCTTCAATCCTCAAAATAATCCATTTTTCCAATCACTCTACAGAAACCACAGTGGATTCTTTCCATGAAGATGATAATATGCCAGGGACACAAAGACCCTCCAAGTTATTTTTTTATGTGAACATATATTTACAGTAAATATTCAATAATACTTTTTACAGCTTACTTAAATAGAAACATGCTTTTTCTAATCCATAAATAACACTAATCATTATCCATTCAACTGCATTTATTAAGTACTTATGTCTCATGCACTGTGCCAGGGATGCAAAGATGAATATGATATGGTCCTTGCTGTAGAAGTGCCCACAACCAAGCTAAAGAAGAAAACACGTAACATTTTCTTTCTTACATAATGAGGCCGGTTTTATACAAATGGTACTGATCTGCTCTTTCCTAGTAAAGTGGTTCCCAAATCCTGATCCTATGGGTCAACAGATCAAAATGTTTAACAGTTGAAATAAAATGAGATTTGGGTTTCGTTTTTTTACTCAGAAAAATAAATTAATGAATAAGATTTCCTCTATTAAAGTTTTTTCTTGGTTTTTAAAAAAGTGACTTGCACATATACAACCTTTTCATTAGTAAAATTGCTTAGTTCATGCAATCAAATTAATTATATAAGTATTTCATGGCATTCTCCAAGCTCTACTACTTGAACAGGTCTGACTGAGCATTACTATGCTAATGTACTCTGATCCCAAATGATTGTCTACCTAAAAATAGAACAAATACTGTATTTTCTGGAATAAACCAATAATTCGTATGGTTTTAGTACTGGTATTAACTGATGACCCAAGTCATTAATAAAATGTTAAAATTATATTCAACATCTAATTACTGTTAAGGCAAATTTGTAATACAATCTAAAAAGTTTCTTAAAAATGATTAAAAAGTTTTAGTGCTTACAGAGCAACTCAATAATCTGAAAAAGGTAACCCCATGGAATACATCACTCAGTAAAGAAGTTGGATAGATGGCTATTAATGAGTTATTGCCCTTAGTCACTTCTGAGTATACAAGAGAAGCATGTATTTTCCATCAAAGAAACAGCAAGCTCATATACTCCTAGGACCAATAGCTTCACACTGGCCTGCTGACTCCCCAAATTTCCCAGGGCTGCATCTCCACTCCAAAAGACCTCAAAGCAGGCGTGGCTCTTCTGGGCTCAAGAATCAGTTCCCAAGCCCTGGAAAATCCACGTTTGTACTCACGTATAGCCATTCTCACTATACTACCAAGTCTTCTGTGGACCCAGAGAGGTAGCTTAGGAGAGAGACAGAAAACAAGGACTAGGTACTTAATAACCTGACACAGAAAAACATGGGAGCCGCTGGTGAGGACAGAGTATGGCTCAGAGTTTAAGGTCATTGCTTCTTGGAGACAGGAACCCAGGAGCTAGGCCCCAGATGTCCTGAGCAGCACAAGAGAAAATGTTTACCCTGGAAGGGTTCCAAGCTTCAAAGCTCTATAGAGAATGGGAAGTAGGACTGCTGAAGATCCTCTGGGGTGTCTTGTGATCTGTCAGGAGACCCGGCCTAGTTCCGAAGTTCAACCCCAACTGCCTCCCTCTGCTCACATGCTGCTGGTGTGTGATGCTTCCTGCAGCTCACCGTGGATGTCAAAGCTAGTGCTGCTTTATGAGGGGGCAGAGACACCTTATAAAAGATGCAACTCTTGTGGGGCAAAACATGTCTCACGATATCATAGGCCCTACTTCCTGTTTTGTTCATTTATTTGGTATCATTTGACAAAGATTTTTCCCTTTCACGTCAGCAGATTCTTCTATAGAATTTTACTAATTGTAATCAGACCTCAGCTTTCAGAGCACAAAATAATACACCATTAAGTTTTAAAATACTTTTCAAACAAGACAAAGGACAAGAGATACAGGCCAAGACAATGGTCATCCTTCCACTTGGCCAAAGTCTGGTCTCCTTCAAATTTTGATTAATGATGCTTTTGTAAGAAGTTTTTCCCAATTAATTCCACCCAGTTCTGTTCTCCTTTATACTATTTCAACACAATATGTAATCAGACAAAACGGTATTACATGAATTTGCACTTGCTTAGATATTATTCCACAAGCATCTGGGTACATTCAGTCCTAAATTAGAATATAGTCAGGGACTATGCCTTTCATTTCTTCTGCTTATCTTCTACCACAGAGTTTGGGTACTCTGGATATGGGAGGAGCTCAGGGTTGTTGGCTAAGATGTAATTTTAAGGAAACACTTTATATTTCATACCAAGTAAGAATTTCAATGGCAATGAATATTACCACATAGCTGTATACTGTAACTCAGGGATTCTGTCAGATGAGTGCAAACATTACCGTGCTGTAACCATCCAGAGTCCCAGGGTCACATTGGCAGCCAAAAGTACACTGCCACCCAGCAAGATGAAAAACCCTATTAGATCTTTGACATCATTGTCTCCAATCACTGAGGTAAGGGTGGCATCCAAGAAAGAGTTTAGAATCCATTGTCCATCCAAAGCAAAGCAGGGTACTGCATTAACAATAGCCAGAGCTCCTGAGAGGGAAATCAGGTACCTGGGTTAAAATCAGTTAAGGAACCAACTGTGAGAGGTCTGAGTAGAAACCATATTTCTATGAGTCAGAAGATATTTTACTGTGACTGAATTAGAGATTACACTTGACTTCTCTACTTTCTTTAAATCTCTGCCATTCCTTCTTAGATCTCTACTACTTAAAAAAAATGAGTTTATATTATTTCAAAGTTCAAAAACCTTGACTAGAAAAATAAAGGCCAACCACTTATAAACTAAGCCAATCTATAATGAACTCGTAGGAAGACTAAGTCTTTCTAATCCTTTAATGATACAACAGGGAAAGGAATGTGGAAGGAATAAGAAATAAGGGGAAAATTACTCTTTGGGCCTTACAAAGTATTACTTTATATTAGGAAACAAAGACTTTGGTCCTTGAAGCCTACTTTATTTTACTACCCTCTGTAAGGTTATAGCATAAGTCTCTTTGTGACAAAGCTGCAGAGTCTATAAAGTACAATCTTTTTTGTTGTTGTTGTTGAGATGGAGTCTAGCTCTGTCGCCCAGGCTGGAGTGCAGTGGAGCGATCTTGGCTCACTGCAACCTCTGCCTCCCGGGTTCAAGCGATTCTCCTGTCTCAACCTCCTGAGTAGCTGGGACTACAGGTGCATGCCAAGACACCCGGCTAATTTTTGTGTTTTTAGTAGAGATGGGGTTTCGCCATATTGGTCAGGCTGGTCTTGAACTCCTGATCTCAGGTGATCCACCTGCCTCGGCCTCCCAAAGTGCTGGGATTACAGGTGTGAGCCACCGCGCCTGGCCACAATCTTGATTAAACACATTTTTTAAAAATAACTGCTCATTTGTTTTCCATTTCTTTTTTTAATTTAAATAATTGAGGAACGACATTAAAAAATTTAAAAGCGACAAAAATAAAGAACTCTTCCACAATTTTCCAGTAATTCAATTCTGCATAATAATTAATATGAAAAAATTCATCTTTTATGTGCAATCATAATATGCGAAAGACCACAATAAGATTTGGCCCTCTGAATTGCTATCTTAGTAGTTGAAACCAGCTCGATCTTTCTTGTGCATTCCTCCCTGGGATTTACATAATTCCTGGTTATGCGATTACATTCTCTATTTGGTCAGAACTAACAATCTCGGATGGGGCAGAATTCATTACCTCAGTAGTAACTGAAGCTTCCATCCTTTATAAACTTACTAAAATGTTTTAGACTTGTAAATTCAATTCTCAATTTGTATTCTGGGTTCTTTCCCTTCTACATCTAAACCTTTCTCACTCTGATTAATCTTTCTCCTCTGACTTCTTCCCTCCTGGGTACAATCTGATCTTTTTCATCTTTCAAGACTCTTTTTTAGTTGTTAGCAATTAAGTGATACTTGTGAGGTCTATATTTGTAATGCTGTATTCAAGGTAAAATTGATCAAGATCCAAGTAACACACTTTTAAAACATGTTTCACACCAGAAAGGATACTTGACAAATGTCTCCACAACCACTGGCAGATCTATGCTTAGAAAGTTAAAACGTGGGATAAAACTGGTGATGCTCACTGAAAAAGAAAAATAAGGAATAATAAATATTATTCATACCAGAGAATCAACAGCATTATGAATTCTACCATATGGTTAAAAATTGGGCTAGCAGATTAAACTGATTGAGAAAGCCCTTCCTAAACATATGCAGGCCATATACCTCATATATAAAAGCAATCAATACTTCTAGAACATCTAATAAAAACAGCAGAATGAAAAAATACGTCCCAGTGTGTACTTACATTTTGAGGCGAGAGTAAGAAATTTACATTAAGAGTCCTTACCCTTTCAAAGAGGTATAACCTTAAAATTACATTTACTCCTACTATTATACTACTTAACCTCTTTCAGGTCTTTTTTTTTTCTTCATGGCTAAACCAAGGATTAAGATGAGGGGATTTAAAGTCTCATCTACTCTGTGGATTCCATAATCCTGTTTTTGTTCAAAACATTTTAAAACTATCCTGTAATTAGTCAGAACTCACAGTACACATTCCTGAATTACCCCCACTAGGGACATTTATTCATTTGTTGAGGTTTTATTTCATAGTTACAGTCTACAGTAATTTAGTGTCAAACTAATAGATAAGAAAAATGACCTCGGTTGTATCTCAGGATATGACTATGGAGCAATGAGAGAGTCTTTTAAAGAGTGACATAGGCTGGGTGCGGTGCCTCACGCTGTAATCCCAGCACTTTGGGAGACCAAGGCGGGCAGATCACCTGAAGTCAGGAGTTTGAGACCAGCCTGACCAATATGGTGAAACCCTGTCTCTACCAAAAATACCAAACATTAGCTGGGCGTGGTGGTGGGCACCTGTAATCCCAGCTACTCTGGAGGCTGAGGCAGGAGAATTGCTTGAACCCGGGAGGCAGAGGCTGCAGTGAGCCGAGATTGCGCCATTGCACTCCAGGCTGGGCAACAAGAGCGAAACTCCGTCTCAAAAAAAAAAAAAAAAAAAAAGAATAACATAAAACCCACATATCCATTAACTATGAATGAATAAAGAAAATGTGGTCTATCCATACAAAGGAATATCATTTGGCCTTAAAAAGAATGAAGTACTAATTCATGCCACAACACAGATAAACCTTGAAAACATTAAGCTACATCAAAGAAGCTAGTCATAAAATATTCCATTTATATGAAATGACAAGAACAGGCAAATTTATAGAAACAGAAAGTAGATTGGAGATTGCCAAGGGCTGGGGGTGTTGGGGAGATACAGGGAGTGACTACTTAATGGTTATGGAGTTTCTTTTTGGGGTGATGAAAATATTCTGCAGCTAGCTTGTGGTAATGGTTGCACAACTCAATATATTAAAAATCACTGGGCCGGGCACAGTGCCTCTTGCCTGTAATCCCAGCACTTTTGGAGGCTGAGGAGGGAGAATTGCTTGAGCTCAGGAGTTTGAGATCAGCCTGGGTAACAAAGTGAGACTCCGTCTCTACAAAACCCAAAAAATTAGCCCAGCACAGTGGAACACGTCTGTAGTCCCAGCTACTTGGGAGGCTGAGGTGGGAGGATCACTTGAGCCCGAGGTGTGGAGGTTGCAGTGAGCCAAGATTGAGCCACTGCATTCCAGTCTGGGCGACAGAGTGAGAATCTGTCTCAAAACAAAACAAAAACAAACAAACAAACAAAACCCCACTGAACTGTAAACTTTAATGGGTAAATCGCATGGTAAACTATTTTAAAAATCTTGTACAACAAAATGAGTTAGACTACATGATCTTTAGCCATAAAGAACTTAGTCCAATGATGCTGCCACTGCTAAAATGATTATGCTGGCCCAGTTTTGAAAGTATATTCATATGAAAGTCATGTGTCACACATAAATTACAGTTACATCCCCATGCATCCTGGCATTCTCTAGGGTATGTTGCTCTTGCCTGTTTTGGGGAGCTTGTATAAATTTAATAAACTCTCAGAGGACATCTGAGAGATCACCTATTTGACCTGGGCATAAATGGTAGGGAAGGAAAAATGTGTCACTCTCCATAGGCAGGCATGGATTCAGCTCCACCTTACTTTATAAATTCAGATTATTTTCCTACTGCATAATTTTCACTTAATGCTTAAGAACAAGTTAACAAGACTTTGATAAATGATCAAATTTATAATAAATGTATTAATTCAAGGATTTGTAGTGAGTCTCTACCACTGAGACTATATGTGATCTTAATGATTTTCTAAGGGTCTACCACAAAAATACTCACCTGTGTAGTGAAGATGCAGAGGATGTCCTACGTATAACATATCAATCTGAGGTGGGTGTTTTACTTTTATTAAGCGAGTGTGAGTTTCCAAAGAAGGTATTATACAGAAACTTGAACTTGAGCTTTTTTTACAGTCTTTATTGGTTCTGCAAACTTGAGTTGCTTCAACTGCTTTCCGGGCAGGAAGACATGTATGCTATAAATAAAATATTAATCAGTCAATATTAAAAATGATTAAGAAAAACCTAAGTTACATTCCTTCAATATTTTTCATGTCACCTAGCATATCAGGAATGAGGTTCATATAAAAGAAATGCCATTTATGTGCATCTACTATAAAATAGATTCAAGTACCCCATTTGGGTCAAATAAGATATTATCACTATAAATTTTTAAAGATTTTCAGATGAAATGTGACATGTGAAATGTAGAGATTTTAATAAAATGATACAAATAGAGCAAAAGAGAGAAGTTTCCATAGATTCCATTTTAGCTCTATATGCTTATTTTTTAGTAATTATATCAGACAAGCAAGACTGCTTCAGGGACAACTTACCAAACGCTTATTAAAATTATTTCTGTAGGAAAAGCACACATCTGTGAGGCTGTGATTGTTACAGCATTCAGTTGAACCATCTAGTCGTTTGTATGCTAAAGAGAAATACACTGTTTATTAGAGTCTCTTATATAAAAATACATTTGTAACAAAAAATGCCTTTAAGACAAAAAGAATAAGTAAAATGGCATATGAATTTAGAAGCAACTGTATAATTCAGAGTTCAGCTTGAGGGCTACTTGCTGCAGTTTGATTTTACATTACCAAAAGAGATCCATTCAATTTTAAATCATGAAGCAGCAGTTACCCTAGGTTAGTTGTCCTCATATAAACTGAGCTACCCATAAAGCCGGAGTTGCAGTGTCTCAGTAGGTTTCACAATAATAAGTCTGGCTGGTCAAGCACAAACATTTAATGAACTACTATTATGTGCCTGAATGCCAATGATCCAACATTACTGCTGAACCCCTGCACTGTGGTGCTGGTAAACAGAGGGGGCCAGAGGTTGCCTAAGACATCCCCATTATATCCAAATACCGATTCTACCCCAGGCTTACTTTGGGGCTCCCCCTAGAGAACCAGAGATGCCCAATTTGACCCACAGATGTGCACATACCCGCCTGTACACCAGTAATCCAGTTACCATTTTTGGAAGACAACAGCAATGGGGCAACTGTTCATTCCATTTATTTATTTAGATAGAGTCTCGCTCTGTCACCCAGGCTGGAGTACAGTGGCACGATCTCTGCTCACTGTAACCTCCACCTCCTGGGCTCAAGCAATTCTCCTGCCTCAGCCTCCTGAGTAGCTGGGACTACAGGCATGCGCCACTGCACCCGGCTAATTTTTGTATTTTTAGTAGACATGGGGTTTCACCATGTTGGCCAGGCTGGTCTCGAACTCCTGACCTCAAGTGATCTGCCCACCTCGGCCTCCCAAAGTGCTGAGATTACAGGCGTGAGCTATTGCGCCTGGCTTATTTATTTTTTAAAGTTCTTTAGTAGACTGCTTTATTTGGGAGCAGAATAAGGAATCTACTTCACTTATAAGGTGGGACAAAAAATGATTTCATGTATTTATTTAGGAATGTTTGCTGCATTCCAACACATCAAACTGGTAAAGTATAAATTTATGGGTGGCAAGGACCAATTAAATGTGAATCTTGAATATAAACTACCATACTCAGATGTGCTGATGAAAATAGACTCAAGCGCCAAATTATCCCTGTTTCTCAGGACTACAAAAAGCTTTTCTATTACAAGAGTGCTTTCAGGAGCACTTAGCATGAAAAACTTAGTTGATATGCAATGTAATTTTAATTTTATAAAAATTTTGTATTTCAGCCAAAGTTTTTGCTTGCTTGTTTTTAAATAGTTTTTTGTTTTGTTTTACTCTATTGTTTGAGGAAGACATCTTTGTATTGGTTATACTGGATTTCCCCTAGGCATACACTGTCGCTCTATCTCCTTGGCCAAAACATAGCAAAGAACCAAACAGAGGCAAAGGAAACTAACTGGTGATTGGCTGTATGGGTAATTTTGTTCTTTGTTCTGTTTTCTTTTTTTTTTTTTTGAGACAGAGTCTCACTCTGTCACCCAGGCTGGAGTATAGTGGCGTGATCTTGGCTCACTGCAACCTCTGCCTCCCGGTTCAAGTGATTCTCCCGCCTCAGCCTTCTGAGTAGCTGAGATTACAGGCACGTGCCACCATGCCCAGCTAATTTTTTTGTATTTTTAGTAGCAATGGGGTTTCACCATGTTGGCCAGGCTGGTCTTGAACTCCTGGCCTCAAGTGATCCACCCACCTGGGCCTCCCAAAGTGCTGGGATTACAGGCATGAGCCACTGAGCTGGCCTGTTCTGTCTTCTTATCATAACTGAATGGGTATTTAATTTTGAGTGAGGAGCAGTATTTAAAATATTAAAGGAGACTGTGAGCATCTAATGACACAGACAAATGCTAGCCTATAATCATCTGTCAGCCCTAATGGTAAAGTATAAGGTAAAAAGTTGTTTAGGAATTCTTTAGAAAAATCAATCCAAGCTAAAACCCTCAGTATTCTCTTTGATCAGATTGCCAAGTCCCATGGATTTTTACCTCCTCCTCATTTTTCTCCTTACCTATTCCCTCTTGAGTGCAGACTAATTCCTTCTCACTTTTAAACTACCTTATCTCATATGATTCTCTTCCTAAACTGAATTACTGGCAGTTCCTTGACCACCTTCTATTCTATGGTGCTGAGGTCCATGTCCATCTTGACGTCCTAAAAGTAAACTCACTGTTGACGGCCAGTTCAAGGGCTGATGCTGTGAAACCTGCCTTCATCTTCTCAGTCAAGACTGTTATCATTTCCCAGTATTGCCTGTCATTACTTAAATTTAAACTTGTACTGTAATAATGTGGGTATGGTCTGTTTTTCTGACTCAACTTTGAGCTCCCTGAGGGAAAGGTTTCTCAGTGTCTTATATAAGGTGGATTACTCAATATACACTGAATACATAAATGATGTTATACCCGATTTGCCTTTGCATCAGTAATGATCTTAAAATGTTTACAGCTGATGCTTAATTACTAACTTTTCTTAAGAGGACTGGGTACAATACAGAATTGGAAGTCAGGAATTTATTATCGCTAATGATACGGCATGTTTGCTAATATAAATGCTTAAATGGGCCAAGCTGGTACCAAATAAATGAAGTGGATCATATGCAGAAAAAACAAAGTGGTGGGAACTGTGAGGAACTAGAAAATACATGGCCTGTTCTAGGGGGTTAGCAGCCAGGCCACTCAATTTGGGGCCCAGAATCGACAGATCTTCCATTTTGTCCCAACAGAAACCAGAAATCTGAACCTTCATGTGAAGCCTGTTGAAGTTTAAACATTGGCAGCCAATTAAAAATTTAAAAACACTGGGCAAGCCAAAGCAAATACATCTGCTAAGGCTGGATTTGGCCTGGAGGCTGCCACCAATTTGTGATCTCTGGTTTTTTCTTCCTCTGGCATTTATTCCAAGCAAAACAGAAATCCATGGCTGTGGCCTCCCTGACAAGATTAAGTACCTCCTAACATACTGAATTTTCCAATAAAGAGTGAAATATTTTGTTTGCATGTGAGAAGTAAACTTGATATTTCTCTATCACTATTTTAAAAAGTTATAGGCTTAAACAGTTAATTTTAGAATCTTTTCTACTGGGTCACATAAAGAACAAGTTACTCAACCAATTTCTGTGACTTGATTCTTAATCTATAAGATGAGGGGGTGCAACACAGATAATTTTTACATTCATGTATTTTTATTAATTACGAGAGGCCAATACAATTCTACTTTGGAACTAATATTCAAGATTGCAATAGGATGTCCCCAGGGGAATTTATGGGTTCAATTTAACTCTAGAAGATTAGAATTGTCCTTTAAATATCCCCAGTGTGGGAGACAATCAGAAAAATTTAAGGCCAGAAAAGTTTCATAATGTTACTACAGGGAGAACTTGTATATTTTGAATGTACCCTAAGATGAGCCCGAAGATAGTCACAGAAATAGTCCAGTCTACAAAGAATGGTCTAGACCAGAGGTGACTGTGGAATAAAGCTGGAGAGAAGAGATTTTTTCAGTCTCTAGTTCACAGTGCTTACCACTTTCTGTATCTCTAATATGAACTGAACAATTTTCTTACCCTAGCTTATTAAATATATAACACATAGCTAGGGCTCCAACACAGGGAAGCAAGCCTATTTATTCTCAGTTCTGTTGCTGACTTTATGCCATCATTGCCTAGTAACAAGTAGTAAAATTAAACACACACACACACACGAGGCTGGGTGTGGTGGCTCACCCCTGTAATCCCAGCACTTTGGGAGGCCGAGGCGGGGGGATCACCTGAGGTCAGGAGTTTGAGAACAGCCTGGCCAACATGGTGAAACCCTGTCTCTACTAAAAAAATACAAAAAAATTAGCCGGGCTTGGTGGCACACACCTGTAATCCCAGCTACTCGGGAGGCTGAGGCATGAGAATTGCTTGAACCAGGGAGGCAGAGGTTGCTGTGAGCTGAGATCGCGCCACTGCACTCTAGCCTGGGCGACAGAGTGAGACTCCATCTCAAAAAAAAAAAAAAAAAAGTATATATATATATATATACACACACACACACACACACACACAGACACACACATATATACTTATATACACACTCTTACTCTTCAATTTAGGATAGCAAAGAAACCTTGGACCATAACTTGATGCTCATAATAACAAAAAAAGGTCTTTTTGCTTTTCAAATATTAGAGCAATTTGGGCATAAAAAAAATCTGAGTTCTCAAAGTTTGTTGAAAAGATTCCCAGAGTTTTCCTTTTATTATCTTAAACTGGGTCAAGAAGGGTCTTCTCTCATTCCAGTTAAAGATACGTAAGACAGTTTAATATTTCTGTTGCCAGGCAGGTAAGGGCATAAACCCTCACCTCCTTTGAACAGGAATGTAAACTGTTCACGGTGGATGCCTGAGTCTGGGCTCACAGCTTCATTTTAAGCAGAGTTGCCTTAGCATTCTGTCTCGTGCTCCTTAAAATGTAGTTCAAATGCTGGACTTGCTAAGGACAGCCTTTCTTACTCAAGACAATGCTTTCATCAAAAAGGAATTTAGCTTTATGCATATATGAAATAAGGAGTGCCTCCCTCAAAATAAAGAGTGAAAATACAAAGTACTTGCTAGGAAAATAGTCCCCCAAAAGAGCCATACTAGTTATTGTCTAAAACTTTCAGTTCTATTTAAATCACTGAGTGGTGTATGGACAGCCAGCAACCCTAAAAGCAGAGGCTTCAATATGAATGGGGGAAGAGTGTATGTTTTTCTGTTCTGACCCAGATAAGACCAGAGATCTATTCCAGGTACAAAGGGCTCTAAGCCCTCACTCAGTGTTCTTCTTGGAGTTTCCCCAAAAGGCCGTTTAACCTTCAAAGAGTTTAAATCTAATACTGCATCTGAGAGAGACAGGATATGAAATAAGAGGCTAGAGATAATTGGTGGAGATGGTTTACAAGCACTTCCAGGGTGTGATCTTTCCTAGGTGGCTTTATTGCTCTGAAATGGTATAAATTCCTAGAATTTAGTTATGTGTACTGAATTCTACTCTAAATTGAACATGAATAACTTTTGGATCATTGGACACTCTGTAATAGTATATCTGACCATATCTTTCACTCCTACTTACAATGAAGGATAACGAAGTTACCTAGAAACATATAAAATACCATCAATCCATAGCTTTCTTAAATGTCCACAGACCCAGGGGCTAAGCCTGCCATCAAAATTAATCTAGTATGTATTTTTTTTTTAAGGCTAGTCAAGTGATGTAGTGGGAATAGAGAAGGAACAAAGAATTCTGTAACTGGTTGTGTTCAATTAATTGTAAGCACAACTGCATTTGGACCAGCCATAGTATGTATTTTAAGTGATATTTACAGACATTAATACTCCTTTAAACTGGCTAAGTATACATACTCCATTTTCAAAAGCTTAAATAGAGGCACAGATTTATCAGATATAGTAATCATGTAAAATAAACATGTATACTGAGACAAAATAGATATTGAAGAATTACTCTTGGGCTGGGACAGCCCAGGGCTTGAAAAAAAAAAAAAAGAATTACTTCTGGATTGATTGTAGTATAAAAAGAGTAATATCTGCTTTAGGTATTTAAACAAATACCTCCAAAATGTAGCACATGATCCACAACAGTGAAATACTCAAACAGTTAATAAGAAGAGAGTTTCTGAGTGTTTCAGGGAAAATTTTTATTTACAGTCTGTCTGTCAGGAAAAGGATAAAACCCTAAACATCTGAAAATGCAGATATCCTAAGTAAAACAATCCTACTGAAGAGAACTTTATTTAACTAGTGTGTCACTTTGGTTTTTGTAATTCAATACACATTACATCAAATTTAGAGAAACCAAAAGAAAAGGATAAAGGACTTAAGAAGTGGAAAATAATGGATCATTTCTTTAAAGAAGAACACATTGTGGATTACATATTAATCTTCTGTCATCTTAAAAGTTTTGGAAGATGGTAAGAGGCTCCTGAGAATGGGGAAAATTTATAAATATTTCAACCTTAAAGAATCAGATTGCTCCACTGAACAATCTTAACACCATTAAAACAGAGAACAATAGATACTGGATGCAATATGATGCCACAGGAAGTACCAAGCGCTGTTTATGAAGTGTTTTTGCCAAAAAAAAAACCCAAACAAAAAAAAAGGATTCTGAATCTAATCAACGCCATGGACCTAATTAGCAGTTTATAGAAAATTGGAAGACATCTGAACAAGTTAATGACATCATGAGGATAAGATATAACCAGAAAAACCCAGAATTTAGGAAATTCAACAAAACAAATGCCTCAGTTTCTTCAACAAAAAAATAACATTTCAAAAACAGGTCAAGGAAAATTGTTACAAATTTAAAAAGTCTTAGAAGACATCCTAACTAATTTAAATCAACTATAATGAAAAGAATTAGAAACAACTGAATACCAACCAGATATCAGAAATTAGTGTTATTTTGTTAGGAATTATAACAGTATTGTGGTCGTGTTTAATGAGTCATCATCCGTTAAAGGCAGGCTGAAAGGTTATGGATGAAATGATAGGATGCCTGGGATGTACTTTAAAATACTTCCCCTAAAAGTGGACTGCTTAGATGAAAAAATTGGCAAAATGTTAATAACTGCCGAAGCTGGCAGAAAGATACATGTGGGCTCGTTTATACTAGAAAATATTAGAGTCCTAAAAGTTAAATATGATATTATGAAAATAGTTAGAAGTTCAACAATATATAATAAAGGAAACACACATATTAGCATCCAACTTACCAAGAAAAATGTCTATTGGTTTGAATCTATTTACTTTACTGATTTACTTTAAACAGATTAGAACAGAATAAATCTATAGACATGGTCTAAGGATTAGTGAATGGCAGGTACTGGTGCTTGAAGCATTATATTATATTGAGGAAATATATTCTCCATCGTGTCTAAACATTTTTGATAATAAAAAAATTCTTACAAATGAGTAAATTTTAAAAAGTTTTTTTAAAAAAATCAGTTCTTACTACTTTGCCTGTGTTGCACACAGTACTTTACTAAAACTATTCTTGATTATTAATCATATTTCCCTACACCAATAGATGTGGACAAGTATCAGGATATTTTTTTACTTAAAGATATAGTCTGTGAGCATAATTTCTATTTTCTAACACCTCCAATTTTGTATAAAGAATTGGGAAGCTGATTTTGTATAAAGAATTGGGAAGCTGATTTTTCAGAGCTGAAATAACTCTAAATAAGTTTGGCAGGATCCGAGAAGAAACTTGCCTCAGCTCTGTCATCTGCTGCACAGAGCAACATATCTGACTTCACATGGTATTTTTGGAAGCCAAGACAACTTCTTTAGGATGGCTGCCACATAAAATACATAAAATAACTCTACCCCAGATAGAATCAGACATGCCAACACTGATTCCACTAGAACTGTTTAAGTATTAAGGGAATTTTTAAGAAGTAAGGGAATTTTTTCTAAATCCCAGATGGGGTTTTTTGTTTGCCAAGTTCCTTCTTATTTCTTGTAATCTTTCCTTATTGCATGTCTGTGTTGGGCTAACAATATATTAATACAGAATGTTTATGCTTTGATTTTTATATATTTAGTTGTTAACTATCGTTGTTTATCTGTTCTGACATAAGCTTATGCAAAGTAGAACCGGTTCTTATTACTTATATTCCCTTTTTCAATTATAAAAGTTTAAAGTACTATAATATATCTACAGACATGCATAAAGATAATATTATATTGGGGTATTTGATTATTGGAATTAGTTAATTGGTTATGATTGACCTTGAATGCTGATTTTTTTTTTTTTTTTTGAGACAGAGTCTCTTTCCATGTCCCGATCTCGGCTCATTGCAACCTCCACCTCCCGGGTTCAAGCGATTCTCCTGCCTCAGACTCCCGAGCAGCTGAAATCACAGGCACCCGTCACCATGCCCTGCTAATTTTTGTATTTTTAGTAGAGATGGGGTTTCACTATGTTGGCCAGGTTGGTCATGAACTCCTGACCTCAAGTGATCCGCCCGCCTCAGCCTCCCAAAGTGCTGGGATTACAGGCGTGAGCCACTGCGCCCGGCTATGATTTAATACAAGTGTTTTGAAAGCAGAAAATATTAGAGTCCTAAAAGTTAAATATGATATAATGAAAATAGTTAGAAGTTCAACAATATATAATAAAGGAAACACATATTAGCATCCAACTTACCAAGAAAAATGTCTATTGGTTGGAATCTATTTACTTTACTGATTTGCTTTAAACAGATTAGAACAGAATAAATGTATAGACATGGTTTAAGGATTAGTGAATGGCAGGTACTGGTGCTTGAAGCATTATATTATATTGAGGAAATATACACACCTCTAACTGGGAAACTTAACTGCTGTAAAGTTGATGCACTTATACAGTAACCAATTTGGGGCTCATAGGCGATGGTATCTAAACATTCATTCCAATCTTGCACATTAGTAACAGGACAATCCTGTAGATGGGTGACAAGGTCTCCCACAAAAAGGCCTCTGGGTCCAATGGCAGGAGAGTCCTTGGGAAGAGGGTAAAACCAAATCAGATAATGCATGAAGACAAGCTATAATTAATCTGAGCAAATAATAAAGACACTGAGTTAATTAAGTGAATAGTTTGAATGCAGAAAATAATCCAGCTTTGAATTCAAGACATAGTCCTAGAAAATTAAAATAAAACCCAACAATTATAGTTGCTTTTCCCAAATTCTCCAAGATTTTGAATTTTTCACAATTGAAAAAAAGCCGACTTGCTGACTGTTAAGACTAAAATGATAAAATTTTTTCCCAAACTGCCAATTAAAAATTTTTTGGTGAAAGTATCATCAGACTGTCTTGCCTTTCCTATATCCTTAACGCATAAAACAATAAGACACATCCTTTCATATCCCCAATATGCAGGCAATACCATCAGTACAATGTATATGTAAGCCAATTGCTCACAAAGGTAATTTTCCTCTTTCTAATGTCTGAATACAAGATTTGATGCCATCATAGCAGTTATTGTCTAAGGGAGTGAAATACAGAGTTGAAGACATTAACTTAAACTCCTATGAAATGTTACGGCTGGACAGCCTAGGTTTCATCTTTCTTACTACTTAGGAGGCGTAAAGACATTTGACTCAAAAGCAGAGATATAAAAATAAACAGAAAAGGTAAATGATGCATTTTACCAATAAACTACAGGTAGAAAATCTTGATACTATCTTCCTAAGTACAGCATCAGGACAAAAACAATTTTCATGAAACTTTAAAAAAACCAATGTGTTTCCCAACATTATTTGTTAGATTTGAGAGGACTACAGTAATTTCTTCAGAAGAAACTAAGCATTTTGTATATGAAGAGATCTTGAATAAAAGTTTCTGAATAGATGCTAGGTATTACATCACAACATCTGATGAAAGAATGCCCTGAGTAATCCATTATTTACCTCAGCAACTTCAGTGATGAGCACCCCAACTCCAGTGTAGTAAAATGGCAAGAGAATTACTGGGAGGAGAACAAGAGCTAAAATACCCAAGAGTGCAAGGACAAAATTATGCCAGATACCTGGAAAGAGAGGAAAAAAAGCAATAAGCTCAACCGGGGGCAGGAATGATATAAGTAGCTGGACCTCACAACACTTGGGCATTCTGATAAATTAATAAAGTGATCAGAAGAAGCAATGAGGCAAAAATATCTACTTATTAGTAGAGCAGACAGATGTTCAATTATTAGTTACTTTCATTTTAGATATTGAAATCTAAAATGGGCATGTTAATACCACACTAGGAAGACCACATGCTAACATGATTTGATACTGATAGAACTAATATCTTCCACTAATTATACTCTCTTTTCAGAAAATGTATATATCACTAATTTAAACATATTTGTGATCTTTGAAAGAAACCTCATATACATTCAAATAAAAAAAACTCTTGCTAAACAGGGGTACAGAAACTCAAATGGTACTTGGAAAAAGGAGGTTGTTTTAAGAACTAAACTATTATGCAGAACAATATTGGTGGAACAAACCGAGCATATATTTTACATCACGTCACAGACTATAAAGCAACAAACCATAAGAAAACTGTCGGCCAGGCACGGTGGCTCACGCCTGTAATCCCAGCACTTTGGGAGGCCAGGGCGGGCGGATCACGAGGTCAGGAGATCAACACCAGCTTGGCCAACATGGTGAAACCCTGTCTCTACTAAAAATACAAAAAAATTAGCCAGGCATGGTGGCGCGCGTCTGTAGTCCCAGTTGCTTGTGAGGCTGAGGCTGGAGAATTGCTTGAACCCGGGAAGCGGAGACTACAGTGAGCTGAGATCGTGCCACTGCGCTCCAGCCTGGGTGACATAGCACAGAGCAGGACTCCGTCTCAAAAAAAAAAAAAAAAAGAGAAAACCGTCTTTATTATTTTTTTTTAAACCCTAAAATTTAGGTACTCAAATTCATTAATCTTTTCCATTATATATTCAACCTTTGCAGCTGTGCAAAGGAAGACTTTCTCGCCCCTAACATTATGTAAGTAATCACTCTTTTTGTGGAGAAGGATGGTTTAAATAGTTTTATTTTTACATTTAAATCTCTTACCATTTGGAATTTATTTTTGTGTATGTGTGTGATTTTTACATTTAAATCTTTTACCATTTGGAATTTATTTTTGTGTATGGTGTGACTGATACATATAACTAATTTTATTCAAATGTTTAGCTAATAATTACTGAGCAGTGCATTCTTTCCCTACTAAATTAAATGCAACTTTTAATTTACAATACATTTTCATCTATTCTTTGGCTTGCTTCTGGAATTTCCATTCTTTTCCACTATTCCAGTGACAATAAAGCTGTTGCTGGTAGTAATATTTCAGTATTTAGTAAATAAATACTTTCAATTTGTTTATTTTGGTTATTCTCCCCTTATCCTTTCTGATAAATTTGAGAATCATTTTGACAACCACCAAATATTATTCAAATTAGGATTTTTTTTCTTTTTTTCTTTTTTTTTTTTTTTGAGACAGAGTCACGCTCTGTTGCCCAGTGGCGAGATCTCAGCTAACTGCAACCTCTGCCTCCTGGGTTCAAGTGATTCACCTGCCTCAGCCTCCCGAGTAGCTGGGATTACAGGCGCCCACCACCACGCCCGGCTAATTTTTTTGTAGTTTTAGTAGAGACAGGGTTTCACCATGTTGGCCAGACTGGTTTTGAACTCCTGACCTCAAGTGATCCGCCCACCTCGGCCTCCCAAAGCGCTAGGATTACAGGTGTGAGCCACTACGCCTGGCCCACATTAGGATTTCTAATGTCACTGCAATGACTGCAATAACTAGGGGTAAATCCATAATTTTACATTTCTGACATAGGAACACGACATCTGTTTACTGAAATCTTCTACATCTCTCAGTACAGATTTGTAGTTTCTCTATATAGGCCCTGTGTACTTCTTTTAAAATGTTAGTTTTTTATTTTTTATATGTCACATTACTTTCTGAATGAGATCTTTTCTTCCTATTACATGATCTGTTTCTTTCAGATACACAGGAATACTACATTTATTTTTGTATATTTACTTTGTAATTAATCACCAAACTGAACTTTCCATTTAGGATGTCTTAGTCTTTATTCTCTTGGATTTTCCATTATTTGCTAATAATAATCATTTATCTCCTCCAACATTCATACCTCATCTTTTCCTTCCTGTTTGGTCTTATAGCAATGACTGTAACTTCTAGAACACTTTTCAATAGTTGTGATGGAATGCCTTTTTTGCTTTCTTCATGATTTTAATAAAACAACAGCCAAGAAACAGTAGGACTTAGATGGAATTGAGGATCAATTTTATTCTGGTTTATATACTAAGCAATGAGACTGGGGCAACAGTAGAAAAATCAGAATATGGGAGACTCAGGGTTTAAAAATATCATGGGGCCGGGCACGGTGGCTCATGCCTGTAATCCCAGCATTTTGGGAGGCTGAGGTGGGCAGATCACTTGAGACCAGGAGTTTGAGACCAGCCTGGGTGACAGAAAGATACTCTGTCTCAAAGAAACAAAAAAACAAAACAAACAAACAAACAAAAATCATGGGTCAAGGGAGAAGAAAATCTATAGTTGTCATCAAGGCAGCAAGATACCCATAGACTTGAAGCTGGTGATTATTATTAAGCGGGGGCTAAGGGCTACCCCAATCAAGCCCTACTTATGCTTAGTGTGGTTTGCAAATAATAATAAAAAAAAACCACAACTACCTTAATTCTCTAAACACACAGAAATGATTTACAGGTCACCAGATGACTGAATAGGTAAAATAACAACTCAATATTCCTTGAATAACTCACAGTAGTTATAGCTGAAAGAATGTAAACTATCAATTTGGCAAGGCTTACACTGTGTTCTAAGTTTAAATTCCAGCTTACTATAATCACAACATCACTTTTATCACCAATGTTTTTTACTTTGCCCTCAAATAAACTTACAACTGGCTTATACAAATAAGAACAGGGTTTTCAATATTTAAGAAGGATTTAAAAACATTTAAGTATAGAAACAGAATGGTCAAATTTTACTTCCACTATTTATAAAGGAATTTTTAGCAACAAAGCATAGAGAATTTTTTTAAAGCAATCTACTCTTCACTTGGAACCAGATAGCAGGTATTGTTTAATCCCTCTTCTAAAAATTCTATACACCATAATTCAAAATTTAAACATCTTCATTTACAGTGTGCTCAGGAAGTATCTCATCTCATCTCTCTTTTTTCCCCACCAAATTTCAGACAGATGTTTAGTGGCTTTTTCTTTTCAAAATCAGTATATATTTCATTTTTTTTTTTTTAAAGAAATAGCCCCGTGTGGTAGCTCTAGCTCATGCCTGTAATCCCAGCACTTTGGGAGGCCGAGGTGGTTGTATCTCTTGAACCCAGGAGTTTGAGACCAGCCTGGGCAACATGGCAAGACCCGCCTCTCTACAAAAAATACAAAAATTAGCTGGGTGTGGTGGTGCACACCTGTGGTGCCAGCGACTTGGGAGACTGAGAAGTGGGATGATCACTTGAACCCAGGAGGTCGAGGCTGCAGTGAGCGGTGATTGTACCACTGCCCTTCAGCCTGGGTGACAGGGTGATATCCTGTCTCAGAAAAAAAAAAAAAAAAGAAAGAAAGAAAGAAAAAAAGAAAAAAACCTATTACATATACAACTTATTTTGCTTTTGAAACAGAGTTCTCACTCTGTCATCCAGCTGGAGTGCAGTGGTACAATCTCTGCTCACTGCAACCTCTGCCCCCCAGGCTCAAGCCATCCTCCCACCTCAGCCTCCTGAGTAGCTGGGACCACAGGCATGCACCACCATGCTCAGCTAATTTTTTGTATTTTTAGTAGAGACGGAATCTTGCCATGTTGCCCAGGCTGGTCTCAAACTTCTGAGCTCAAGTAACCTGCCCACCTCAGCCTCCCAAAGTGTTGGGATTAAAGGCGTGAGTCACCACACCTGGCCTATATATGCAACTCTTTAAAAGTAGCATTATAAAACTAGATTTATTGGGAGGCTGAGGCGGGTGGATCACCTGTGGTCAGGAGTTCGAGACCAGCCTGGCCAACGTGGTGAAACCCCATCTCTAAAAAAACATAAAAAATTAGCTGGGTGTGGTGGCAGGTGCCTGTAATCCCAGCTACTTCGGAGGCTGAGGCAGGAGAACCACTTGAACTCAGGAGGCGGAGGTTGCAGTGAGCCAAGATCGTGCCATTGCACTCCAGCCTGGGCAACAAGAGCAAAACTCCGTCTCAAACAAACAAACAAAAAACAAAACAAAACAAAACAAAAAACTAGATTTAAATGACACCCTGGACTTTTTACATGGAAGTGGGAAGACATTTTAGAAGCAATGAAATTATATTCCTAAATTTAAAACCAATAAAGTAGGCAGAGGGTACACACATATTTCTCTCTCCCTCTAAATACATAATTTATGTACATCCCTAAACTTTGAGGAACACACAGGTTTCCCACGTTGTCTTCCACTTTGATGGCTACACCACGGTGAGCTCACAGCTCAGCAAACATTTAGCAGGGATACTAAACTCTTCTTTTTAGAGACAATTCCAGATCTTTGAATTTGTCCTGTCTTGAATTCAGGGCAAGATAAGCATCTCCTCCCCACCCCTAACCTTGCCCCCTTGCCTGGGAAAGACGGCAGGGCAAAGCTGTTCAGCTGTCTACTAGGCTGACAACTCACAACTGGGAATGAGAAGTTAATGGGCTAGGTGATGTTTGGGATAGCGGGACTAGTTAGTTCTATACCATTTAATAAGCTCTGAAAGAGGTGCGTGGACCCAATTATTGGTGGGGATATATATAACCTTCTTTAGTCTTAGTTTTGGACATTAGGTGTCAATTTTAAGGAAAAAGAAGTCTCAGTACATTTTAACCCTAATATGAAATTAATTTAAAAATGTTCAATTGGCTTTTAAAAAATTACTAAAAAATACACACTGACTATAAAAATTCCAAACAATATAGAAGTAATAAAAAGTCATCTTTCCCAAATACCATTTCTCAACCACCAGCCCCATGACTCACAGTAAGCATACTGTTATCATTTTCCATTACTCCAGATTTTCTCTGCCCACATCAGCATGTATATGAGTATACATGTGTAATAATTTTAATAATTTACTCAAGAGTACAAAGCAGCAAGTTTTCTAATAACTTTTTCAAGACAGTTTTATAGTTTTTAATTTTTTTTTAAATTTAATTTTTTTTTTTTTTTTTTGAGACAGTCTCACTGTCGCCCAGGCTGGAGTGCAACGGCGTGATCTCGGCTCACTGAAACCTCCGCCTCCTGGGCTCAAGCAACACTCCTGACTCAGTGTCCTAAGTAGCTGGGACTACAGGCGCGTGCCAGCATGCTCGGCTAGTTTTTTAGTGTGTGTGTTTTTTTTTCTAGAGACAGGGGTTTCACCATTTTGCTCAGGCTGGTCTTGAACTCCTGAGCTCAAGCCATCCTCCCACCTCCGCCTCCCAAAGTGCTGGGATTACAGGCGTGAGCCACCGCGCCCAGTCGGTTTTATATATATATATATATATATATATATATATATATGTTTATATATATATGTTTATATATTTATATATGTTTATATATATGTGTATATATATTTATATATGTTTATATATATGTGTATATATATATATGTTTTTTATATATATATGTTTTTTGTTTTTTGAGACGGAGTCTCGTTCTGTCGCCCAGGCTGGAGTGCAGTGGCGCAATCTCGGCTCACTGCAAGCTCCGCCTCCCGGGTTCACGCCATTCTCCCGCCTCAGCCTCCAGAGTAGCTGGGACTACAGGCGCCCCCCACCACGCCCGGCTAATTTTTTTTGTTTTTAGTAGAGACGGGTGGTTTCACCGTGTTAGCCAGGATGGTCTCCATCTCCTGACCTCGTGATCCGCCCGCCTCGGCCTCCCAAAGTGCTGGGATTACAGGCTCACGTGAGCCACCGCACCAGGCCTATATTTTTTAAACTCTTTTTTTCCCCTTAGCATCTTATATCCTATCCTATGGCAGATATGGTTATATGAACCCAGTGGTTCTCTGAAGCCTGCTCCTACCAGCTTGCCAGAGTTAATTGTGTGCATTTCTTCCTAATTCCTCCTTCAGGAAGTGCAGGTTTGCAGCTTGAAACTGACCACGGTGCAAGTATTTACACCACAGAAACCAGCAAATGCTACCATCAGAGCTCCCTACCTTAGCCCTGCAGAGCCAGATGTTAAACATTCACTTAACACGCCACTAGATAACCCCTTCCCCCATACCTAGTCTTCCCTTTTCCTATTGCAGTTTTCCTTATGGGGCGGGGTATGGGCACTACTAGCACCAGGATGTGATGGAGACAACCCTGTACTGTGGGCTGTAATGTAGCTATGATGGAGCTGGATTTAGGTCCACGACACAGAAGCTGCATGTTGGGAATAGCAGAGCTAACAAGACAGAACCTGTGTACCCAAATTACAGAGTTATCCGATCAACACTGAACTACTTATATTTGGAATGTTTTGAAAGTTTATGCCACTTATTTTTAGTTATTAGAGCAGCCAAATACCTAGCTAACACATGTTCCAAGTAATGAATTCACATTGTAAAATGTTCCTTTTAAAATTTTTAAAGTGTTGTAAATTATTAAATTCCAGAAATAGCCAGACAAAGTATGGTCTAGGACTTATCAGGTAAATGATCTTTTCTATTATATACAGATACATCATTTAAAAATACCAATGGTATCAAATTATTATACTATATTTTGCTTTTTCGTGTTTTTTTTTGTTTGTTTTTTTTAAAGAGACAGTCTCGCTCTATTGCCCAGGTTGGAGTGCAGTGCTGTGATCACAGCTCATGGCAGCCTTGAACTCCTGAAGTGATCCTCCCACCTCAGCCTCCTAAAATTTGGGATTACAGGTGTGAGCCATCACACCCTATTTGCTTTTAAATTTATATATTTTTGACATTTTTCCATATCTGTTCATAAATATCAATCTCATTATATCTGCTACAGAGTAATCCATTTTTATTAACATATCAACTTATTTATAAGGTATCCTACTATTAATCACTTAGGGTGTTTTAACCTTTTCATATAATACTGCAATACACAGCTTTGCTTATAATGTTAGGCGTCCAGTTAAGTATGCATCTGCAAGGGTATGAAAAATTACCTAGAAATGGAAATGTTGGGTCAAAAAATATGAACATTAAAGCTGACCTCCAATGAGTTTGCATTATTGAATTAATTTATACTCTCATAATTGACATTTTTCCACTCTCTGAATGACACTGGATGCTATCATAATTTTACTCTTTGCCAGTCTTCTGGGTGAAAAATTAAAGCCCATTTTCTTAAGAGCTACTTATTTCTATCCATTGCCATTTTTTGATTGAGTTGTCTTATTAATTTACTAATTTGTATATGCTATTATTTATAATCTATATAGGGAGGAATTTGGTCCTTTGTAACAGGTATTATAATTTTATCTTTCCAGTTTGTTGTTTGATGTGGTTTGTTGTTTTGCCTGTACAGATACTTTAAATTTTTGTGTGATCAAATAGTTCCTTGTACTAAGCCTTTTCCACCTCAAGATTATAAAAGATATTCACTTGTGTTTTCTTGTACTGCTTTCATAGCTTCCTTAACAAAATTAAAACAAAATTTAAAAAACCTAATCCTTTGATGCACAGTAATTTACTCTGGGGAAACTAATTTAGGATACTACTATGAATTCCCCCCAACCCCAGCTCAGTTGCTAGTCACAGAAACAAGACATGAACAAATGAGTAAAAGCCGGGACACTCAGCAGCACTGATTCCTTGACTATTTGTGTAGTCTCTTATCTCGTCAGGCATGTAGCTAGTACCAGATCACCCCTCTGATTCTGGATTTACCCATGCTGGTTAAGCGGCAATGAGGGTGGTGGAGCACAAACATTTCTTTCATCTGAACAACCTCTTGCCCATTAATGATTGGATTATAAGTACTGCAAACCTCTGGAATCTTTCTTATAAACTTTTACTTTTTCTACAGCAGGGTTTCTTAACAGGGACACTATTGGCATTTACTTTATTTTTTTTGAGACGGAGTCTCACTCTGTTACCCCGGCTGGAGTGCAGTGGCACTCTCTCAGCTCACTGCAACCTCCACCTCCTGGGTTCAAGCGATTCTCCTGCCTCAGCCTCCCAAGTAGCTGGAATTACAGGTGCTATGCCAGCAACCCCAGCTAATTTTTGTATTTTTAAGTAGCCGGGGGATGGTTTCACCATGTTGGACAGGCTGGTCTTGAACTCCTGACCTTAAGTGATCCACCCACCTCAGCCTCTCACAGTGCTGGGATTACAGGCAGGAGCCCTGCGCCCAGCCCCTCTGCCCCTTTTTCTCTTTTTTTTTTTTTTTTTGACACAAGGTCTTACTCTGTCACCTAGGCTGGAGTGCAGTGGCTCGATCACGGCTCACCGCAGCCTCGACTTCCCCAGCTCCAGTGATCCTCCCATCTCAGCCTCCTGAGTAGCTAGGACCACAGGTGTGCGCCCCACACTCAGCTAATTTTTTTATTTTTGGTAGAGACCGAGTTATGCCATGTTGCCCAGGCTGATGTCCAACTCCTGAGCTCAAACGATCCACCCACCTTGGCCTTCCAAAGTGTTGACATTACAGGCATGAGCCCCTGCACCTGGCACTATTGGCATTTTGGCCAAATAATTATGTGCTTCGTGGGGCTGTCTGCGCATTGTAGGATGTTTAGTGGCATTTCTGATCTCCCTCCACCCACCAGATGCCAGTAGCACCCTCCCCTTTTTCTTTAGTTCTAGCTTCTGTATTGACATAGGCAAACTACTTTTTTCTTTCTTTAGAAGAGGTGTTTTATTTTGCTTTTTCTATTACACAGGATGTACTTCTTAAGTGTTAAAGTCAACATATACACAATATATTCTACAAGCAAGCACTACTTTAACTGAACAGGCAAAGAAATTACACTAAACAACAGCATCTGGTAGTATTTTGGGGAAAATAAAATGACTAAAATAGGTTTAAACTAGTACTATTAAATCACCTAATATCAATACTACATGACCTAATACAGCTAAAATGCAAGATGTGTTAACATCTAATAATACAACCAAGATTAAAACAAATAACACCTATATAACTTTTTTAAGCAGGAAAATACTTCACGTATGCATATAATTGTTCACTCTTTTAAAGTAAATCTTTCCCAAAGTTATCAACCTCCAGAAAAACCATACATAGACTTATTAAGCATATTCCTAAAAGTATAAACATGAACATTTTGAATTTTTTTACAATTTAAAAAAAAAATTGTAAACAATAAATGAACTTCCTATTTCTAAGAATGTGAAAAGTCCCATTTTAAACACAGTTTGTAAGAACTGTCTCTTGATGTGAAGTCTACGAAGTCTATGGCTAATTTTTGTATTTTTAAGTAGCCGGGGGATGGTTTCACCATGTTGGACAGGCTGGTCTTGAACTCCTGACCTTAAGTGATCCACCCACCTCAGCCTCTCACAGTGCTGGGATTACAAGCAGGAGCCCTGCGCCCAGCCCCTCTGCCCCTTTTTCTCTTTTTTTTTTTTTTTTTTGACACAAGGTCTTACTCTGTCACCTAGGCTGGAGTGCAGTGGCTCGATCACGGCTCACCGCAGCCTCGACTTCCCCAGCTCCAGTGATCCTCCCATCTCAGCCTCCTGAGTAGCTAGGACCACAGGTGTGCGCCCCACACTCAGCTAATTTTTTTATTTTTGGTAGAGACCGAGTTATGCCATGTTGCCCAGGCTGATGTTCAATTCCTGAGCTCAAACGATCCACCCACCTCGGCCTCCCAAAGTGTTGACATTACAGGCCTGAGCCCCTGCACCTGACACTATTGGCATTTTAGCCAAATAATTATGTGTTTCGTGGGGCTGTCTGTGCATTGTAGGATGTTTAGTGGCATTCCTGATCTCCCTCCACTCACCAGATGCCAGTAGCACCCTCCCCCTTTTCTTTAGTTCTAACTTCTGTACTGATATAGGCAAACTACTTTTTTCCTTCTTTAGAAGAGGTGTTTTATTTTGCTTTTTCTATTACACAGGATGTACTTCTTAAGTGTTAAAGTCAACATATACACAATATATTCTACAAGCAAGCACTACTTTAACTGAACAGGCAAAGAAATTACACTAAACAACAGCATCTGGTAGTATTTTGGGGAAAATAAAATGACTAAAATAGGTTTAAACTAGTACTATTAAATCACCTAATATCAATACTACATGACCTAATACAGCTAAAATGCAAGATGTGTTAACATCCAAGACTACAACCAAGATTAAAACAAATAACACCTATATAACTTTTTTAAGCAGGAAAATACTTCACGTATGCATATAATTGTTCACTCTTTTAAAGTAAATCTTTCCCAAAGTTATCAACCTCCAGAAAAACCATACATAGACTTATTAAGCATATTCCTAAAAGTATAAACATGAACACTTTGAATTTTTTAACAAGTTTTTTAAAAACATTGTAAACAATAAATGAACTTCCTATTTCTAAGAATGTGAAAAGTCCCATTTTAAACAGTTTGTAAGAACCGTCTCTTGATGTGAAGTCTACGAATTTTTCTCCTGTTGGGACCAAACTTTACAAAAATAGTTACAGAACAAGCTATGGCATCTTAGCACTATTATCTTATGTCAAGGTTTACCTTTTTAAAAACGTTTAAATTCTATTTTTACTACTCTAACAAAACACGAACCTTAAATGTGCAGGATTCATTTTTTTTTAAAACTCTTAGAAACAACATACAAAGCTTTGAGAGGCATATTTATTCCCTACCGCAGTCCTGGAAGATAATTCCCAAGTCTGAGAGGGGTCTTCTCCTTTTCACGGGTTGTTTTTGGTCTTCACATGCGTTAATATGTGGGTTTTCAGGTTGGTTGACTGAGCGAACTTCCTGTTGCAAACATCGAAGGGGCACACGAAGGGCTTATCGCCGGTGTGGATGCGCAAGTGTGTGCGCAAATTGAAATCAAGGGAAAAGCGTTTCCCGCAGCCTTCGAATGTGCACTGAAAGGGCTTCTCGCCGGTGTGGACCAGCTGGTGTCGTCTCAGCTTTGAGCTCTCAAGAAAAGCTTTGCCACATTCTGCACATACGTGGACTCTGGGCCCGTGGATGTGGAGATGTTTTCTCATGGCGGCGTAATCCCGGAACATCTTTTCGCAGCCGCTATAAGAGCAAGGGACTGTTTTGGGAGGTTCTCCTTTGGACCTTTTGGGCTTCACTTTAGTAAATTCTGCCAGCTGTTTAGGATCTGAGAGATCAATGCCTGGTAACCCCCCAGGAGGAAGTTTCTTCCCTTTCAAGTACTCGGAATAATCAGGTGGGTTTTCAGCCTGGCCTTCACCCACTGCCCCTTGGTCATTGTTATCGTTAGGGGACCACATAGTCACGGAAAACTCACCCTCCAGCGTTTTGACCTGCATTTGCTTCTGCTCCCACTTCCTCGTGCCCAGGCTGGAGCTGCTGCCTGCCGGGTTGGCCTCAGTGCTGGTGGCACTCTTGCCGCTGGGCTTTTTGCTGGGCTTTTTGCTGCGGCTCTGGGTTGATGTTGATGTTGATGCCGCCGAGGCCGACAGAGAGGCCAGGGTCATCTGGAAGTGCTCGTCTTCAATGCTATCCGGGAGGGCCAACTGGTCCTCCAAGTCGTTGCCTAGCTGGTTGTCTGAGTCGCAATAGCCCACCACTTCCTCTTGTGTCTGCAACATAAGCATTTCCTGGTCGTGGTCGCCATAGCCCGTGTTCGTGAAGAGCGGCTGCAACACCATCAATGGCGGATGGTTGTGGCCACCGTAGATCCAATTGCCATCCACATCCTCGTACTGGACGCTTTCCGTCGGAATGTCCTCCATAGGAAGGGGCTCCACATTGATGTCGTGGAGCTCCACAATATCTGCCGGGATCTCCAGGTCTTGTGTGATGGAGAAATCTTCGTTGGAGGCCATGGCTGAGAGTTAGTTAGGTTAGCGGCAACGGGAAGACCGTGGGAAAAAGAACGCTGAGGGGAGTGAGGTGGGAGCTGCAGAGGAAGGGGCGAGCTGCAGAGGAAGGGGCGAGCTGCAGAGAAAGGCGCGAGCTGCAGAGAAAGGCGCGAGCTGCAGAGAAAGGCGCGAGCTGCAGAGAAAGGCGCGAGCTGCAGAGAAAGGCGCGAGACTGAGGAAAGCACGAGCCGGAAGGCGCAGGTGCTTCTGGGATAGCCAGACGCATGCGCCTAGGCAACTGGCGCGTCTGTCGGCCCCAAAAGCACGTGCACGTGCCCGCGTACGTTTGCCACCCTGCGACCCCGCCCAGCTGTTGTTTTTCCACTTTCGTAAGCAGGCTCTTTACTGATTTTTTATGTATTTCATTTTAGTTGATTTTCATGTCTTCCCCTCCTGTCCATCCCATATAACAGTATCTGCCAAAAAAGCCTACTCCTTTTATGCTTTTTTCTCTTATTTAATTGCACTAATACGACATTTAATATCAGTAATAGTTGATAGTAGAATTTGTCTTGTCCTTTAATAGGAATGCAAAGTGTTGTGCTATTATGATGTATGCAGCTATTCCTACTTTTACTAAGGATTTTTTTTTTTTTTTGAGACGGAGTCTCGCTCCGTCGCCCAGGCTGGAGTGCAGTGGCGCGCGATCTCGGCTCACTGCAACCTCCGCCTCCTGGGTTCGAGTGATTCTCCTGCTTCAGCCTCCAGAGTAGCTGGGCCGGGCACAGCAATCCCACACCTGTAATCCCAGCACTTTGGGAGGCCGAGGCAGGAGGGTCACTTGAGGTCAGGAGTTTGAGACCAGCCTAGCCAACATGGCAAAACCCCTTCTCTACTAAAAATACAAAAATTAGCTGGGCGTGGTGGCTCGTGCCTGTAATCCTAGCTACTCGGGAGGCTGAGGCAGGAGAATCGCTTCAACCTGGGAGGCAGAGGTTGCAGTGAGCCTAGATCATGCCGCTGCACTACAGCCTGGGCAACACAGCGAGACTCCATCTCAAAAGAAAAAGGGCGTTCTTTATCAACTTTCTTAATTTCTCCCATTGTAATTATTTGCCTATTTAGATTTTTTTGATTGCCTCTTGGGTTAATTTCAGCTATTTTTATTTTCTTATATTTATACAGGGTTTTGAAATTTTTTTTGTGGAGATGAGCAAACAACACTTATAATTGTTTTTATTTTCTCTGTTATCAATTGTCATTCCCCAATCTGATTGCTAATTGTCTTTAGATGCTTTTTCTCATTGTTCGACCTTTGATTTTTTTTTAAGAGCTCTTGGATTTAGCAGATCTAGTTTTGTTTTTTCTAATTTATTATTTTCTGCCTATATCCTTACTAATTACGTCATCATTTCTTAATTATTTTACAGTTCTTTTCTCACTTAAGTTTAATACTCAACTAATCTATTTCCATTTGTATTTGCATGACTGCCTAAGGCAGTGCATTTTTCTTTTAGCAAAACTTTAAACATTATCTCAGTAAAATGATTTCATCATCATAATTTTTAGATCTACTGAAATCACAGGTTTGAATTAAATTGATCCAAGGTGTGATTAAGATAAATTTCTAAATTTCAGGTAGTTTTTACTTAGTTTGCTAGTCTTCTCTTGGGAATTTACTGTGACTTTAAGTCCCATGGGCACTTGAAAAAATATTGTCTTCTGTGTTCACGGTATAGAGTTTGACATACCTATTTTTACCTTAGCCTAACTTTTTTATACTTATCTGCCATGTATTAAAGCGTGAGTCTTTTTATTACCTGTTTCTTCTTATACTTTTCCCATTTTTGTTTTGCTTTGATGGTTTGTTACTTGATACAGTAAGATTCACAACTGTTATATTTTCATTGTGGCTTATATTCCTTATTATTGTTAAATGGCCCCCAATGTCTAATATAATGCTTTTGGTCTTATTTTCTGTTCCCATTTGCATGTTATGTTCTGCTCATCATTTTACTTTCATTATTTTTGAGTAATTATTTACACAGATTTATTTTGTACATCACATATTTGGGACATGTTTTAAATACAAACTAAGGGCATCTTTCTTTCAGTAGGTGAGCTTATTTCATTTATGTTTATTGACAAAATAAATGTGTTTTGGTCTTAAATTCATTACCATGGTTTATCTTTTGATATAGGGTCTGTTTTCTTTGGTCTGTGTTTCATGCTTTCACTGTGATAACTTGAAAAGTTTATGTGTGTTTTTAGATCTTGTAGTATTTACATTTATAATCTTAAGTGATATACTCAAGCCTCTATTTCTTGATTTATCAGGTTCAGGCAGATGTCCTCTCCACTATGAAGTTGAGGAAATTAGTATTTATATTTCCCGTTTTTGTTTTTCCCACCTTCAGGTTTTTTTTGTTGTTGTTGTCGTTGTTAGTTTGAGAATTCTAACTCCACACTTGCTTAGCCTCAGTTATTCCATTAAAAGTGATGCAGGGTTGTGATGGATTTGTCGTATGTCAGTTTCACTCAGCTGGAACTGTGGTTCCATCTCCAAGGGATTCTGTTTCTCTGATTGAACTCTGACAGTGCTAGAGTTCACTACTCATCCTTTCATAACCCTTTTTTTCCATTCCTGGATACTTTTGATTTATCTCTTAGTCAATTCTTCATATTCTCCCTTGATTTGATGCAAATTTCATTCTATTTCAGCTGAGTTGACATTCTTCATAGTTTGTGATTTCATGTTGTGGACAAAACAAAGTTTTCCTCTGTTTTTAAATTTTTTAAAATTATGTTGTTTTTAGTTGGTTTTAAGGAAGCAACTGGAATGTAAATTATTTTACTCCTCTACTTTTGAAGGGGTCTTATAAACTGAAGTTATTAACCAAAAGATAAGATATTGTCATTTGTGATATATTTTCCAAAAAGCACTAACCATAGAAAATCAAAACCAAAACCACAGATGAATATTAAAACAAAATTAAGTCTGTTACCTGCACAAAATATCCTTAGCTGCTGGACTGGCGATATAAGTTGCAAATGAGTGGTGAACAGATCAACAAATGCTCCAGGATAAATAATGAAGAGAAAAATCCCAAAGCCATTAAATCGAACTTGTTCCCTAAGAAATCACATAAGAAAAAGGAGTTTACTAATACTATTATATTTATCAAATTAATAGTGTACATAATCTTAAAACTTTTCACTGTAATTTGAATTCTTGCTTAAAAAACAGAAAGTCTCTCTGAACAGCCAAAAAAATTATATCTATACTATATATAATCTTAATTTTATAATAATGTACAGATTTGGTTATCTGTGAAATTGAATTTTGCAAAATAGGGCATACTGAAATAGACATAACTTCAAAATTTTTAGAAACCAATATGTTGAGCAAATAATTGAAGTTAGTCACATATATACAGAAATGGCTTTTATGAGAAACTAAATGAAAAACATTTTTATGGTTTACTCTGAACTATTTTCAGAGAAGAACATAGGAGACGATATAATTCAAGTAAATTACCTAATAACTTGTATTTGTCTTAGCAATTATAAATAATGGTGGAGATTTATCTAGGTGTATTCCTATCAAGCTAACGTTAAATAAGTATGTTTAAACATGCATAATGCTCAGATTGTCCTTAAGAGAACCAGTTTTTTCAGCAGGTTTTGATCTCCATATTAAAAAAAAAAAGAGAACCATTTTTTATCAGTTCATTTTCCAAAAATTAATATTTAAGTCTCATAAAACCAAACAGCCCCCCTAGAAAAAAGTATCACCTAAATATATTGTGCTGTTGCTTAATACTAAATATATAAGACAACCGTACAGTTCATTTTTTTTCTTGGCAGTTGGGACTTAAAAAAAAATTACCCAAGTTATTTTTACAAACATACTGTAAATTGTTAAGCTGTTATTAACGATGTGTCTATAGGTAAAATCCTAAAGGCTGCAAAGCACTGAAGGCGATTTTAAAAGAAAAAAAAAACCCAGCAGCCACCACTTTAAGCCACTATTGTGCACATCTGTGTAACAGTATATGCTCTGTCAAGATGAGGATTTATTGCCAATAAATAGACTCTTGTTCATAAACAACTGGAAAGTAATAAGAAGTGATTACATCTTCTCTGCCAAAACAGAGGTTTTTAACCTTTTCTCTGGTCCACACACCGAAAGGATAAAACACATTCCTATTAGCATGCTTGCTAATTATGGCCGTAATTATCAGTGGAGGTAGCAGGGGAGTTATGACGTGGCCCTCTCCCCATCATGATTTTATATGTGTTATAGGCTTCTAAATGCTTAGGTATAGTTACAATGATACATTTGGGAAGCCAAGACCAAGAACAGGGAGTGATACTCAAAGCTAGTCCCAGGTGTCTTCTTATCTTCCACTTGGGTTTCTAGATAGACTATGATATTTGTTAAACCCAGTGCTTTCAGTTTTCTTGCTCTAGCCAGCAGAGGACATAAGCAGAAGCAGGAAATTATTTCAGCTGATAAGTCAAATCAAGTTCTAAGGTGAGTGGGTTTTGAGTACAGTGGTTATCATTCTGACTCGATGAACAGAAAGATTGGCTTTTAGGACTTGGTAAAAAACTTTGAGGCATCATGAGGATAACCACACTGGAAAAGGCAAAGGATAGAAAGACCCTGATTACAGATATGCCCATGGTTAATGGAGCATATTCATCAACATATTAATCTTCTCTATAAAAAAAGAAGCTTCCTCAAAGTAACAAATGATGGCTATGCACTAGGCAATAGCCGCAGAAAGAAAAATAGTGAAGTATCAAATATAGCAGATTTTAGTAATAAATCCTCCTAAATGAAAAGCTTTTTTTTGCATGTAGTACAAAGAAAAAGGTAAATATCATTACCTAATAGCTGCTATCCCATGTCCAATTTCATGTACAACACCACTAATGAGAACTGCCGTGAAGAAATAGGTCAGTTGATTGACGGGTAAATTTATACCAGGAACCTGTTCATAGACACAATATGGCAGCAATTATCAGTGGGGGTGCAGGGGAGTCCCACTTGGGCACTAAGATACATGATGTTCATTCTGTATTAAACCTTCAAGCTGAATGTTCTGCAAACTAAAAGTAATATGACAATGGTTCACTTCTCCATTTCTATCATAATAAAAAGCAAAAACGCTATTTCATTTTTCGAACTAGCCAGTTTCTCTGGAACAAGCACACCACCAGTCTAAAGAGAATGAGAAACACCAGGTTAAACAGTTGAGATGTTAGCTTCCTGGAGTCTTCACCTTGGGAAAGAATGAGGGAGCCCAGCAAAGTGCCAAGGAATGCAGGATGACAGTGAAGCAGGCAGCAGCTGACCCAACCTCAAGGGCTGGATGCCTGATTTGGGAATCCTTGTTAAAATTCCTAGACCTTCCGCTGAATTGTTATTGCAAGGTTCCAAGTACTTGTGTTGATTAATATAGGAACTCCATATTATTAATCAGCGAGTTTCATTTTAATATCCTCAAGTTATAGGTGAGTTGGTAATGAAAGCTGGTCTAATAGGGATCCCGATCAGTGTGGGAGCACCATACCCTTCTATTCCATTAGTTGGTCTACTATGTTGGTCAGAAAAATAGTGTGGAAGAGATACACAAATACATTAAAATTGAAATTTAATGTCGAAATTAAGGCATTTGGAACCTACAGACATGTTACAAACATATGAAGCAGGAGTTGTCTTACAATCATGTGCTCCTAAAATGTGCAGGTATATATTATTGCATACACAAGGGAAGATAAGAGCTGCACAGCAAATTTTTTTAGATAGCAAAGATATATTCTCGTAAGATAAGTAATCACTCCCAAGTTATGTCATCTGTTAAAGAGAGACAATAAATTAGGCTAAGTGGGACACACCAGGCTCAGGAATACCATTTACATACTGAGAATCTATTTCTTACAGTCCAGGAGTTGGGACTAAAAGGTATCCTTTTGGAGGAAATTTCTGCTTTCTTTTATAATTATATTAATTATAAAAAATATGTTTAAAGCAAGAAAACTGGAAAATTCAAAGCAAAACAGAAGCCTAAAATTCTGCTCCCCAAACATACATACACATATAAAACCATTGTGAACCATTCTGATGTATGTCCTTCTAGTCTTTTCCTGTACACATAATTTTAAAAACTATACTTTTATTATAAATCTGGTTTTGAAATTTGCCCCTTCACTTAACAGTATCACAGACGTCTTCCCATGAGTATTTTCTATTTCAATATGATTTTTAATAGCTACACTGTGTTCTATGGAATAAACTGTTGGGCATTTAATTAAGTTTCTGCTCTTATAATGTGATAAAGATATTTGGACACACACACCTAAATATTTTGGAGGAAGAAATTCTTAGATGAGCATACTTGCTAAGGGATTGGGCTCTTGAGACATGTTATGGGTTTGAGGTCCTGTCTCTTTTTTTTTTTTTTTTTTTTTTTGAGACGGAGTCTCGCTCTGTCGCCCAGGCTGGAGTGCAATGGCGCGATCTCGGCTCACTGCAAGCTCCGCCTCCTGGGTTCACGCCGTTCTCCTGCTTCAGCCTCTCCGAGTAGCTGGGACTACAGGCGCCCGCCACCACGCCCGGCTAATTTTTTTTTTTTTTTTTTGTATTTTTAGTAGAGACGGGGTTTCACCGTGGTCTCAATCTCCTGACCTCGTGATCCGCCTTCCTCCGCCTCCCAAAGTGCTGGGATTACAAGCGTGAGCCACTGCGCCCGGCCGGTCCTGTCTCTATCTCTTAACTAGCTAAATGACCTTGGGAAAGTTGGCATTATTCCTCCAACATTCCTATTTTCTCATCATTAAAATGGAAATAACCACATTTGCACAAAAGGGTAATTTTGAGGATTAAATGAGCTAATCTTTGTCCAATGTTTAATGTTATGCCTCACAGAGAGGGTAGTAAATGCTATTATTACACAAAATTTAAAAGATTTTGATACATGTCATCAAATTATACTCTAAAAGCAGACCCTTTCATAACCTTGGGCAAGCTCGTTTTATTCAAATCTGCAATGTGATTTACATTTCTTTGACCATTTGTAAAGCTGAACTTTCCCCGTACTTTTGACCATTTTTTGGTCCTTCTGCGAGTTGCCTACTGATAACCTGACTTGTTTTCTCCTAAAGTATTCAACTTTTTCTTACTGATCCGTAAGATCACTTCAAATATCAGCATTGGTCCTTTGTAATACATGACATAAATGTATTCCACAGTTTGTTTGCCTTTTAATTTTACTTTGTTTTTAGTTTTTGATATATAAAATTTAGGTAGTCAAATCTATTAGTATTCATGGTTTCCTACAACACCAAGAGTGAACCCTAATGTAAACTATGGGTGGTAATGACATATTCACGTCGGTTCATCATTGTAAGGGGGGAAATCTCCGTACCTTCTTAATTTTGCTGTGAATCTAAAACTGCTCTAATAAAGTATTTAAAAAATAAAAAATAAAGGTGTTACTGTTACATAAAAAATATTCATGGTTTCTACTATTCGCTCTATGTCTTCCTCATTCTGTGCTCATAAAAATGATAACATGGGTCTTTTCTTTCAAGGCCTTTTATGGTTTCAAGTTTTAATTTTAATTCAACTGGAATTTATTTTTATGGACACAGAAATCTCATCTAAAAAGCTTCCTTTAGTAACTGAAGATTCAAACAATGCTGCTTGAATCATTTTCTAAATTCCATTAATTCCAAGTGTCCTTTCTCTAGTTAAGAAACTAGTTATAATCATTTTTGTTGTTGTTGTTGTTTTATTTTATTTTATTTATATATTTTTTTGAGACGAGTCTCGCTGTGTCGCCCAGGCTGGAGTGCAGTCGCGCGATCTCGGCTCACTGCAAGCTCCGCCTCCCGGGTTCATCTCATTCTCCTGCTTCAGCCTCCACAGTAGCTGGGACTACATGCGTCCGCCACCACGCCCGGCTAATTTTTATTTATTTATTTATTTTGTATTTTTAGTAAAGACAGGGTTTCACCATGTTAGCCAGGATGGTCTCGATCTCCTGACCTCGTGATCCACCCACCCTGGCCTCCCAAAGTGCTGGGATTTCACTCTTGTTGCCCAGGCTGGAGTGCAATGGTGTGATCTTGGCTCACTACAACCTCCGCCTCCCAGGTTCAGGCAGTTCTCCTGCTTCAGCCTCCCAAATAGCTGGGACTACAGGCACACGCCACTACACCCGGCTAATTTTGTATTTTTAGTAGGGACGGGGTTTCACCATGTTGCCCAGGCTGGTCTCGAACTCCTGACCTCAGGTGATCCACCCACCTCGGCCTCCCAAAGTGCTGGGACTACAGGCGTGAGCCACTGAGCCCGGCCGAAACTAGTTATAATCATTTTTAATGTGTGCATAATATCTAATTGAATGACAATCCAATAATTTAACCATTCCTCAATTAGATATTTTGGTTGCTTTTAATTCTTCATAATAATAAATAATGTTAGGCTAAAGAGCTTAATGAATACTATTTTTTCTATATTTGAAAGTGTTTCCTTAAGCTAGAGTCCCAGATGTGGAGGTAAAGAGTCAAAGGAAATGGATATGTTTATAATGTTCATTATCTGAAATTCTCTTTACTTGGACCCTATTGAGCAACTTTTCTCAAGAACTTCTATGTCCCTTTTTATATACCTGCTCCATTCCTAAGTTGTCAGACATCTTTCCAGTATTATACTTTTCTCTGACCCCTCTCTAAATTTACATACTTAAGACTGTCATACATACCCTCTATATCACAAAATATCCTGCTTACCTTACCTTTATTTCAAATAAATCAGTAAGCTTGGTCCAATAGGATATTTCTTCCTTCTCTTTATTATTTTCTGCATGTACTAGTGAGTGAGATAAAGTAAGAATTTGAATGTGTGATAATACCAACAGATGGTAGGTCTTATTTGCTGGCAACAGTACACGATTGCCCATCTGTCTCTGCCATGATTCACACAGGGTATCAGATGTACCAGAATACTGAATACAGAATACTTTCAACAACACAGAGTGCCATGGTTTGGAGAATTAATACTGAACAAGGCTGTCAGGAATTATAGAGTAAACAGAAAGTATGTTACTTAAGCTACAAGAGCTCATGTCAAAGTCAGGATTCATAACATTCTTAAACTTATACATGAATATGCATGGTGGGCTCCAGAGGGCAGCTGACTTCTTAATGGTTCCAAAGCACGGATCTCCTAATAGAGCTGACATTTTTGTGAGTACTATGAATAAACTGAGTGGCAAAGAGAAGAAATAATTTCTTCTCTAAACAACGTTTTGCCATTCTAATTCTAGCAGGCAGATAAGCCAGTGATCATATTTTCTCCAACTGGCTTCTTTCTCTCTTACCCTCTTTCTTGTTGAACAAGAACCAATTGTGTAACCTGAGAGTCATCCTAAACTTTTCCTTCTCCCTCCAGCCTCACATTTAATTAATCACCAATGTCTGAGAATTCCACTCCAAAAGCTTACTTGAATCCATCCCCTTCATTCTCCTTGCCACTAATTTTATATCTTTATCACTTCTAAAATAAATTACTGCTCTTAAATGATCTCCACATCTTCACTCTAATGACTTTGGTCCATTTTGTACAGACTTGCTACCTACAGGTAAAACATAAACTTCATAACCTAGACCCTACCTGTATCTCCCACCTTATATCCTGCACTATCCTGTTCTCTTGCCTCCAGTCCCACCTATCCTCCCACCATATACCTAGAGGTTTAAAACTGTAAGTAAAATTACTTATAGTTCCTTGAAGAATTATTTGTCTCTCTTAAAAGTAGAGCATAGGCCGAGCGCAGTGGCTCATGCCTATAATCCCAGCCCTTTGGGAGGCCAAGGCGGGTGGATCATCTGAGGTCGGAAGTTCAAGACCAGCCTGATCAACATGGAGAAACCCCGTCTCTACTAAAAGTACAAAATTAGCCAGGCGTGGTGGTGCATGCCTGTAATCCCAGCTACTCAGGAGGCTGAGGCAGGAGAATCGCTCGAACCCGCGAGGCGGAGGTTGTGGTGAGCTGAGATCGCGCCATTGCACTCCAGCCTGGGCAGCAAGAGCAAAACTCCGTCTCAAATAATAATAATAATGATAATAAAATAATAATAGAGCATAATGTCTATAGGCTGTAAGATCAGTGATGATGGATCTACTAGTTATGAGCTGTGACCACAGGCAAGTGACTTAACGTGTCTGTGCCTTGATTTTCTCATCTGTAAGGCAGGGAATGTTTGCTGAAGAAAGAAATAATTTCTTCTGAGGCCTCACCTGCTAAATCTTTTTAATCTCTAAAAAAGAGCTATGGCCATAGGAGAGATTATTGTTCTCTACAAATGACTTCTAAATCTTCCCAGTGACCCAGCCTAGTAGAGGACACAAAGAGACAAGAAAAAAAAACCCAATCTGTTACTAATCCTTAGTCTACTCCATTAATAAGAACATGATTAAAAACAACATCCATGACTCATGGAAATGGGAACTATAAATGTAAAAATGTGAAATAAAAGTGAGCCAATGTAAAGCCCCCTTCCAAACTTTGGAGACATAAAATGATAAGGTATAGGTCTACACATGAGTTTTAAAGGAGTACAACTCAGCACATTATTCTTCACATTAAGAAATCACAGTGACCATTCAGAAAGGTCTTATATCTTTAATTAAAAGGATATTATTGGTTAGGCTCTGAAGGCCATGAAAAGGAAAGGGAAACACTTTGCATATAATTAGAATGCAATTTACTTATACATTATAGAGATCTTAAATCAGCATGCCTATTCTTTGAAAATAACAATCATTTAATATCTTAAAAAGACAGTCACGTATCTGTTTAATTGCTGACAGTCTTAATGATGGTTCATTTGTTCTCTTTTACCATTAATATTACAACTACTACCAAATATTTCAACAATTCCTTGCTGTATTCTTATTAATTTTTTTGTGTAAGCAGGTAATTTGAAAATTATGAGACTTTTAATTTATTTTCATATTTATATTATGGATAGGAGTTACACTAGATCATAAGTGGTATCTTGCATCTCTATTTCGATAGTTATTTAAAGCGAAAAGACGATACTTACCACAACTTGTAACACCTGTTCATTGTGAAGCGAGGAAGAGGAAGAAGATGAAGAAGAGGAAGAGGAAGAAGAGGAGGAAGAGGAAGAAGAGGAGGAAGAATAAGAAGAGGGAGAGTCAGCCATCATTTGTGCCAAAGTCTGCATCAGCGTTTTTCCAAGGAGAAAAAATGAGCTAAACATGGCAATTACGCCAAACACCATTCCAAAATTGAACCTGTCAAAAGGGAAAAAAATCATGTTAATTTACAATTTCTCTCAATTCATGGACTAGCAAATTCACTAAGCAGCCACATTTCATAGCTTTAAAATAATGGCTAAAAAATTTCAGTAACTCTGCTTCTTTTTCCTACATGAACTTCAAATATTTGACTGCAGCATGAGCACTAGTTTAAGCAGTTTTATAATTTATAATTCTCTGATAACTAAAGAATCTGAATATCATTCCCAATAAAAAAGTTTGTTTCCTCTCATGCACTTGCTCATTTACATAATATTGTTTTGATCTTGTCCTTATATCGTTATGAAAGCCCTTTTGACGTTATAGACATCCATCCTTTTTCATCTACCTCTTCTATTGTCTGCATCGTATTTCAGCTTTACTTTGTGATAAAATGAGCTTAAATATTAACATGGTATAATTTAATAATAATTTCTTTTTTCTATTGTTTTAATTATTAAAAGCTACCATTGTATAGTGGAGATAATCTGCCATGTTTTCTAACTTTGGTAAGTTGTGCTTTTCAAGGAACTTGTTTATTTCACTAAAACTGTCAAATTTATAGGCATAGAATTTTCTTAATAGTCTTACTATGTTTTTAATGCCTATAGAATCTGTAGTAATGTCCTCTTTTCAATTCCAATTTTTGTTTTTGAGACAGGGTCCCACTGTGTCACCCAAGTTGGAGTGCAGTGGCACGGTCACAGCTCACTGCAGCCTTCACCTCCCAGAGCTCAGGTGATCCTCCCAACTCAGCCTCCCAAGTAGCTGGGACCACAGACCCATACCACCACGCCTGGCTAAGTTTTATATTTTTTGTAGAGATGGGGTTTCGCCATGTTACCCAGGCTGGTTTCGAACTCCTGGGCTGAAGCAATCCGCCCATCTCGGCCTCCTAAAGTGCTGGGATTACAGGCATGGGCCACTGTGCCTGGCCTCAATTCTCATTTTTAATTACTTACGTTTCTTTTTTCTTCATCAGTCATGGTAGGGGTTTATCAATTAATATTTTCTATTTATTTATTTATTTATTTATTTATTTATTTATTTATTTATTTGAGATAGGGTCTTGCTGTGTCACACAGGCTGCAGTGCAGTGGTGTGATCTTGGCTCTCTGCAACCTCTGCCTCCCAAGTTCAAGGATTCTTGTGCCTTAGCCTCCCGAGTAGCTGGGACCACGTGCGCCACCATGCCCGGCTAATTTTTGTATTTTTAGTAGAGACAGGGTTTCACCATGTTGGCCAGGCTGGTCTCGAACTCCTGGCCTCAAGCAATCCACCTGCCTCAGCCTCCCAAAGTGCTGGGATTACAGGTGTGAACCACTGCGCCCGGCCCAATTAATATTTTCAAAGAACCAACTTTTGGCTTTGCTGATTTTCTCTATTGTATATTTTCTATTTCACTGATTTCTGTTCTTATCTTTATTATATCCTTCTTTCCACTTTGTATGCTTTGATCTGCTATTGCATTTTCTGCTAACTCTGATGATCTGATTGTTTACATTTAGCTCTAATCCATTTGGGGCTAAATTTTTAACAAAAAGAAATCTAGACCATGCCACCCCTGACCCTCACATTCTCTCATCTACAGAACCTGCCTGTATCTTGGGTGTCCCAGAGATCATTGTAAAGCCCCTAACTATAAATTGCCATAAATGCCTTGATTTTTAATGTATGCAAGCCACAATGATACAATCCCATAAGGTTATATAAAACCAGAAAGTTTTAATATTGTCAATATTTTAAAACTCAGAAAACTGCAAAGTAATGGAAATAGTTAATTTAACAAGCTGTCTGTCGTGATCACTTAATGATTAACCTAAACCAAACAAAAGAAGATGAAGAATACCATTGGTAAAGCATCCTTGCTTTCCGCCGTCCCCAACTGTAAAAGGCACGATTGAAAACAGCAGTTTGCCATCTTATGTGGAAAGGGGAGATGCTCAGTCCGTTGTTTTCCAGCCAGTCTTCATAAGAATGTTTAAAATAGACAGATGACTAAGAGAGAAAGAAAAGTTCTACATCACTCAATTTTGAAGAACAATTTATAATGTGTAAGAAAATAACACAAAGTATTTTCTAGAGGAAATTAAGATGCTGACTTCCCAAATGTTTATAATCTTAAAGCTTTATGTTTATTCTTCAGAATATTAAAGGTCACAGACCTAACCGGTCTACTGAGATTAGGGTCTGGTAAACTATGGGCCACAGGCCAAATCCGAACTACAGACTGTTTTCACACAACTTGTGAGCTAAGAATAGTTTTCACATTTTTAAGGGATTATAAAAAGACAATAAAAACCAAAAATATGCGACAGAGACCCTCTGTGGCCCAAAAAGCCTAAAATACTTACTACCAAGCACTTTACAAAAAGTTCGCTGACCCCTGCTTAGAACAGTGTTGTCCAATAGAAATATAATGTGAGCCACAAATGTAAGCCACATATATAACTTTAAATTTTCTAACAGCCAAATTTTAAATATTAATTTTCGTATACTTATGCCCCAAAATATCCAAGATATTTCAACATGTAATCAACATACACTATTGGTGAGATACTTTACTTTTGGGGGGGGCATTACTTCGTTGAATTTCAACATCAACTTTATACTTACAGCACATCTCAGTTTGGACTAGCTCTGACTAAAGGCTCAATAACCACATGTGGCTAATAGCTGCCATATTGGACAGCACTGGTCCAGAAGCCTTGTGTTATAATTTAAAAAAAAAAAAACCCTACCAATCCAAGAGAAGGGACAGTTGCGATCAGTGTTTGCTTTCTTCTTCTGAGCAACAACTCTAAGAAGTTAGGCCAACCTCGATCATGTAAAAAGTAAAAAACTTATCTAAAGCCATCTTGGGCTCAATAATGTCCCTTAAATTCTCTGGGGTTGTGGGGATAGGGGCTTATACACAGCCCCAACAAGAGTTTTACCTTTAGGGAAGTTTGAAGTCCTTGACTAATATAGGATTTTGGATGACATAAGGCTGTGTTATATACCTGACACAGTAAGTACAGTAAGTATTGTCATATTCATGCCCACCCATGTGAGAAACTTATCTGTCCAAGAAGGAAATCTTAGCCCTATCATAGTCTTAAAAAATGACCATAGTCTGAATATAGGTAGCTGTTTGCTTTGGATCTGTAGTATTATCTGCTCTCAGTCTTCAGGTAGTTAAATTTTAAGTGTACTTGTTTTCCAAGACTTGGAAAAGGAGTGACACAACTTCTCTAACAGATGTCTATGCAGAAATCCTAGAAAAGCCCAGGGTGGATCAGCAGACCAAGCTGGAGGCAGAGAAACTAAAGGTGCAGGCTCCTAAAAGTTGAGGTCTCTCCATTTCCCAGGCAGATACTCTGAGTAGGCGTTAGGTCTTTTGCTCAGAGGTTGGTGCATTCTTAAGGAGCTAGGGGTTGTTACTGAAACCAGTGACATCTTGGTCACCTCACACACTTGTGACTAGGGACTGTAAAAGTTCTTTTTATTTTAGATTTTTTTCACATATGCAACATGAAGAAATCATGTGGCTTTGTGTGTGTGTCTTACTATGTTGCTCAGGCTGGCCTGGAACTCCTGGCCTCAAGCGATCCTCCCGCCTCTTCCTCCCAAGTAGCTGGGACTACAGGCTGCACCACCATGCCTGGCTCATGTGGCTTTTTCAAACAACAAAATCATTGTGGCCTGTATTGCTTATGACACGTTAACCACTATGCCAAGTACTTTAAATCAGTGCTTTTTCTTTTGAGACAGGGTCTTGCTCTGTCACCCAGGCCAAAGTGCAGTGGCACGATCTTGTTTCATTGTTAACCTCTGACTCTCAGACTCAAGAGATCCTCCTACCTCAGCCTCCAGAGTAGCTGGGACTACAGGCATGCACCACCATGGTTGGCTAACTTTTAAATTTTTTGTAGAGATAAAGTCTCACTATATTGCCCAGGCTGGTCTCAAACTCCTGGACTCAGGCAATCCTCCCACCTCAGCCTCCCCCAAAGTGCTGGGATTACAGGTGTGAGCCACTGTGACCGGCCACATCAGTGCTTTTCAAACACAAACAGGTGCAGAGGAGTCACCTGGGATCTTGCTAAGATGCAGATTCGGATTCCCTAGGTCAGGGGTGAGGCCTGGGATTCTGCATTTCTAACAAGCTCCGAAATGATGCAAGTGCTACTGGTCCTTGAACCTCAAGTTGAGGAGCGAGACTTTATGTGGATACACTAATGTAATTCTCTCTGTAATCTTAGGAGATCCTTACTATTATCTCTATTTAAAGATGAGAAACCAAGGCACAGATAGCAATTTTCCCAAGGTCACATTGGCTAGAAGCCCAGCCCTGGATCTAAGGACTACGCTATGTAACCTCCTGCACTTTACAAGTTTAAATGATAGAAGGAAAAGTCTCATTTCATTTTATTGTTAAAGCTAAAACATGCAATACTATGGTTTTCTATTTTAAATGGTATTCATAACATGAAGATTTTGCTATCCATAACTGGAATTTTTATTAAACACTTGAGAATTTATATGATCTTATTCCACATATATAGTTACTCTTCCCCATCCCCTACCCCCCAGTACTCAATTCCAAAAGCTTGCCTGAAGCATGTGGTCAGACGACTCTTCCTGATTTTTTGCTACCCTTCTCAAATAACTGGAAAATGGACCGTGCACCCAGGGTATCTGGTTAGTGTGAAGAAGTGGGGTGCAGCGTGTAAATCAGAATTCAAGTAGTTAGAAACTGGTTATGTAAATCCTTGCTATTTGAGTGTGCTACTTTGAAGTACACTCTGTGATCTGGCAGCATCAGTAGCACTTGGGAACTGGTTAGAAATGCAGAATTTTAGGCCTTGCCGCAGACCTGCTGAATCGGAATCTGCATTTTGACCGCAAACCAGATGATCATATGCATTTAAAAATTTGAGACTACTGATTTCAATCACGACTTGATTTAGATTCATTCCAATATCTGAGTCTCTAGAGCGTTTTGAACTTAAAAACAATAAGGGAAAGCACTGTCTTTACTAAGCAGACGTTTTCTTTTCCTCCCTGCTGCACTGCAGCTGCTGGGTCTGGCAGGGCCCCGGCCCTCCCGATCCCACCACTGGCGCCTCCCGGGCAGGACCCGAAGGCTGAAGGGCCTGCACTGCCCCGCACTGCGACAGTGGCAGCCGCGCAGGCCGCCACAACCCTCCCGCGGCCGGCAATGTTTTATTTACTCCACCGGGCCGATCCACCACGCGGACTGTCGCACGTGGGCACCGTCCAGCCCGGGAGGCGCCAGGCAGGGGAAGAGAAAAGAAGGCCTTGCGCTCCGGCCATGGGCACCGCGGGCTTGGACCTTAGGCCCAAGGCCCTCACCTTCAGCACCAAGTCGGTCAGGTAGACGACAGTCCAGCCACCCACCACCACCACCACCAGCGACACCGGAATCATGGCGGCAGCGGCGGCAGAGGAGGGAAGGCGAGCCCCGGCGTCCTCCTCCCTGCACCGCCAACAGCTGACCGCGCGCGCCTTACAGCCCCAGCATCCGCTCAGGAACCAAGCTACCGCCGGCTCCTTCCTTGCGGTGGCACGGTTTCCCACCGGACTCTTCCAGTGGGGACATACAGGAGGATTTGCTAGTACCGGAAATGGCACGGGGGCTTATTTTTGCGGGCGCTCGGGCGCTGCCGTCCAGGCAGTAGTTCGAACTCGGCATCTAGTCTTGTAGCGATTTCTTAGGCTTTGGCCCTCCCTGCTGTCTACTCTCCATTCTCGCCAGTTCTGGTCAGGGGTTTGCTGTTTCTTTTAACCCATGAGGATTTGGGGTCGTCTGAAGTAATAATCTCTCCCTCCCCGACCCTGTCATAGATATCCAGATTTAATTGTTTATCCTTTTTACTGAAGTGTAAATTTACATGTAATGAAATCATACATACAGAGCTCAATTGTCCATTTCTGTGAGTTTTGATAAATATATATATATATATATATACGTGTACCCTAATCAAAATGGAGAAAATTTCCCTCTCAGGAATTTCCTTCTTGCGTCCCTTCCTAGTCAGTAGCCCCTCCCCCTGTTCTGATTATTTTTAACTTTATGTAAATAGAAAGCAATAAGTACTCTTTGTGTCTGGCTTGTATCGTTCAACATGCTTTTTGAAATTTATCCATGTTGATTAAATTAGGCTCTTTTTTCAACCTTTTATAATATTTGAGATGGTGCTATGGTTAAAAATCAGAACTCTGAACACCTACACATTTTAACGTTAATGTATACCTGATTATATATTGAACTAGAGCAGCAGTTCTCAACCTTACCTGCACTTTAGGATCACCAAGGTCTTTTAAAATTCCCGATGCCCGTTCTGTATCCTCGACCAATTAAATCAGATGCTCAGTGGGACCCAAGCATTTATACTTTTTAAGCTCCTCAAGTCATTGCACTGTGCAGCCAAGGTTGAGAACCACTGAACTAGATAATCTCTAAGAGAAAAGAAAACTATTTATTGGGGTTTTTTTACGTTCTATTTATGTGCATCTTTAAAAGTTATTTGTTTCAACTTTTCTGGAAAAGCATCATTAGCTATAATAATGCTAATACCAAAATATTGAGAACATAATACTATCTCAAGAACAAGTATCCCAAATAAAAATGTATCCTCAACCCCCTTCCAAGTGAAAATATACAATAATACCAGAAACCTATATTACAAATATTGCTACTAATTTGCCTCATTCTCCCTGCTTTTCCTAAAGTTTTACTCACTTAGGGACATGTTTCTCCAGCTTCAAGACAGCTTATGACTGTTTTACATATCTTTGCCTATTTGTGTGTGTATGTGTTGTTATAAATTATTTCCGTTTTCTTTGGACATAGCTGGGTGTAAATTATAAAAGTTTGTATTCAAGCACCCTGTTACTCCACAGTTTTCCATATACAAGTATCCCAAAAGACTTAGTGCTGTTTTAAGCTTTAATAATTTCTGAAGTATTAATGCTACCAACTTGCAAAAAGTCACTTGAAGGTTTATTTAAATTTCTTATATGTTTATTTTATTTTGTGAATTTTGAACATTTTTAAATTTTTTAGTCCCTTTAACGGAAGATGGCAAACATTGACTGAAACAAAAAATTAAAACACATTTTCTGTTCAAAAATTCACAAACCAAATAGGCAGTTAAATAATTTTATAGTTAATACAGTTAAATAATTTTACTTTCAAATAATGTATGAGTTCATATAATTTATACTCCTGAAGTTATTAAAAGCTTAACACTATACTGAGACTTCTTTTTCTCTTTTTTGAGACGTAGTCTCACTCCTGTCGCCCAGGCTGGAGTGCAGTCGGATGATCTTGGCTCACTGCAACCTCCTTCTCCCGGACTCAAGCAATTCTCCTGCCTCAGCCTCCTGAGTAGCTGGGATTATGGGCACATACCACCAATCCCAGCTAATTTTTGTATTTTTAGTAGAGACAAGGTGTCACCATGTTGGCCAGGCTGGTCTCGACCTCTTGACCTCAGGTGATCTGCCGGCTTCTGCCTCCCAAAGTACTGGGATTACAGGTGTGAGCCACCACGCCTGGCCATATACTGAGGCTATGGATACACTATTGTGTTTGTTCTGACCTTTGTCTGTTCTTATATAATGACTCTATAGTTTTTAACAATATTCTTCTCTGGGAGCAGAATATTAACTTAAGAACCGAAATGTCTTCTCTTTTGTTAGCCCGCAGCCTTGTCTGGACCACTTACTGGGACAAGTACCAGCTACCATGTGGCTATCTGATAGCCCAAAGTACACAGGAAATGCGTTGGTTGTGCTTTTCTGTTTCCAGCCTAAAAATTTAGTTATTCAACTGACTTGGTGTTTTCATCAGGGACTCAGCAGTCAAAACAAAGCACTGAATTGAATCCTGCTGGCTGCTGAAATTTAGCAGTAGTGGAAGCCAGCTGGTGGCAGCAGAAGAGACAAGATAGAGGATGCAAGGTGGCAGCAAAAAATGCCTGAATTCTAGAAGATCAAGGTATTCTTCCTTAGAATAAATTTGTGACTTAATTTACAAATTGTTTCAGGTTTCTGTGAAGTATGTATTTTAAGTAAAGGACACATAACCAAGATTTAATTTATATCATTTGTATGTATATTATTTTTAGAGGGGCACGGAATATACATATATTGGCTGAATGCAAAGCAGCTGCATGTTAAAAGTCACTATTTGGCTGAAGCAGAATATCACCATCATATAATAAACTTCAGCGATAAAAAATACATGAAATATAAAAATTAAAAATTAAATGTTTATATTAGTTTTATTGAAAATATTAGTATTCAGTTAGTCATTACACAATGTATGCATATTTCAAAATAGCATGTTGTACATGATAAATATATACAATTTTTATTTTTCAATTATAAAGTATTGCTATTTAAATTTTTAAAGTTTGACATGGCATTCAGAAATATGTATTTCTCATCAGTGTGAGCTGATAGTTTGCTTCTGGGATCATTATAGTCTACATTTATGGCATTAATTTGCAACAGTCAGTATAACCTAGCTTATGCTTTGGAAACCAACCCTAAAATCCAAGTGGCTTAAAACAACAAAGATTTATTTTTTGTGTGTGCTAGTTGGCAGGACATGCAGGTAGAAGGGTAGCAGGCTGATGGAGACTCCACCATTTTATCATGTCCACATCACAAGATGATGCTTAGGGTTCGCCAAGGCAGGGAAAGAAGTGGACTAGGGAGTCTACCACTGGCAGTGAAATGCTATAGCTCAGATATTCACATATTACTTCTATTCATGTTTCATTATCAAAACTAGTCAAGTAGCTGTGCCTAACTAAAAAGGGCAGGGAAAGTGTAATCCCCTGTATACCTGGAAGTAGAGAAGAACATGCCTGGAAGTAAACAGTTGTGAACCCAAAAGTATCTGAGACAGGTCTCAATTAACTTAGAAAGTTTGTTTTGTCAAGGTTAAGGATGCACCTGTGACACAGCCTCAGGAGGTCCTTACGACGCGTGCCTAAGGTGGTTGGGCACAGCTTGGTTTTATATATTTTAGGGAGACATGAAATAGCAATCAGTATGTGTAAGATGTACATTGGTTTGGTCCGGAAAGGCGGGACAACTCGAAGTGGTGGCTTCTAGGTCATAGGTAGATAAGAGACTAAAGGCTGCATTCTCTGGGGTCTTTGATCAGTCTTTTGCTGAATACACGATTTACACGTTGCAGGGGGTAGAGAAATAGTCACATGCCTTAGTCCGATTCAGTGACTGCATTTTTACATAAACAAAGGAAACAATCCAGCCAGGTGGGGTGGCTCATGGCTGTAATCCTAGCACTTTGGGAGGCCGAGGCAGGTGGATCACCTGAGATCAGGAGTTCGAGACCAGGCTGGCCAACATGGCAAAACACCATCTCTACTAAAAATACAAAAATTAGCCAGGCATGGTGGCAGGTGCCTATAATCCCAGCTACTCGGGAGGCTGAGGCAGGAGAATCGCTTGAACCTGGCATGGGGGTGGGATGGGAGGCAGAGGTTGCAGTGAGCCGAGATCACACCACTTCACTCCAGCCTGGGCAAAAGAGCAAAACTCCATCTTAAAACAAAACACAAAAAACAAAAACAAAGGAAGCAATCAGATAAACATTTGTCTTAGGTTAGTCGCAGGATGACTTTGAGTTCTGTCTTTTTTGTCCTGCACCTGTGAAGATAAGCTATCAATTTACATTACCAAGGTAAAATTCAATAGAACTGTTTTAGGGAAATTCCTTGTGGGCCAGTTATGAGGGAGGTATGTAGCTTTTTAAAAAAACATCTATGTAGCTATCTTATTTAGGACCAAAATGGGAGGCAGGTTTGCCTGATGCATTTCCCAGCTTGACTTTTCCCTTTGGCTTAGTGATTTTGGGGTCCCAAGATTTATTTTCTTTTCACACAGTGTTTTTTTTTAATTTATTTTTTATCTTTTATTTTTTTATTTTTTTTGAGACAGTGTCTTGCTTTGTTGCCCAGGCTGGAGTGCAGTGGCACTATCACAACTCACTTCAGCCTCAACCTTCTGGGGAAGTGATCCTCCCAGCTCAGCTTCCGAAGTAACTGGGACCACAGGTGCATGCCACCATGTCTGGCTAATTTTTTAAAAATGTTTTTGTAGAGATGAGGGCCTCGCTTTGTTGCCCAGGCTGGTCTCAAACTCCTCAACTCAAGCAATCCTCCCACCTTGGCCTCCCAAAGTACTGGGATTTACAGGTGTGAGCCACTGTGCCTGACCTTAATGCCAGTGTTATGTACCACATAAATAGATGTTCGCTTTCACCTTAAGAGCAGGATTTTTGGGTTTTTCCTGCTTGTGAAATTTTAAGGTGGCAAAGCTAAAATTCTGCTTTAAATTTACCCTTGCAAGATGTGAAGAATTTCCTAGTAATACTTTTTCTTGTAAGACTTATGGCCTAAGTGGAATTAAGAAACACAAAATTAAATATAGTTGTTTATTTTAGGGTTTGTTGCTGCAGCATAACATAGCAAAAGCTGAGCAATGCTGGTTGTTAATAATTGGTTCTCTATGTCAATAGTATTAAAAATCATAATTATTGCAGCATTTTACTCTTCAGTACTGAGTATACTGAACCAATGAATAACATTTTTTGATTCAAGTGATAGATATAAACGTAGAAAGCTCATACAGAAAAATTTCACTCCAAGTTATTCTTAGCATGTT